>NC_000010.11:131946019-132294908 GCF_000001405.40 Homo sapiens
CTCAGAGGCTGCCAGCACTGAGTCCCGCCAAGAGCCACCCGTTGCCTCTGCCTCTGTGCGTGAGACCTGGGCTGAGGCCGCCAGCACACAGGAGGCCATTCCCAGCTGTTGGAATGAGCTCCTGTTCATGTTGAGCTTGGCTGGATTGGAAGCCACTTCCCTTAGCTGAAAGTCTAGCATTTTAATCCAGTGAGCTTTCAAGCTCCTTTTAGGTGAGGGAGGTTCTGGTTTTGTTTTTATTTTTAGCCATAAAGAATGGGCTTGACTTTATAGAGCACTGTAGTCAGCGTGTCCCAGTGTCCTGAAACATTGCTGACCCTTCCTCCAGTGCCAGCAGGTAGACACACGTCCAGTGACTTCCTCTGATGGGGAAGCCGCCAGTCAATCCCACCAGACTGAGCCGCTGCTCATGTGCAGCGGCGCCCCCAGTGCCTCGGTGGAATGTGCCCATGGACCGTGTGCAGCAGCCTTTTCGCCTGTTCTCTTTCCTGAGGTTGAGTGTGTTTTTAAGAATTCGTATTTCTACTAGAATTCCTGCGATGAGGATGAGTGTTTCGTAGCATTTGGCCTGTATCTTAAGCATAAAATTCTTGAGTAAATAATTTCAGATTCCAGTTCTATTTGTCATCAGAGTGATTTATTTGAGTAAATGCTTGGCGTCGGCACAGCTGGCTTCAAGTTAATTTCAGATGCTAAGCCGACAAACACAGGCTCCTGCATCAAGAAAAAAGAGAAAAAACCTAAAGCAGCTTCAGGTCAAGGAAGCACAAGCCAGGTGCAGTGGTGCTCACCTGTGGTCCCAGCTACCCTGGAGGTTGAGGCGGGAGGATCTTTCTGAAAATAGGAATCCAGTTTTGTCACAGTAGAGCTTGTGTATATTCAGTATTGGAGACAAACCTTGGCTGGCTGGCTTTGACCGGCGGGACCGTCTTGGTGGTTAAAATCAGGACCACAGCGTTGCCAGTCAAGGTGGTCACTCCTGCAGACCCACAAACTGTCGACCCTCCAAAAAGCAGGCAGTTTCTTAGAGGCACAGACCGCTGTGTCTGCATGACCATATAATGCTGTTTGTGTCTTCCTGTGATGTGTATGCGATAGAATTTCACGTGCTCGGGCCTGGTGCCATGAGGACGCGGAGACACTCCTACAGGAATGCGGTGGTGCTGAACCTGGGCACACATCAGGATGCCCCGAGGAGCTCCCACAGATGGCAGTGCCCAGGACCTTGCCTAGAGATTCTCATTCAGGGTCCGGGTGAGACTTGGGCGTCTACGCTTCTCATGCCCATCCCTTGTCCATAGCTGGTGCTAGAATGTCTTATCCGAAGCTCTTGCCCACGGAAGTCACAGAAGATCAGAAAACCTAGAGAATCAGAAAGATCAGAAGACCTAGTGTTGAGGCCAAGCCCTTCCAGAGTCTCTCTGAAGGGGCCACTTCCTACTTGAACTTGAAAATGATTTGTTCTCTGATTTTTAAACAGAAGCTGAAAACATTTTATTTTGTTTTTCAGTTTTTGAAGAGCCTGAAGATCCCAGCAGTAGGTCCTTCTTCTCAGAAATAATTTCATCCATATCCGATGTAAAATTCAGTCATAGTGGGCGGTACATGATGACCAGAGACTACCTGTCGGTGAAGGTGTGGGACCTCAACATGGAGAGCAGGCCGGTGGAGACCCACCAGGTCCACGAGTACCTGCGCAGCAAGCTCTGCTCTCTCTATGAGAACGACTGCATCTTTGACAAGTTTGAGTGTTGCTGGAACGGTTCGGATAGGTAAGGCCTGCGTGGAGATGAGCTGTCGCCCCAAGCTTGCTGGTTTCCGAGAGTGCAAGGTCAGTGAGGGAGGCGAGCTGTCCTCCAGCGTCAGAGGAGGACGCTCATAGGGTGTTGTTTTCCAGACCTTTTGATTGATGGATGATAGTATCAAGGTAGAGAAAATAGGATCTCTGAGCAAGTTTCTCACCTAGCTTGTCATTCCATTTATATTTAGACAAGAAGTATAGCACTAGGTACAGGCCGGCTATGTGTTAAATGCTTAGTGAATGATAGTGTATTACTTTTTATTATGCTGATAATGAGTGAAAAGGAAGGAAGTGGGGAAGTGATTCACCTCACTGGAATGACCGCGTTGCAGTCTGCCTTTCCTTCTGGAGAGAAGTAGATGAAAACACCCCAGAGCCACTGCCTGTCATGCCCAGACACAGCGTGGTCATGGCTGGTCTGAAACACCAATGTAATTTATAATGTGATGGTTCTAGTACCTTGATAATTTATTTTGTATACATTCTTTAAAGATAGCTATGATTAGTGTGGTTGAGAGTTACGTTTTTTTTATTATGCAAAAAGTTACGTTTCAGATGATGGAAGATTGTCTTGCACCATTTTTATATAGAATTTTTGTTCAGAATTCAAGAGAACAGAGGAGTCTATTGGCAATAAGTGATTGACTGGATATTCTGCAAAACCCTCTGGCATAAACACCTAGAAATGCTGGATATGATACAGCAGGTGTCTCTTCAGGTGCATAGTTGAGCTCACAGATAAGCAAGGGAAATCTCACAACGGCCAGAAACTAAGAGGGAGCTGAAACCAGAATGGCAGCCTCTGAAGGCGTCTATTCCGAGAGCAGCCTTGCAGCCCCGGCTGGCCTCAGGAGCATCAGCCCATAGCAGGAACCACTGCCCCTGTGAACAGCAGGTTATGGTGCAAAGCTGAAGCCTTGTCCCACACGAGGTGACTTGCTCATGGTGGCTTTTCCTGTATGTGCTTGGTAATTTTCAAGAGCTGAAGCCTTGGCCCACACGAGGTGTAGAGTTGGAACAGGGACCCCTGAAGATGGTGTCTCCCTCCACTGGCAGATAGGGTCCAAAGGGCAGTTTGTCTGTCTGAGGCCTTGCATGGGGGTGGCCAGCACTGCCCTGAGAAGTGGAAGCAAAACCTCCCCTCACAAGGGTTTGCAGTTTGGGTTTGTGCCAGCTACATCATGATCTGTAAAATCTCACACTGTGGAGCTCCTGCCTCCACGAGGGCTGTGTGCGGGCATCGGGAGGGACCGGCGTGTTTCCAGATCTGGCTTCTACTCTGTTTGCAGACTGACCTGCCAGCCTGTAGCATCTCACGGATGTTGACTGAAGACATGAGGTTCCCGGGTTCTCATGGCACAGCTGGCAGCATGAGCCTCTCGTTGGCCTGGGTTCCCCACGGGTGGACACTTGAGGCCGTGGCTGATGCACACTGAGCTTGGAGAACCCCACTGCTTTCACAGCGGGCAGTAAACACACCTGCACTTTGACTAGAAGAGACATGACCTCATTCCTCAAGGCCGCTTGCTGGAAGCACAGCCCTGAGAAGTGGCCCAGGTGGAGAGAATGGCATTGGCAAACTCCGTGAGAACACGCATGCTGGGTAGCTGCTGCCAGCACACCCAGGTCTCTCTGGATTTCGTCACATTAAAATCATCTAAACATGAGCTCACAGGTGAAAATTACCAAGCACATACAGGAAAAGCCACCGTGAGCAAGTCAGCAGAACCACAGCAGAACTGAACCTCCGAGAAGGCAGCTGTTGAGATCCTAAGTTAAAGAAGATAAACTAAGAATGCTTGAGATATTCACAGACTAGAGGAAGGAAACAGCCTGAACCAGGAGCCACATGACCGCTAAACGTGACCTGGAGACTGGAAAGGAATCAGAGGGAACATCTAGAAATGACAAGTATGATACATGACCGCCAAACATGACGTGGAGACTGGAAAGGAGTCAGAGAACATCTAGAAATGACAAGTATGATACATGACCGCCAAACATGACGTGGAGACTGGAAAGGAGTCAGAGAACATCTAGAAATGACAAGTATGATACATGACCGCCAAACATGACGTGGAGACTGGAAAGGAGTCAGAGAACATCTAGAAATGACAAGTATGATACATGACCGCCAAACATGACGTGGAGACTGGAAAGGAGTCAGAGAACATCTAGAAATGACAAGTATGATACATGACCGCCAAACATGACGTGGAGACTGGAAAGGAGTCAGAGAACATCTAGAAATGACAAGTATGACAGATGAAACTGTGTGGGTTTAGCAGCAGGTCCATTTTGGCTAAACAGATCTTGTATTAGTGGATGGAAAGGAAAACCAGAAGAAATGCGGGCTAAAGAGCCAAACAGAAAACAAGAGACACTAGGAACCGTGGAGGCCAGGGTGAGGCACAGCACACGTTTAAACAAAGTTTGGGGGTGTGAGGCTTAAAGTGACAGTGGCCAGCAATTTTCTCTAAATTATGAAAGCCTGAATACACAGGATCGGGAGCACAGCATCCATCCATCTCATAATGAAATTGCAGGACACCAAACGCAAAGAGAATATCTTAAATGCACCCAAGGAAAAAACGCAAATTACCTCTGAGAGCGGACACCGAGACTGAGACTCGGCTTTGCCACGGCCACAGTGGGAGCCAGAAGCCGTGTGACAGATCCAGCAAGTGTGACTCCTTACTCTCCACCGCCAGCTTAGAATCAAGCCTTGAAGTAGATGCTCGTTCAAGAATCTGCTTGTGATAAAGGCATTTTCAAATGGGAAACAATGTATCACAACAGGAAACTCAGTAGAGCGAGCTGTAAAGGGAGCCTGGCCCTGCAGAAAGGGGCTGAGACAGATAGGCAGAGGAACGCAGCCTGCAGGGAAGAGCAGTGCAAACTCTGAAGCTCTGCCACCTGGACGGCCTTAGTTATCTGTGTTTGGGGGAGAAAAATTAGAGCCCTCACCAGCCCCACACAATAAATAAATAAGCTCTGAGTGTTTCTAAGCCTAAGACATCTTTGTGAGCTCTGGAAACAAGGGCTTCTTTAAGAAGGCCCCAAAAGCCCAAGGAAAACATTAAGAAATTCAACTACATTAAATTTTAAACTTCTTTATATTGAAATTAAAAGTGAAAACAAAATCCACAAAAGGATAACGAACAGAGATTAAGTATCCAGAATAGGTGCAGAATTAGTTGTCAACAAGAAGGTGGCAAACAACTCAGAAAAGAGCAAAAACCATGAATGGGGTTTCGCAGAAATGGAAAAATAAATAGAAATGCTCATCCTTCTTAGTGATCAGCAAGTAAAGCCAGAGGGACGTCCTTTCATGCCCATCAGAATGATGATGGTTTGGGGGAGAGGGTGGAGACCAGTGGTCTTACCCAGTACCCTTCTTGTGACCTCCTTGGTGACATTCAGTCGGGTTGGGAGCTTCTTGCATGTTCAGACAAGAAAACGTGCTCAGATACCTGAAATAGCAAACAACTGGAGACAGCCCACAGGTGCATCATTAGAGGAATGGACAGGTAAGTTGTTCTCTATCATAACATATACTGAAAAGCAGTGAGAATCAATTATTAGAACTACATGGATCACCTAGGTGGATCTCACAAAGATAATCCACAAAGAAAATTCAGGAGGAATGCGTACGGTGCAATGACATACAACATGTTTAAGACATACAAGACGGTTTTGTTTTAAGAATCTGTAACTATTGGCCAGGCGCAGTGGCTCACACCTGTAATCCCAGCACTTTGGGAGGCTGAGGAGGGCGGATCACGAGGTCAGGAGTTCGAGAGCAGCCTGACCAACATAGTGAAACCCCATCTCTACTAGAAATACAAAAATTAGCCGGACATGGTGGTGCATGCCTTTAATCCCACCACTCAGGAGGCTGAGGCAGGAGAATCGCTTGAACCTTGGAGGTGGAGGTTGCAGTAAGCTGAGATTGTGCCACTGCACTCCAGCCTGGGCGATAGAGTGAGACTCTGTCTCAAAAAAAAACAAAAAAAATCTGTATACAAAATATAAATGTGTGTGGGGATGACACATATGTACTCTAGCAAGTGAGGACCCCAACTGGGGATGGGATAGGAGACCATCTTTCTTTCCAGAGTGGCAACACAGTGCAGGGGGGTCCCTGTCTTAGCAGTGACTTGCTGGTGTGCAGAGGGGTCACTCTCTTAGCAGTGACTTGCGGGTGTGCAGGGGGTTCACCACCTTACCAGTGACTTGCAGGGGGTCCCTGTCTTAACAGTGACTTGCGGGTGTGCAGGGGGGTTCGCTGTCTTAGCAGTGACTTGCGGGTGTGCGGGGGGGTTCACTGTCTTAGCAGTGACTTGCGGGTGTGCAGGGGGTTTCACTGTCTTAGCAGTGACTTGCGGGTGTGCGGGGGGGTTCACTGTCTTAGCAGTGACTTGGGGGGTCCCTGTCTTAGCAGTGACTTGCGGGTGTGCGGGGGTTCACTGTCTTAGTGACTTGCGGGTGTGCGGGGGGTTCACTGTCTTAGTGATTTGCATGTGTGGGGGGGGTTCACTGTCTTAGTGACTTGCGGGTGTGCGGGGGTTCACTGTCTTAGTGACTTGCGGGTGTGCGGGGGTTCACTGTCTTAGCAGTGACTTGTGGGTGTGCGGGGGTTCACTGTCTTAGTGACTTGGTGTGCGGGGGGGTTCACTGTCTTAGTGACTTGTGGGTGTGCGGGTGGTTCACTGTCTTAGTGACTTGCGGGTGTGCGGGGGGTTCACTAGTGACTTGCGGGTGTGCGGGGGGTTCACTGTCTTAGTGACTTGCGGGTGTGCGGGGGGTTCACTGTCTTAGTGACTTGCGGGTGTGCGGGGGGGTTCACTTAGTGACTTTCGGGTGTGTGGGGGTTCACTGTCTTAGTGACTTGCGGGTGTGCGGGGTTCACTGTCTTAGTGACTTGCGGGTGTGCGGGGGGTTCACTGTCTTAGTGACTTGCGGGTGTGCAGGGGGTTCACTTAGCAGTGACTTGCGGGTGTGTGTGTGGGGTTCACTGTCTTAGCAGTGACTTGCGGGGGGGGTCCCTGTCTTATCAGTGACTTGCGGGTGTGTGTGGGGGGTTCACTGTCTTAGCAGTGACTTGCGGGGGGGGTCCCTGTCTTATCAGTGACTTGCGAGTGTGCGGGGGTTCACTGTCTTAGTGACTTGCGGGTGTGCAGGGGGTTCACTGTCTTAGTGACTTGCGGGTGTGCAGGGGGTTTCACTGTCTTAGCAGTGACTTGCGGGTGTGTGTGGGAGGTTCACTGTCTTAGCAGTGACTTGCGGGGGTTCCCTGTCTTAGCAGTGACTTGCAGGTTTGCGGGGGTTCACTGTCTTAGTGACTTGCGGGTGTGCGGGGGGTTTCACTGTCTTAGCAGTGACTTGCGGTTGTGTGTGGGGGGGTTCACTGTCTTAGCAGTGACTTGCGGGGGGGTCCCTGTCTTAGCAGTGACTTGCAGGTATGCGGGGGTTCACTGTCTTAGTGACTTGCAGGTGTGCGGGGGTTCACTGTCTTAGTGACTTCCAGTTGTGCGGGGGGTTCACTTAGCAGTGACTTGCAGGTGTGTGGGGGGTTCACTGTCTTAGCAGTGACTTGCGGGGGGTCCCTGTCTTAGCAGTGACTTGCAGGTGTGCGGGGGTTCACTGTCTTAGTGACTTGTGGGTGTGCGGGGGGTTCACTTAGTGACTTGCAGGTGTGCAGGGGGTTTCACTGTCTTAGCAGTGACTTGTGGTTGTGTGTGTGGGGGTCACTGTCTTAGCAGTGACTTGCGGGTATGCGGGGGTTCATTGTCTTAGTGACTTGCGGGTGTGCAGGGGTTCACTGTCTTAGTGACTTCCAAGTGTGCGGGGGGTTCACTGTCTTAGCAGTGACTTGCGGGTGTGTGGGGGGGTCACTGTCTTAGTGACTTGCTGGTGTGCGGGGGTTCACTGTCTTAGTGACTTGCGAGTGTGCGGGGGGTTCACTGTCTTAGCAGTGACTTGCGGGTACATGGATAGTCACTGTATTTTTTATTCCTCTTGATATATTTCAAATATTGCAAAATACCCTTAGATTACATATCCCCAAGAACATCTAAAAGCGTTCCCAGTAACATTTGCTTAGTCCATTCACTCTCAAAAACACGCCAGTCTTCCTACCTGGAAACTTCTGTTGAGGGATGCGATGAAGGGGAGTGAGGCGTTTCAGTGCTGCCTCAGCCCAATCCTGATTCTCCGTGTGGCAGCGCCTTCTTGTGTTCTAGGTCGCCCCACAGAACCAGTTATGTGCTTACGCCTGTGTCTCTGTCTGTGCTGTTCCCTTCCTGGGCCAGCACCAGGCTGCTGGGCAGCGCCCTTGTTTGCAGTGTGGAAACACCCACTCTGGGGCTGGCACTATCTGTCGAGAATTTAAAAGTGATCATAAATCTGTATGAAAGCTGATGTGCTTTTCGTTATTACCATGCACCAGCAATTCCAGTCAGTGTCGGCCATACATCATCTGTCGTCTGTGTTCTGAATAATGGTTACTGTTGAGTTTTAATAACATAAATGTAAGCTTCAGATTCACACATTCTTATTACTTACCCTTTCGTAAACATTGTGTTTTATGTGGAAACTAATTTGGGGAACCCCCAGTCAATGGCCCTCACGTGCCAACTTGGCTGCATACCCCTGTTCCAAGACCACGTGCACAGCTTGGCATTGCTGGAGGGCGCTGGGCACACCTTGTGTCTCCCGCCTCTGTGGCGCTGTGGGCTCCTGGATGGAAGCAGGAGATGGGAAATAAACATGGATCGCTGAATGCAGTTTCTCTTCTCTGAGTTCGTCTTTTTTTTTTTTTTTTCCCCTGCTTTGAAGTTTTAGACAAGGTCAGTCAGACACTAGGTATTTGCCAGCAGCCAGGGTCAGTGCTGGGCCATGGAAGGGAAGCGGCCCGCTTCTTTCTCATGGCACCTTGAAGACGCGCCAGCGTGAAAGGCCTCTCACCGCGCATGACCATGGGGGCAGGACGTGAGGGCGCGGGTTAGTGTCAAAATAGGAAGAGGAGGCGAGCTTCAAGGACGGCTGGAGAAACCAGAAGGGCATTGTTTGAACACATCTTTCATCAGAAACTGGACTCATGAAGCCATGGGTCAAATCATGGCAGCGTTTGCATCATTCAGCTATTTTTCTGTCATTTTTGTAGAAAATGTAAGATTGCAGAGGTTTTTACCAGTATTATGAAGTTATATCATGAGGATGTGTGCGGTAGTAGAATTTTTCGACAGCAGAGACATTTGAAAGCCATTACAGTTGATCTTGAAGAAACAAAAGCATGGACGGTATTGTATTGTCTGGAATGTGTGTGAAATGCAGTTGTTCTAAAATTCTGCCACACTTTGCCCAGTGGATTTTTACTATTTCTATCCGTTGCCTCATTTGAAAGAAACTTTTTGAAATTAATAGAAAAGCAGTTTAACTCCAAAGAAACATTGACAGATATGACTAGTAACTGTTGAACATGATAAGGATTATGTTCAGGTCATTATGGATCATTGACAAATTGCAGAACATAAGGCTTAAAAATAAACTGTGCTGTTATTCATGAGTGAGATAAATAGGTGGGGTTGTTTCAAAAAATACACTAATGTTAAAAGTGTGACTCCATTATTTTGTTTCTCCTGTGACATGGATTCTTACTGACATGATTATAGATAAAGCTCGGTACACATTTTCACTGCATTTCTCTTCTGCCCATTGTGATTGATCATTCCTGATTTCTGAAAGTAACTGGGTTGTGGGGGAGGGTGGCGTGCGCTGTGCACCCCAGGGGTGGGGTCTGAGTCCTTGCTGCCGCTCCCCCCACTGAGGAGTGCTGCTGTCTGCTCTTGTTTTGAACAGCGCCATCATGACCGGGTCCTATAACAACTTCTTCAGGATGTTTGATAGAGACACGCGGAGGGATGTGACCCTGGAGGCCTCGAGAGAGAGCAGCAAACCGCGCGCCAGCCTCAAACCCCGGAAGGTGTGTACGGGGGGTAAGCGGAGGAAAGACGAGATCAGTGTGGACAGTCTGGACTTCAACAAGAAGATCCTGCACACAGCCTGGCACCCCGTGGACAATGTCATTGCCGTGGCTGCCACCAATAACTTGTACATATTCCAGGACAAAATCAACTAGAGACGCGAACGTGAGGACCAAGTCTTGTCTTGCATAGTTAAGCCGGACATTTTTCTGTCAGAGAAAAGGCATCATTGTCCGCTCCATTAAGAACAGTGACGCACCTGCTACTTCCCTTCACAGACACAGGAGAAAGCCGCCTCCGCTGGAGGCCCGGTGTGGTTCCGCCTCGGCGAGGCGCGAGACAGGCGCTGCTGCTCACGTGGAGACGCTCTCGAAGCAGAGTTGACGGACACTGCTCCCAAAAGGTCATTACTCAGAATAAATGTATTTATTTCAGTCCGAGCCTTCCTTTCCAATTTATAGACCAAAAAATTAACATCCAAGAGAAAAGTTATTGTCAGATACCGCTCTTTCTCCAACTTTCCCTCTTTCTCTGCCATCACACTTGGGCCTTCACTGCAGCGTGGTGTGGCCACCGTCCGTGTCCTCTCGGCCTTCCTCCGAGTCCAGGTGGACTCTGTGGATGTGTGGATGTGGCCCGAGCAGGCTCAGGCGGCCCCACTCACCCACAGCATCCGCCGCCACCCCTTCGGGTGTGAGCGCTCAATAAAAACAACACACTATAAAGTGTTTTTAAATCCAAACAGAAGTATTGTCTTTTTATTTAATTTTATTGCATAGAATGAAGTTATGCAGGGTTCTTCTTTGGAACTAACTGTTTGAGAAATGTGTGTCCTTCTTTGGCAGCGTGGGGGTATGTGTGCAGCATTTCTGTCCCCAAGCTGCTGCCCGCTGTGTTTCTGTAGAAGTAGCCCATCAGATACACCAGGTAAGGTCTGGGAAAAGCCAGAACCGAGGCCACCTCTGAGAAAGAAAATTGCAAGGAAGAACCAAAATTGCTGCCATCCAGTAAGCCTGGTTTAAAGTAGCTTCAAATTCACTACAGTTGAAGAAATACGTGCTTGCTTTCTAAGGCTTTTGAAAAAGCACTTTGGGGAAAGTATACTTTTTAAACATTGCTAAAATTACATGCATGCTAAATTTCATCCTGCATTTCAAGCCAGCAAAATTAAGCAATTTTAATTACACGATGCCACCAGTACGTTGGTTTATTTTCAAAGTAGGATCTTTGATACCAGAAATCAAGATTTTCCAAGACAAATAATACAGAGCTGTACCAATGCTGAGTGACCAGAGCTTGCTTCCGTGGGATTTAACACACGCCCACTACGTGTCCCCGAGGGGAGTGGGGAGTCGGGCTCCCGTGCCCCTGTGGAGATGGAGGTGTGTGCTGATCCCCCGTCCGCCTGTGGAGATGAAGGTGTGTGTTGATTCCTCCTGCTGCTGTGGAGATGGAGGTGTGTGCTGATCGCCCGTCACCCTGTCTAGATGAAGGTATGTGCTGATTGCCTGTGCCCCTGTGGAGAAGGAGGTGTGTGCTGATCCCCTGTGCCCTGTGGAGATGGAGGTGTGTGCTGCTCCCTCGTGCCCCTGTGGAGATGGAGGTGTGTGCTGATCCCCCATCCCATCCCCCTGTCTAGATGAAGGTGTGTGCTGATTCCTCATGCCCCTGTCTGGATGAAGGTGTGTGCTGATCCCCCGTCCCCCTGTGGAGATGAAGGTGTGTGCTGATCCCCCGTGCCCCTGTGGAGATGAAGGTGCGTGCTGATCCCCCATCTCCCTGTGGAGATGAAGGTGTGTGCTGATCCCCATCCCCCTGTGGAGATGAAGGGATATGCTGATCCCCTGTCCCACTGTGGAGATGAAGGGGTGTGCTGATCCCCCGTCCCCCTGTGGAGATGAAGGTGTGTGCTGATCCCCCATCTCCCTGTGGAGATGAAGGGGTGTGCCAATCCCCCGCGCCCCTGTGGAGATGGAGGCGTGTGCTGATCCCCATCCCCCTGTGGAGATGAAGGTGTGTGCTGATCCCCCATCCCCATGTGGAGATGAAGGGGTGTGTTGATCCCCTGTCCCCCTGTGGAGATGGTGTGTGCTGATCCCCGTCCCCCTGTGGAGATGAAGGTGTGTGCTGATCCCCCATCTCCCTGTGAAGATGAAGGGGTGTGCTGATCCCCCGTGCCCCTGTGGACATGGAGGCGTGTGCTGATCCCCCGTCCCCCTGTGGAGATGAAGGTGTGTGCTGATCCCCCATCCCCATGTGGAGATGAAGGGGTGTGTTGATCCCCCGTCCCCCTGTGGAGATGAAGGTGTGTGCTGATCCCCGTCCCCCTGTGGAGATGAAGGGGTGTGCTGATCCCCCATGCCCTGTGGAGATGGAGGTGTGTGCTGATCCCTCGTGCCCCTGTGGAGATAGAGGTGTGTACTGATCCCCTGTTCCCCTATCTAGATGAAGGTGTGTACTGCTGATCCCCCGTCCCCCTGTGGAGATGAAGGTGTGTGCTGATCCCCCATCCCCCTGTGGAGATGAAGGGGTGTGCTGATCCCCCGTCTTCCTGTGGAGATGAAGGTGTGTGCTGATTCCTCATGCCCCTGTGGAGATGGAGGTGTGTGCTGATCCCCCATCCCCCTGTGGGGATGAAGGTGTGTGCTGATCCCCCATCCCCCTGTGGAGATGAAGGGGTATGCTGATCCCCCGTCCCCCTGTGGAGATGAAGGTGTGTGCTGATCCCCCATCCCCCTGTGGAGATGAAGGGGTATGCTGATCCCCTGTCCCCCTGTGGGGATGAAGGTGTGTGCTGATCTCTTGTCCCCCTGTGGAGATGGAGGTGTGTGCTGATCCCCCATCCCCCTGTGGAGATGAAGATGTGTGCTGATCCCCCGTCCTCCTGTGGAGATGAAGGTGTGTGCTGCTTCCTCGTGCCCCTGTGGAGATGGAGGTGTGTGCTGGTCCCCCGTCCCCCTGTGGAGATGGAGGTGTGTGCTGATCCCCCGTCCCCCTGTGGAGATGGAGGCGTGTGCTGATCCCCCATCCCCCTGTGGAGATGAAGGCGTGTGCTGATCCGCCATCCCACTGTGGAGATGAAGGCGTGTGCTGATCCCCCATCCCCCTGTGGAGATAAAGGTGTGTGCTGATCCCCCATCCCCCTGTGGAGATGAAGGCGTGTGCTGATCCGCCATCCCACTGTGGAGATGAAGGCGTGTGCTGATCCCCCATCCCCCTGTGGAGATGAAGGCGTGTGCTCATCCCCCATCCCCCTGTGGAGATGAAGGCGTGTGCTGATCCGCCATCCCACTGTGGAGATGAAGGTGTGTGCTGATCCCCCATCCCCCTGTGGAGATGAAGGTGTGTGCTGATCCCCGGTCCCCCTGTGGAGATGAAGGTGTGTGCTGATCCCCCGTCCTCCTGTGGAGATGAAGGCGTGTGCTGATCCCCCGTCCCCCTGTGGAGATGAAGGCGTGTGCTGATCCGCCGTCCCCCTGTGGAGATGAAGGCGTGTGCTGATCCGCCATCCCCCTGTGGAGATGAAGGCGTGTGCTCATCCCCCATCCCCCTGTGGAGATGAAGGCGTGTGCTGATCCGCCATCCCACTGTGGAGATGAAGGTGTGTGCTGATCCCCCATCCCCCTGTGGAGATGAAGGCGTGTGCTGATCCCCGGTCCCCCTGTGGAGATGAAGGTGTGTGTTGATCCCCCATCCCCCTGTGGAGGTGAAGGTGTGTGCTGATTACTAATCCACATGGGCAAGAACAGGATGTCCGTCATTACCCTGAATCAATGCTAACACAGTGCCACTTGAGTTCACATTAAGTTAGAAATTGAGAATCTAAAGGTACCTTTATTTTAACTAAAAAATAATTTATATACTGTATATTGATTGTGACACAATTTACAAAGTCTGAGGTGTGGAACAGTTATTTAAGCATTAGTCAACCCTGGTCCTTAAGACAGTTCTAGTAAAATGGGATTGTATATATTTGTTCAACTATTTTGACCAAAAAGTTCAATAAATTTTAAATGTTTAACTGGATTTTCACTGCGTATTTGGACACCCTTTTCCATCTTCCTCTAGAATGTATTTCCCACTAAATAGCCCACCTCCTCCACCCCCAGGGCAGAGCAGAAGGTGCAGCCCAGGCGGGTCCCGTGTGTAGAGGTTCCACGTGGCACTGCTGCTCCCGTGGAACTGCCACTGCCTTGAGGTCTGCGGCGCACGTTCCCTGGAGGTGTCGTCACCTAGCTCTGGGGCGCCTGCGGGGGAAGCCACCTGGCCAGCAGTCCTGTCCGTTTCTGTGGGTTCTCCCCAGTGCAGTCTTGATGTTCTGAGAGGCGCTGGCAATTCCACGCACCTATGTCCGCAAAAAGCAGGATCCATTCACTTTAGAGAAGTGCCCTCAACAGGCGCGGAGGAAGACGTGCCCTCAACAGGTGCGGAGAAAACTTCTCTTTCCTGCTTAAAGTAGAACAGTGTCATCAGCTTCTGAAGGTTAATGCTGAGCACAGTTTTCATTGATGAGGATTCTGGGCCCGTGGTTCAGGTGGAGGTTTGCTGCTCTCTGGGCTGATGACCCGGATTCCATGAACACACTTTCTTCGTAAGTGGATTTAACGTGCCTTTTTTGAAAGAAAAATGGAGCTCCTATGAACCAGTTTATGATGCCCTCGTGGACAGACTCAGTCTGATTTTGGAGGCCACACGACTGGCAGGTGTGGCTGGAGACTGCAGCATGTGCGTGTCTGTCTGTCCTGTGTGGAGCCAAATCATCACCATCAGTGCCAGAAGCCTCCCAAAGCCCAGTGCCATGGGATTGGTGTGTGTCCTGCTCCCGGCCGGAAGAAGCTGGCCCTGGATCCGCCTGGCCCGGCTGCTCTGCATCACCCCTTTGCTTGCTTGGGAGGAAGAGTGGGTCTGGGGCTGCGGAGGCTCTCCGGGTGGCCTTAAGCTTGCTTTCTCCTAAACCTGTGCTGTGCGTCCTTGGCCAGCGGCTTTGGCATCAGCCAGGGAGTGGGGGAGTGAGGTCAGAGCCAGCAGGAGTCCGGGCTGTGCTGGGTAGCAGAGGTCGCATCTTCCCAGAGCTGCAGGCAAAGGGACAGGATGGGCTTGCTGTATGAGGGCGTGGCTCTGCTCGTCCTGGGCTGGGCCAGGGGTGCTGAGTGGGGCTGTAGCCGCATCTTCTGTGGCGAGCTGTCCTGTCGTTGCTGTGCTGGGATCGCCAAGGGAGAGGGACGGAAGCTGTCCGTGAGCTGGTGAGACAGCAAGCCAGGAATCCAGCCACAGGTGGGGAGACAATGCAGCTCAAACTGGTGGAGCTGCAAGGGCCCACAGACCACCTTCAGACGCTGCCCGCGGCCGACGCTTCCCCAACCCCTGGGAGAGGCCTGGGCCTGGGGGCCTGGCGGGCCCCGCGCTCTTCCCTTGGGTCCCGTCCTCCGAGGGGGCTGCCTGCCAAAGCCAAGTTCAGCAGTCCCCGACAGTGGGCTTCTCTGCACAGGTGGTGTGCAGGGGTGGGTGGAGTGTAGACCAGATGTGAGTAAAGGCAGCACCCCCAGCCCCACAGGGCTGTCACAGCTCAGGCCCTGCAGAGCTGTGGGGTTTGGCTGCTGTGGGTGGCAACCCCTCCTAAGTGCCTGCTGCAGGTGGGCGCTGGGCCAGGGCTTTCCCTACAGCCACCCTGGCCATGGGTCACAGACGCACACACCACAGCACCCGGCTGGGCACTGGGGTGATACTGGGCTTGGCTTTGAGCTCCGTGCCTCTGTGCCCCATACGCCCCTCAGATCTCTGGTGACAGTGCGGGGCTGCCTACAGGACACCCAGGGCTCCTTGATCTTTTAGGAACTGCGGCACCCCCGAAGCTGTGACAGGTGCAGAGGCGCTGCCGTCCTGGGCCGGGCCTCACCTTCCGCCTTGTGTGCTCTGGCGCCAGCACCCAGTCCCAAGGGCACAGCGGCTGCGACTTGCCTCTGGCCAGGGCAGGTGGTGGTGTCATACCCAGGACGGGAACCCACACTTGATGTCCTCCAGGGTTTTTTTTTTTTACATTATCTTAAGGACTGACAGTCTCCCACCCCATCTGCTCCCATCTGTCCCTAATTTCATGCGCCTCCGCCTGAGTTCCTGCACGCATTTCCTGAATAAACACACCCCTGTGCCAGTCAGAACCCGCGGGGGTTTTGGAAGTGAGAGCCCAGCAAGGCAGCTGGCCAGGGGGCGGCACTGCCCTCCGGGGAGCACCGGTGCCCGGGACTCTGCTTCTGAGGCTGGCCTGTACGATGATTTTGTATAAATATCTCCAATCAGAACCTTTTTAGTGTATTTCTTAATATAACAGAAACTGGTGTCTTAAAATACAAGACTAGCTGCCCGGTGATGACACCAAATCGAGCAGCGGGGCTCGCAGTGGCCAGGATCCCCGACAGTGGAATGCTGAGGTTAGAACTGAAACCGCGTTTCGTGAAGTCATCATCACGCACGGGAAACAGGTTTGGGGTGAGGGGCGGTCCAGTCCTAAGAAAGCTCTCCAGCTCCACGCGGTCACCTTCACTCACTCACCAGATGCAGATTGCAAAGAGGCGAAACCTGTGATTTCTTTAATAATCACAGTCTCCATCTGGTGAGTGGTTAAAGTCACGTTCCGTTTTCATTTTCCTTTTGGTGGCTGGGAAATGCTTCTGATAGTAATAGTTTTCGATTCTGCAACTCCCATTGTCTTAGGCTCTGTAGCTCTCCATTTTCTTCTTATCCTTGGGACGTGTCTTGGACGTTTCTAACAGGCTGTGTTCCTGGACCTGAAACTCAGCTGGAGACTGGGTCCCTTGCAGATTTGCAGGGACCGTCCATCGCTGGTGTGTAGATGCAAAAACAAAACACTGGCACCACCCAGTCAGAACTGGCAGGGGCTGCCTGCACTGGGCACCAACCCCGCAGATGGCCAGGCCCAGACCACGTGACTGCCTGCTGGGCTCCACCCCCAACCGCAGCCCAGCCAAGGCAGAGAGGTGGCTGCACTTCCGCCGATCAGAGGTCCAGATAGAGCTCCGTCTGCTTGCCTTGGAGTTGTTAGAAAATTATCTTTGGGGCTAGGCATGGTGGCTCACGCCTGTAATCCCAGCACTTTGGGAAGCTGAGGTGGGCGGATCACGAGGTCAGGAGTTCAAGACCAGCCTGGCCATCATAGTGAAACCCCGTCTCTACTAAAAATACAAAAAATTTAGCCAGATGTGGTGGCGGACGCTTGTAATCCCGGCTACTTGGGAGGCTGAGGCAGGACAATCACTTGAACCCAGGAGGCGGAGGTTGCAGTGAGCCGAGATTGTGTCGCTGTACTCCAGCCTAGGCGACAGAGTGAGACTCCATCTCAAAAAAAGGTTGGGATGTCTTTTTAAGTGTGTCTGTTCCAGGAGGATGGGAAACACTAATTTATGATTCCAAGAACTTTCAGGGGAAATTTGTTATCCAAACCTAAATATCTGAACACAGTGTAACCCTGGTTCTTACTAGAAGTGTTTTTTCTTAAAGAAGCTGTGAACTGGTCATACGTACAGCGTTCACAAGTCCCCAGAGGAGGTGACAAAGTCTTGCCCTTGCCTCTGGCCCCCTGGATCATTTTGGATACTTGTTTCTTGGGGGGTTACTTCCAGTTTTTATACAAACACAAATAAGATTCACTCCTGTTTCCCGTTTCTACACATCGGGTAGCATCCTGTGCATGCCGTGGGGCGCCTGGCTGTCCTCACTGCGCGCGTCTGGGCGGGCTGTCCACACCGTCCGTGGAGCCTCACTGGCTGCTGCACGGTGGCATTGCCACACGTCGGACGCGGCTTCTGACGCCACAGGGCTGTGCGCTGAGGCTCTGCCTTTCTAACAAGCCCCCAGGCAGCGCGCTGACACCCCAGTCCAGGGACCACACTTTTTTTTTCTTTTTTAGTAAAAAGGTATCTTCTATTTATTTTCCTTCTTAGCGTTGTACTTTGAATAATTTTGAACAGGTTTTGGAAATCCTGCAGCCTTCACCCAGCCCCCTAACAATGGTGTGTCCTGCAGCCTCATGGGGACTCACACCGTGCAGGGCTAGTGGCCTCACCTGCACCTGCCTTGGCACCTGCCTGGCTGTCTCACGAGTGTCGGTTTTTCCTGTCCAGGGCCCTCCCAAAGCGCCCACGTTGTATTTCGTTGTCTCCCTGCCTTCCAGTCTCTGCTGCAGTCTTTCAGGACCCGAGCACTTGGGAAGTGTGGGCAGGCATTTTGTAGACTCCCCCTCAATTTTGGTTTGCCTGATATTTTCTCGTGATTAAACTGCAATTATGCATTCTGGCAAGAACACGGAAGAGATCTGGCCTCCTCTGCATCAAATCAGGATGTAGGTGGTGTCTACCAGGTCTCTTCACTGTAGAGTTACTGTTTTCTTTGGTGTAATGAGTATCTTGCGGGGACACAATGAGAATATCCTCTCAAGAACCCACTAACTTTAGTTTCCGTCGACGAATCAGCAGTTATTGGTATTTGCCTAATGGTGACTTTGTGTTTTTTTTTTGTTTTGTTTTTGAGACAAATAACCGTCACCACCACCGGGACCCAGGGCTGGCCGTGCACACAGCTGTTGGAGGATCATTGCTTCCAGGCCCTTTTGTTGAGTGGCACTTGGAAAGACACACTCCCCCATGCACAGCTCCGGCTCAAACCGCGACTCACTGCTAACCCAAACCCAGCAAGCCCACGGCTTCGTGCTAGCCTTCCTTGTGACTGTCCAGCAGTGGGAAATCAGGCTGTCATTACGTGTAACATCACACAGTGTTAATATGCCTGTGGTTTCAGGATTGCCAACCCATGGAAAGCAAATTCACTAGCAAGAGTTTACTATGTTTTTTTTTTTTTTTTTTTGTCACTTTAACCTTGCAGTATCCACCCCGAATGGTGTTCTCTGGTCCTTTAGCTCACCAGCCCACCCCTTCAGTATGGCTTTATTATTTATAACAGTGAGGTTCCCTTACTGTAGGTATTCCATTTGGGATTCCCCCCCAAAACAGTTATTCATTGAATTTGGCAGCATCTGAAGCATTAATGTGGTTCTAAGTCTGTTACACAAAAAGCTGCACTCCTTCCACCCTCTTCCGTTTTCCATCTCCACCTCTTTCCACCCCGGGGTAACCAATCTCATTTAATTCTGCCTTATTCACCCTAATTTTTTTGCACAAATGAGCAGTTATGTGTTTTTCTTAGCTTTTTTCACATAAAGTATACTATATATATATTTAAATAATCCTGTATTTTGTCCTCCCATTTGCAGTTTGGACGGGGCTCAGCAGGTTCAGTTCATCTGTGCTCCAGACTGTCAGCGAGGGCATCTCTCCTGGCACTGGAGGATCCACAGAGGGGGCCACATGGCTGGCAGGGGTGCTAGCTGCTGGATCCTATCTGACCAGGCCTCTCTACTGAGCAATGTGGCTTCTTCCCAGCACGGAGGCTGGGCGCCAAGAGCATGCACCCGCAGAGACAGGAAGTGGCGGCTGCCGGTTTCTTAAGGCTGGGTGGGCCCAGAAAGTGGTGCTGCACCACTGGCATCACTCCCTCCTTATCCTGTTGGCCAGTCCAGAGCTGAAGGGGCACAGACCCCCATCACTCATTAAGGGCTGTCAAAAAAACTAGGGGGCTTTTATTTTTTTGAGACAGAGTCTCGCTCTGTCGCCCAGGCTGGAGTGCAGTGGCACGATTTTGGCTCACTGCAACCTCCACCTCCCGGGTTCAAGCAATTCTGCCTCAGCCTCCCAAGTAGCTGGGACTACAGGTACGCCACCACACCCAGCTAATTTTCTTGTATTTTAGTAGAGACGGGGTTTCACCATGTTGGCCAGGCTGATCGCGAACTCCTGAGCCCAGGCAATCCACCCGCCCCAGCCTCCCAAAGTGCTGGGATTACAGACGTGAGCCACAGCGCCTGGCCGGGGGCTGTCTTCAAACTGCTACAGGTTTCCTGTTTCAAGGAGCTGCTTCCAAATGTTCTTTCCTTTCTGCTAGGGAGACATCTATTTTTGCACTGTGTTTTACTTCACATACCCTGGAATCCCTTCTCATCGCGAGCTCTTCCCCTTGGTGCATGAGTGGCAAAGCACCGGCCCTGCAGGGCAGCACTGTCGTTCTCTCGAGTCTCTATGCGTGGGCACCTCGGTTGCTTCATATATTTTAATACAATCATGTTATAATAAATACTGCGTATTTAGTTATATCCTTGTGCATGTGCATGTAGAAGTTTCTAGGTCTGTCTCCAGAGTGAATTCCTAGAAGTGGTTTGTGTGTCCAAAGCATAGATGCATGGCTGGAGTTTTTTGAGGTGTTGCCGACTCCTCTCTCTTGCAGCCATGTGCATTCCTTCTAAGCAACGTGTCGGCGTCACGTTCCACACCCTAAGCAGATGTGTATGGGCAAATGTCTGCATCAGAGTAAATATCAGGTAAATAGTGGCCAAGTGGCCAATGTTTTTATATCAGAATCACTTAATGTTAATTTTATAAACTTAATGATTAAAATGAGTGTTATGGGCAGTTATTTGTATTAACCACTGTAGAAAAGAAGGGTTATTTACAGAAGCTATTCAGAAGGCACACTGCCATTATCCTACCTCAAAGATAAAAACATTCAGATACGCACACACATCAAACTTGTTTCATTTTTAATAAAATGTCTAATGTTACAATCTAACGAAAAACACCTCCAGAAAACTTGATTCTTGGTCTCCCATCTGTCTAAAGCACTCCAGTCCCAGAGTTGTTTTTTCTGAAACAGGGTCTTGCTCTTGCTCAGGCCGTGTGCACTATCCTGGCTCACTGCAGCCTTGAACTCCTGGGCTCAAGGGATCCTCCTGCCTCAGTCTACCAAGTAGCTGGGGCTACAGGTGTGTGCCACCACACGAGGCTAATTTTTGTATTTTGTGTAGAGACAGGGTCTTGCTATGCTCCCCCAGGCTGGTCTCGAACTTCTGGACTTGTGATCCTCCTACCTCAGCCTCCCAAAGTGTTGAGATTACAGGTGTGGAGCCATCACACTGGCCCAGTCCCAGAGCTTAGTACCTCCAACTGGTTGTTTTTTTTTTTTTTTTTGAGATGGAGTCTCGTTCTCCCTCCCAGGCTGGAGTGCAGTGGCATGATCTCCACTCACTGCAACCTCTGCCTTCTGGGTTCCAGCGGTTCTCCTGCCTCAGCCTCCCAAGTAGCTGGGATTACAGGCACGTGCCACTGCGCCCAGCTAATTTTTGCATTTTTATTAGAGACGGGGTTTCATCATGTTGGCCAGGCCAATCTTCTGACTTCAGGTGATCCACCCACCTCAACCTCCCAAAGTGCTGGGATTACAGGCGTGAGCCACTGTGCCCGGCCATACAGGTGGTTTCACTCAGAGTTCAGCCATTGTCATCTGTGAGGGGGACACGTGGTTGGCTTTGTTGTGTGCTAACTTTGATGGTGACCAGGGGGTTCACTGAGCTCTGTAAGGTGCTGAAACTCCACTGATGTTTGTGATGAAAGACAAACAGCAAACATATTTGCTCTAAAACAAAAACGGAATTCCCTTGACCATCGTGCTTCGATGATCTCAGACTATTCTGAAGTTAAATTATATAAAGGAATTCTGATGTCATGCCATCCACATTCTCCAAATGTAAGACTGAGAGATGACTGCTTCCAAGGTAGCATCAACAAAGATTTTTACAAATGAAAACGTTAGATTTAACACCCGAATTAAGCGTGGAAAGGTGAAACATCAAGGCGGCAGGCAGCCTTTCTAAAAAGTTTGCTGTAGGAAAGATAATGTCAAAATAGGGACCAGTCCTGGTTTCATTAAGAAGCTATCATGACGTCTGATTTTAAACCATATGTAAATACAGTAATCTGAAGGATTTGGCAAAGATTTATTTTTTTTTCCATTTCCAGTTTTTTAAAGTAGACACAGATTTGCTTAGAATAAAGCTGATTTTAAAAGCACACAAAAGTTGAACACAAAGGAGAGGATTAAATTCACCAATGCAGAGTGATAAAGAGGAAAAGATACTGAGTAGGTGCCTTCAGCAGAAAACTGATCATCCAGGGTGATCACCTAATAATCGGAGACTTAATTCCTTATAATGCAAAAGCAAGAAGAGTTTAGTGTACGAACTGTACAGCTGAGTTTGTAGCTCTATCTTGGTTTCTGTTGATTATGAACAATTAGCATAGTTATATATAATCTTTCTTTAGTAGACAACCTGCATCCATTTAAATTAAATAATACTTTCTACAATAGTGTGATATATAAGGCCACAATATTTATTTTGGACAAACCCCTTAAAGTAGCGATTTTATTATCAATGTTATTCATTCTTTTGAAATATAAAGTACTTCAGCTGAATTAAGGTTGCAGATAATTTTTAAAATACAACACACATCATGACTAGTATATTAAAATTATTTATATTCAGATATTTATATCTAATATCAAATGAAAATTTACTACCAAATTTTCACAGTAGACATTAATCAGTCTGACATGCTTATTGATCCCATAGGTGTAATTATAGATCAACATGATTTTAGTGTCTATTCTTTTATTTTACTAAATTAGGAACGCAGCATTTACAGAACAAATAAACACAAGTGACGTGGCCACCCCAGGATCTAACAGCTCTTCAGTGAGCTATGTTGCAAGCTCAGAAGTAATCCACTAACGAACCAAGTCAGACTCCAGTTCTTCATCAAAAGGTGCTGGTGGAGGTTGTCAGACGCCTTCCAATATAGATCCTTCACAGAAAAATTATCAGTAGTTAATGTATCTTGTGATTCACAGGAGACTGTGTTACAGCTGAAACAGGGTAGCTCACTGTGGTTAGAGCTTATGCAAGGGGACTGGTGATTTTATACCCATTATAAAAATTTTGTAATGAATCTATCTGTGATCTTTTATCTAGTGTTTTATCAATATGTATTTTGTATTAATTAACTTAGAAAACATCAGATCGTATTCTTACATAGAAGGATCACCAAACCGAATGCTGTTTCCACACAGAAAGCTTCTGCTTTGTTCCAACTCAGTGCTGGGGGAAGTCACCTACCAGGGCAAGATGGTGTTGCTAGTTCATCACCACCAGCCTCACCAAAGCCAACTGCTTAAAAATGAAGCCCCTGCCCTCATGTGGTTTAAGTTTGGTAGTGGGAGAGATGTCCCAAACTAAAGATGCAGGAGTGTCAGAAAAGGCTTTTCGGCAATAGAGAGGCTCGCTCCAGCTGACCAGCGGGCATCACTCCCGGAGGGAGGAGGATGGGTCTCCAGGAAAGGGCAGAATCGGAAGCCTGGCTGGCCTGGCCTGTGGGCGGTGGTGTGGTGGGCACTGTGAGCGCAGACAGTGCTGCAGCAGCTTTCGGGGCAGATTTTATCGTGTGGTTCTGAAAAGCAGCTGAGGGGGTGTGGGTCGCCAGTGGCAGCATCAGGCTCTGAAAACCCGGGCAGGACGAAGGACAGTAGCTGGGAAGTAGTGGCTGCAGAAATCCATCCTGAAACGAAGGGCTTAAACCTTGTATTTAAAATGAGGATCCCGAGGCCTTGCCCCCAGAGTCTGCTTGACAGTTCTGGAAAAGGCTCCAGAAAGCAAACTGCCTGGTGATGCTGATGCAGTCTGTAGGTCTGACTCCCAAAAGCACCAGCAGAAATGAAGGTGACGGGTTATGGGGGGGACGTGAGAATGTGCCCAAGAGCTAGGAGAAAGCCACGCACACGGGAGGGCGAGGTGGAGACACGGGCAGCGCTCAGGTCCCGGCCCAGGAAACTCAGTGGCTTTTATCCCGTTTCCTTCAACCCCAGATGTGAGCCCTCTGGCCAACCTACCTAACCCACCTGCCCCCAGTGGCATTCCGGTCTTTCCAGTCTGTCCAACACACGGCAGCCACAGAACACTGTCTGCACGCCAGGACTAGAGCCCTCCTCCCCGCTGAGAGGCTGGGACCAGCCCGAGGAGGAGCCGTTTTGGCTTCCCGCTCTGGCTCTTCACCACCGCTGCGGCGAACGCTCTTCAGAACCCACAGCGGCGCCTGCCTGGTCTCTGTGTTTTCTGCAGGGTGAGTGAGTATAAGCAGCCAGGAAAGGCCAGGCGCGGTGGCTCACGCCTGTAATCCCAGCACTTTGGAGGCCGAGGTGAGCCATCCCTTGAGTTCGAGATCAGCCTGGGCAACGTGGCGAAGCCCCGTCTCTATTAAAAATACAAAAATTAGCCAGGCCTGGTGGTGGGCACCTGTAATCCCAGCTACCCAGGAGGCTGAGGCAGGAGAGTCGCTTGAACCCAGGAGGCAGAGGCTGCAGTGAGCCGAGATCACGCCCCTGCACTCAGCCTGGGCAACAAGAGCGAAACTCAAGCCAGTAAAGTCGGAGACTGCATTGGTTCCTTCATTGCTGAGAGTTACTAGAACAACAGTCCTGTCTGGAGGAAGTACAGCAGGTAACTGAGACCCTCCACCTACAGCAGAGCTGGGTGCATTCCCGCCACAGTACTACACAGAAATGAGACTGCTTTCACCTACACACAGGACAAAGAGGTCAGACCTAAGAAGCCCTGCTTTGACTCCGTTTATATTCAGTGAGCAACAGGCAGACTCGTCAGGCCAGACAGCAGCACCACAGGGCGCCTGTGCTGGGGCCTTTGGGGGCTGCAGGCTGGTGGTTTCTGGACCTGAACAGTGACTACGTGGGTGTTTGTGAAAATGCACCAAGCTGTAACTGATGATCTGGACTTCAGGAAACAGGTTACGAATAAATCACTGCAACCCAGAATCGCCCCACGACATGCCATGACAGGAGTCACACAGTCACATCACCTACCCCAATCCGATGGCCAGCAAATGAGAGAGCAGCAGAGATGGAAGGAAAACTTTCAGAAATTCTGCAGAGAATATGCCCCCTTTCTTCATGACGCTCGTGTTCCTCATGCTGAGGGTGGCCGTGCGCTTCGGGTGTTTAAAGAGGAACTCCCTGAGGCGGGAAGAAACGTGTCAGCTGATGTGTCCTCTGTCAAGGGGTGCCCCCGTGACACTGAGAACACACTCACTTGGGGGGAATATTTTCCGGCCGACTTGACCAATCCCATATCCAATCTGAGTTTTTCTTCAAGATGCTTTCAACTTCTTTCCTTCTTTCAATATCATCTTCCTCAGACTAAGATAAAGTCAATGTTAAAGGCAGATCAGTGTACCACACGTGACACGGGAAAGCACCCAGCTCCCACCCGAGCTTCAGATCCGCAGGCTCAATTCAAGAGCCCAGAGGCACATGTCAGTGCCTCGGACCGTGGTCCAAGGGGAGTCCTGGGGCTGGGGGCCTTCCCCGGGCCGCGCCGCACTCCCGGCTCACAGCACGCTCGCCGCCTCCAGGGACAGATCACCTCTGGGGGAGCCCCACTCAGGGCGTAAATACATTTGGTTCACTGTGAGATTCTGGGGGTACTGACAGCGGCAAACACTGTCCTAGGGAAGTCACGTGACATGAGGGCAAAGATGGTGACGGCAGCACTGGTTATAAGAAAAGAAAATGAAAACAGCCGAAAACGGCTCAAAACAGGGACATGACGAAGGAAGGGACACTGTATAGTGAGCAGGTTTACAAGATGCTTCCGGGATAAGCAGGAGGGAAAAGGCAGAAATGTCCACATAACCACAGCTGCGGCCAAATCCTCAGAATTATATAACAGCACGAAACATTAAAGAGGATTTTAAATCTGAGAGTCTAAGTGTTTTTCTCTACTTTTTTGCATTTTCAAAATTCTGTACCTGAACATCTAATTCCTTTTAAAACTAGGGGAAGTTTTGTGTAAAACAGTGAAAACGGCAAGACCCTGTCTCAAAAAAAAAGAAATAAAATTGAAAATACTCAAGAATATAGCTCCCCAAACCCACCAAACATCTGGGTACACCCAAGCTGGGTACAGCCCCAAGTGCCCAGGAGCAGGCCGCACGCCCTGGATGCACCCACACACCCACAGCCAGGGCTCCTGGGGCTCCCGAAATCATGCTGCCCCTCGGAGTGGGGCCAGGGGATGTCCCTGAGAAAGCCTGGGTAACAGGGACTCCTTGTTTCCTTGGTGAAGAAAGCCTTGAGGGAAGCGCTAGCACGGAAGGGTCAGCTACTAACCCTGCCTGGAAGGCCATGCTTCCTCACAGAGCTTCCAAAATACAGAACACAGTCCGTCGTCAAAGTTCTCACCAGCAACGAACACCCAAGAAAACACATCGCGCATCTCATCTGCAGCAAGGTAAGGCACTGCCAGATATAACTGAGCAAGACAGTACTGATCACTGCCTCGAACCCTATCTGTGCCGGAGTAGGAAGGGAGAACGATAGTACACCAAGGCAATAACCCCAGGTACACTTTTTCCTCTAAGACTCACTCCGCTTTCACAACAATGCTGAAGGCCGCTCTGTAAAGCCCATTCAATAGCTGTTAACAGAAAAGTCATCTTAGGCTGGACACAGTATCTCACACCTATAGTCCCAGTATTTTGGGAGGATCACTTGAGCCCTGGAGTTCAAGACCACCCTGGGCAACACAGGGAGACCCCGTCTCTACAAAAAAAACTTTTTTAAAAAAGAAGAAAAAGTGATCTTACACTAAATTATCAGGCTGATCAGCCGCTAATGCTACACTGCTCCGGCACCAGTTAGCTCAGGACTAATGCTAGGAAAGGCACAGGGTGTAATTTCCGGCAGGTAGTGAGTGTCTAATGAGGAAGACACCTCAGAGTCACAGCCACAGTGGCCACATGGCCTTAGATGGCCCCGTGGGTAACTCCTGAGTCCCACACAGCATGCAAATATTAAAACCCACTCACTGTCCAACCAGCAACCACGAGGAAAGACCAGCCAGTAGCTGGCTCACTGCCACCCCTTCCAATGGTCCCTCCCTCCTCTCTAGGCTGCAGCCACCAGGGAGCCCTTCCTCCTTTCCGGTGTATCCCTGATGGCAGGCAGGGAGGGACAGGAGGCCCCCGCTGCCTGTCCCACTCGGCGCCTCCCCCGCTCAGCTGAGTGTCCAGCCCATGTGCTTGTGGATGTTCCCACCCACAGTTTCTTGGTTTTTTTGTTTCGCTTTTTTGTTTTTTTTAAAGCAGGAAACACCCTTAAAGCCCGACTTTTCTCTGAGGTGCTCAATTACATTTAAAACCGTTTCCTGTACAAACAGATCACAAATACTTTTACAACTGCACATTCTCCTTCCAGCTTACCTGTGAGCTGTTTTTCTCTCCAATGCTATGGGTATCTGTTTCAGAAGCTCTGTTGGTATCTTGTGGTGTCTGCGAGCGAGGTGGGCTTGGCGATGTGAATAGAATGGGAAAAACAGAACATCATGTGAACATTCTATCATTAGAAGCTCAAACCCCAAAGGCAGTGAACCGCCTCCGTGATGAGGGGCTCTAGCCAGTCAGCGTACGCGTCTTCCCTTCCACCCAGCACCTGCCAGAGCCAAACTCTTCCTCAGCCCTTTTGGCTGAGCACGACAGGAGTGAGCTAGCCAGTCTTCCAGAGAAGACGCAGGGGCAACTGGCAAGCAGCTGGCTTTGTCACCTGCCGCCTTCACGGTCTGGGTCTGTTGCACAGCTCTCAAGGGCACGCGACCTTTGACCACTGTCGGCCACTCTACCTTGGAGTCACTCAGAAGTACTGCTAACCAGGGACCGCTCCTCCTGCGACCACAGCCCCGCTGAGGCGCGTGAGTGCGTTTCTCAGAGTGGGGTTTGTGGCTGTTCCGCTGCCTACTGATGACTTGAACATGGCTCCCCACAGACTAAGTCCCAGGTCACTGCATCCCCAAAGAGGGCGAGGCTCCTATATAAGGACGGACTGCAGCAGGAGCCAGTCCAGAACGCGGCCCGAGGCGAACAGCAGCCCACTGTCCTAGAGGTGACACGGGCACTTCCAGCTGTGACTGTCACCCACTGAAGACATCGGCACTGTAACACATACACTTGTTGATGCGCGCCTACCTGTCACAGTGAGAGCTCTTGGAGCTACTCCGTCCAGACTCATGCTGTGCGTCCAGCAGTATTTTTTCCATGTCTCCATTATAAATAGAAACCGAGGCTGGAACGCTGCCCCCGTTCCCATTATTGCTGAAGTGCAGTTCTACCCAGGAGCCTGATGGGGACAAAAAAAGGGGCGCAGATGGAATTCTCTACCCACTCTGGAATCTGCTCTTGATATCTAACCAGCCTGCCCTTCCATTTCCAAGAGGTAGCAATGGTGCCACACCAGGAACCATCCCTCAACCCCGACTTGAAGACATCCCTCTGCCCACTCTCATGGCAGTGACTGTCCACGCACACACTCCCTGGGTACAGGAAGGAAGCCCCCTGGGGCTGAGACCATGTATCTGTCCAGCTCTTGCAGTCCCTTTATACCAAGCCAATGTCCAATAACTCTGCTGAGTCAACAGAATCCAATTAGAATACTTCCTTGCAGTGAGCTTTTATAAGAAAAAGGCTATTATTTGGAAAAAGAGGTCTTTAAAAAAAACAACAACAACACTAATGTCAACATAAGCTTAAGGGATTTGAAGTTTTCTTTAAAAGGTTTAAGCTCTATTTTTTGTTTCTTTTCGAGACGGAGTCTCGCTTTGTCACCCAGGCTGGGGTGCAGTGGCACGATGAAGGCTCACTATAATCTCAAACTCCTGGGTTCAGGCCATCCTCTAGCTGACACCTCCGGAATAACTGGAACTACAGGCATGCACCACTACTCCTGGCTATTTTTTTTAGGAGATGGGGTCTCGCTATATTGCCCAGGCTAGTCTCGAACTTCTGGGCCCAAGCAGTCCTCTCACCTCAGCTTCCCAGTGTGCTGGGATTACAGGCGTGAGCCACCATGCCCAGCCTCTATGACTTGCATCGTGTGGCTTACTTTGCATTTATATAATTTCTAACGAGGTTGAAGACGGTTTTACAAGTTTGCTAGCCATCTGGATAGCATCTTTTTTGAACTGGTTCTTCGAATCTCTTATTCTTTTCTATTATCTGTCTTTCTCTTATTTGTGGGCATCCAGCAGTATTTTTTCCATGTCACCATTATAAATAGAAACTGAGGCTGGAACGCTGCTCCCGTTCCCTTACTGCTAAAAGTGCAATTCTGGGATAATTCTGTATTCTAGATATATGTTTTTCTGCATTTAAATATGTTGCAAGTAACTTTCCCTCGGTAGCTTGTTCTTTTCACTTCTGATGTCTTCTGATGTACAGAAGTTCTTGATTTTAATTCAGTCAAATGCAGCAATCCCTTCCTGAGCTGAGATATTCTATTCTATTATTTTCACACAGCTCTACTGTTATGACAGTCACATTTAGATCCAAAATCTACATGGATTAATTTTCCCATTGATGTGAGACGGATGCCCCATTTACTGCAGACAGCTCCCGCCTCACTCTGCGCTGGCTGCTTCCTGTGTCAGAAATCAAGCGTGCATATAGGCACACGTCTATTTCTGGGCCCCAGATAATCTCTCTACTTTGTGTCATAGGTTTATTTATTTAAAGCAAATCTGGTAGGAGCTTCCTCTGGTAGCGTATGGAGGATGGAGTGCAGTGGGAGGAAAGTGCAGGCCACAAAAGACAGGGAAACTTATGGACGAGAACAATGGAATTATCTCATTTTTGCAGTCACTATAATTTTAGTAAGCAGAATAATCACCCTGAGCTGCTGACTGTCCTTAAACCAACACAGCACTAATAACACCATGCAATTAGGGGGAAAGGAGCAGCCTCTTCATCCGTCATGTTCGCTGGAAGCAAAGGCAGGTGCACAGCTTTCCACACACACGAGGCATCTCTCCTGAAAGAGGGCTGGCCTAGGCTCCATACGCCACTTGTTGCAGAGTCTATTTCATATTAACCAGAAAAAAGCAAACCGAAGGCCCAGGAAGGAAAAGTGGATTTGCAACTTATGCCATCAACAGTCTCCCAGTAAGCTGCTAACGAAATGATCACACAAATTTTCAAATGAACGCATGATTGTTCTCTTTGGCCTCTCACGTTGCCTCATGTCCTGGCCTACACGAAGCACATCCCTAATACAAAGGCAAGCCAGGGTCTGTCTCGGAGCCTGGAGCTCAATGGAGGAGAAAGGCCCAGGCCAGTCTGCCCCACACTCTGGCAGAGGCTACATGGTGCCTTCTGAGATGTACAGACCACACCATTCCTGAAGCCGCTCATCTGACCAGACAGTATTGCCAAGTACTCTGATGTTCACTAGCCCTCCTTCCCTCTCTGCGGTTCAAGATGCCATGCGGCCGGCTAGCCATGGCCTGCCCCTGAGAGAACGGCACCACAGCCTCTGTTTTGGCCAGCTGTCTTTCTCCGCTGAATCTACAGTATTCAGATTCTGGGCCTGCTTCAATTTACTTGACTAAAGTGTTGTTCAGCTATCTGACGATATGGAACACAAATGCAACTTGAAGGTGTGGTGTCTCTTCTCTGATGCCACTCTTAACATCAAATGTGGGACACCAAGTCACCACCACCGGGGTGTCCAACGATTCAATTCCATTCTATCTACCTAGACTTAGTGTGGAGCCCACAAGACTGTTCCCACAGATGCAAGCAGAGAATGGGGTGTCCAGGTTACCCGTATTTCTGCCAGTGCCTCTACCTACTCAGGGGATCCCACACACCTGCCTCAGGTTCAGTAATTTACTACAATTCACAGAACTCAGAAAAACTCTTTACTTACATTTATCAGTTTACCAGAAACAATTCCAGGGCAGACAAATGGAAATGACATACAGCCCAGATCCCCACCTACCCCACACGTCCCAACCCTAACCCCAACCACACTCTCTGCAACCAGACTCCCACTTACCCCACATGTCCCAACCCTAACCCCAACCATGCTACCCGCACCTCATGGCTCCCCCATCTCCATCTCCAGTCCCCTCCCCTCCTAGGAGGGGCTGCCCTGGGAATTTCTACCTCAAGTAACTATCCTGGGGCCACCCTTGAGCCACTGTATTAGCAGTGTATTCTGAAGGGGCTCCTTACAACTTACACCAAAAATGGTTAACCAAGGAGCACTTTTGGAGTACACTGCTAATAGGGTGACTTTATGAATAACGCACACACTGGTCAGGTTGTTCTGCCTATGGAGTCACCATCTTTTTACTGTTTTACTTTCTTTAATAAACATGCTTAAGACACTTATTGGCACAGCGGTTCATGCCTGTAATCCCAGCACTTTGGGAGGCCGAGGCGGGCAGATCATCTGAGGTCAGGAGTCAGAGACCAGCCTGACCAACATGGTGAAACCCCGTCTCTACTAAAAATACAAAATTAGCTGGGCGTGGTGGGCGCCTGTAATCCCAGCTACTCGGGAAGCTGAGGCAGAAGAATCCCTTGAACCTGAGAGGGGGAGGTTGCAGTGAGCCGAGATCATGCCACTGCCCCCCAGCCTGGGCAACAATAGCGAAACTCTGTGTCTCAAACAAAAAAAAAAGACACTGCTCAGGAAGCCCCAGGGGTTTAGGTGCTCTGCACCAGGAAGTAGGTAGGGTCAAGACCAAACACATACTGTAATCTATCACACAAGGGGCAGGCTGAAGACAACAGGGAGAGGAAGATGAAGGAGAGACAAGTGTATCTCTGTCATCCTCTGCGCTACTGCAACAGAATCCCACAGACTTAGTGATTTACGAACAGAAACTGATCTCTGTTCTGGAGGCTGGGAAGTCCAAGATCCACGCACCAACATCTGGTGTCGGCTGAGGGCCTTCCTGCCTCATCCCTTCAATGAGGCTACAGAGGGACCCACCTCCCTCCATCCAGCCCCTTAGAGCACTAATCCCATTCACTAGAGAGGAGCCCCTATGGCCGAGCCACCTCTTAAAGGCCCACCTTTTACTACCATCCCACTGGCAACATGGAGGAACACATTCGAACCAAAGCAGTGCTTTTTAAACATCACCCCAGAAAGGACCTAAAAATCCAGGAAACAAGGAAAAAAAACTCACTCCAGATTGTCCATGGCTAATGACTTTGGGCCCAAAAGCTGTATTCCCAGGAATGATTTACTAAGGGACAGGAGTTTTATTATTAACCCACAGCAACCGCGTAGGAAAGGAAGGCACTTCCTGGAGAATGGAGCGTGCTGTGTATCTACTCACGTGTTACAGTTCTCCACTCGGATCGTTCACCTTTTCAAAGAAAGATGGGCTTACAGTAAGGTTGCTTAATAACCTTAGAAAACTTGCTCATAATCACAAGCAGTTTACACTTCAAATCACTGTAGTATAATTAGGCCCCAGACGGAAAGGTGCTGCTGTTGCTGCTGCAAGAAAAGCCCTCCTTCCTAATCTCATTTCGCGTCCCTCTCATGTTCCTCCCCCTCCTCACTCACTTATAATTTACATTGCTAACAAGACACACAGCCAGTAAATCTTACCTCCCTCCTATATCAAGGTAGATGAGATTTTGAAAAGCCTAGACTATAAATATTTATATCACAGTACAAAAAGAAAACTGATAGGTCTGCCTCAGAGACAAAATACAGTCCAACAAGAGTTCTTAATCCATTTCTTATTCTCACTTTGTGTAAAAAAAAAAAAAAAAAATCATCTGACATCCAGCTTTTCTAGGTGCCCAAAGCAGTTCTCCCTCCAGTGACAGACTCCAGGGAATCCCTTCGATTCACTGCCCTCTGTATGTCCCAGGGCAACTCCCTGGGTCCCATTCCTCAACATGGATTCATGGGCCACAGCCACGAGCCCCACGTGGAGTAAACACAGGGCCAAGTTCTCAAGGCCACCCTATGCCCTAACCTGGGGTGACAACCTCAACTCTGGCTATGAAGGGAGAATCACCTGTGGTGTTTTTTCATTGTTCTCCAAAAGCCTAGCCTCAGCCCACTCTGAAAGTGACTATTTGGGATGCTGGGGTGGAATCCAGGCAAATAGATTGAAAAAGCTCTGGGATAAATGTCAGAACAGAGGGAGGCAGCATCCCAGAAAAAAAACCTGAAGCAGAGGAGCTGTGAACCCCCGAGGGAACTAGCACCCCAAAACCATACAAAGGGCTTCTTCCCCAGGGGAGGTGGGCTCTAAGAAATTGCTGTTTTACCTTTAAAGCTTCTCAGGTTAGTGGGGAGAGAACAAAAGAGACCCGCCTGACAAAAGATTTCAAGTATCAAGTCAGCTGGGTAGGTAAATCAGGTCCCTGGCTTCCAACGGGGCTCGTTTCCCTCCACCTTCCTGTTGCCTCCAGGACCTCTGGCCTCCTCTCCTCCAGGACCCTCCAGGGCCTATTGCACGCAGCCTCAGGCATCTGGGCTCCAGGTATCCCACTGCTGCCTCATGCAGAGACCTTGGCTTCTCCTTAAGTGTTGTTGCCAGCCTTATCTTTCACTCCACCTCTAGAACCTCATTGTGACCATCTATGAAATGCAAGTCTTGGACGAGAATCTCGATGTCTGCAACCCCTTCAGGTCTCAAAGCACACAATGCTACAACTCCACTCCAAAATAAGTAGAAAACATCTTTTCCCCTCATACAACTTTGCCCATGGTGAGTTGCCTCTGACAAGAGAGAGAACCATCTGCCAGTTGCAGACACAGCAGTGGGTGAAGAGGTGAGGGCTTGGATTATTAAACACGGCCCTCCAGAGTAAATGGGCATGCACTTTACTGAACTGATGCCCTCCTGGTGAAGACAGTGGGTCCTTCAAGGAAGTGATGCCCCCGCCACCGTGACACGGTCTCGTCACAGAATCCTACCTCTCCTGCATGTTAGCAGTGACATGTCTAGGAGAAAAGGGCCAAGTTCATGGCTACAGTGAGCTATAATGATTGTGCTACTGCACTCCAGCCTGGGGGAGTAAGACTGGGCTTGTAAAAAAAAGGAAAAGGACAAATACGAGCATCCTGCGAGTCAACAACTTTAGCTAGAATGATCAAGAGATAGAAAGGAACAGAATCAGCCCATTTTGCCATTAACTCTTTAGGAAAAGCAGTTGGCCCCAGAGGGTACACTCAGAGGAGAGAGTGCTTGCTGCTTCCATCCGTGGGTCTGGCTGCAAGGCTCCCATTGTTCTCTGTTCCGAGGTCAACAAGGGGCAGTGAAATCGGACAGGCAGAGGTGAGCGCTGCCTGAGCCACCGCTCCGTCCCGGATTTGCAGGCAGCTGGAGCCCGCGGGACCGGCCAACCCCGCCCACGCCGAGCCCACAGTGGCCCCGTCCTGCCGCGCGGACACTCAGGGCGGCCCAAGGAATCGCCTACATGGGATCCACCCCGCGGGTAACTATCTTTTTATAGAATAAACAAAACAGAAAAACAAAAATCTCGTAACTCCGGCGCTGGCCGCCTTGCACTGCCAATGACTCAGCAGCCTGTGTAAGTTACATATTGGAGAGAGGACCGAGCCCCCCGGAGCCCCCTCCACCTCCCAGCGCCCAGATCCCAGCCGGACAGTGAAACGCACAATGTCAGGAGTAACGCGGCTTCACAACCGGAAAATGGGTGATTTTATGGCAAAGAGTTTATAAAAACATCCCTTGGACTTTATTTTATGACAAAAGATAGGAAAACACCTCTTAATCTATTTCAAAATAGTAATTAGCCAATGTTTAAATTTCAAGAGGAAAAATCCGAATTACAGGATTTTAAAGAATATGGTTTTAGGCCAGGCGCGCCTGGTGGCTCAGGCCTATAATCCCAGCACTTTGGGAGGCCGAGGCGGGAGGATCGCTTGAGCCCAGTTCAGACCAGCCTGGGCAACACAGTGAGACCCCGTCTCTTAAAAAAAAAAAAAGGTAAAAAAAAAAAGCTTGTAGTGTTCATATGTATATATATATATTATTCAATATATTACGGTAACTAAGTCCTGCCTAGTAAAATCTTTTTTTTTGTAATAAAATTAGCAACTCACTAAATTTATGTGAATATATGGTTTTAAAAACTCTCAATGAAGATTAAAAGTTCACTGTCAGAGGTTTCAGCAGTCCTTTCCCAAGCTTATTTACATGCTAATTTTGCTTAGTAAACTCTGGCTTCAAAGAACACAAAGGTCAGCTGCCACCAGGTCCCTCCTCCGAGGCTTTGGCCCTAGGGACCCTGGGAAGGCGGCTTCAGTGCCCGCTTCCCTGAGCAAAGGCTCGTCTGGACTCTGACGCGGACCCACCGGGTGGGGTGGGTCTCCACGCCACCCGGCTGTGCGTGGGGCAAGTCCTGCACCCCGGGCCTGCGTTTCCCGCTGCGTGAACGGATGGTCTTGCGAATCTAGCCAAGGGCACACAGCGAGCCTCTACTCGGGCATTAGGCAGGCTGTAACGACTGAGTGCTGCACGGGCAGCGTCCTTTTGCTTGTGTTTTCTTAACCCGTAAGTCATTTAAAGCTTTGTTTTGGAACGACCCTCTAGTGAAATTGGAACATGCCCATTTAATGCCATATTTTAAAAACGCTGTAACCCCCTCCCATCTCCGCGTTCACCCTTGAGGAAATCCTAACAGTCACCATGGATATAAACATTAATAACAAAATTAAAGCTCATAACAGGCCACTTGCCACGCCTTGGTGTTTGGTCATTAAAACCAATACTGGTCTGAACTACAGACCGCGGAGGGCAACGTGGACTTTGAGGCTGTTCGGTCCAACTGCGAGACGCAGATTCACCTCCAGGTGGAATTCTAGCTCGCGCGGAGCTGGAGAATCGGGGCTTTCCCGTGCGGTCCGACCCGGGTCCAAGCCAACCCCCGCCCGAGTGGCGAGGCCGCGAACCCCGGGCAGTACGCGGGGTCCCCACGCCCCGGGCTCCGCATGCCCGCAGGAGGGGTGGGTACGGAAGGGGAGGATGGCGCAGCCTCGCCCGGCCCGCGATGCCCCCTAGGCCTCCCCGGCAACCTCCCCTTGGCGCCCTCTTGGCCTTCCCCAGGCTTCCCCCCCGCGCCCCCTCGGCTCCCGCGCCGCCTCCTCCGCCTCACCCTGCAGGCTCTCCTCCTGCATCCCGGGCGCTCCGTTCTGCGACATGGCGCCAGAGGGCAACTGCGGCGATCGGAGTCCGCGCCGGGCTGCGGGATGTGCTTCAGCTGCGGGCGGTGGGAAAGCGGAGGTCGGAGCGCCGCGGCCCAGCTGCGCTCCCGGACTGAGCGGAGCCCCGCAGCCCGGCCGGAGGAACTCACAGGGCAGGGCGGGGCCGGGCGGATCTGCGGCCGCGTCGCCCATTGGCCGCGACTTGGGGCCTGCGCGTGCGCAGGGGCGTGGGGTGCGTGTGGCACGTGCGGCGCGTGCGCGGGGCGGGTCCTGCGGTGGGCGAGGGGCAGAGGCCTGCGGTGCGCGGGACGCGGGCGGGGAGAGGGGCGGGGCGAGGGGCGCGCAGGCGCGAGGGCGGCAGCGACCGCCTGAGGTGAGCCGGCCCGGGCTGGACGCCGCGGGCCGCGTGACGAGTGGGCTGCGCGGTCGCCGCCGCGGCGGGCGGTGGGCCGGGTTCTCCTTTGAAGGGGCGGTGGGACCGGCGGACTCTCTGGGCACTGGCTACCACGGAGACGCCGCTACGCTTCGGGGCGGGGCCCGTCTTTCCATCCTGCTAGTGGGGAAACTGAGGCGCGGGGCTGGCGGCGTCCGTGCGGGGGGCGTGAGGACGTGCAGGGAAGCGGCCGCTGCGGCTCCGAGACGGCCCGTGGGGTCGGGACCTGCGCCCGGGGCGGGAGCTGCGAGCGGTGGGCCGGAGCTGAGCGTCTCGGGACGGGACCGCGTCCCCGGGTCTTTGCCCGCCCCGCCGGGGCGCCCCTGCGTGAACAGCGGGGCCCGTTGTGTCCGGGGCGTCCGCCCGCAGGAAGAAGCGGAGGCTCGAGCAGAGTCGAAAGAGTCTGCCCGAGGGAGGCGCGGACCCCAGGGGCCCGGGAGAGGCGCGCCGTCCGCCTCTGCGGCAAGGGGCCTCCGGGGTGCAAACGCGGTGTGGGGCGGGCGTCCCCGGGGTGGGACGCCCCGTCCACGGGGCGGAGTGGCGCTTGGTCGGGCCGGGTGGGTGCCCGGCTTCCGTGGGAGCCAGCCTGGCGTGGGGGCCTCGCAGCCTCGGGACTGGGAGGCACTTTTCAGAGGAAAGTCGCTTTCTCATTTCCCGCTTTTGATCAAAAGTCTTTCTTCTTGAAAGCATTGTTGATCCAAATCCAAGTGTCAAGGTGCGCCCCAGAAACGCTGCTTCCCAGACAGTCGTGTCTGGTCTTGCGGGAAAGGAGGAGGCGTCCCGCCAAGGAACCAGGCGCTCAGAAGCTGAACCGGGGTCACAGAGCCGCGAAGCCAGACCTCAGTCGCTGCGTGCATTTCATCCCTGCTCTTGCCTGTTGAATCGTCTCTAGTCTTTGGAGTGCCATGATTTTAGTTTTCTCAGGAGTAACAAACATCCAGAGGCCAGTGTGGGGCGCATGTCTTTCATCTCAGCACTTTGGGAGGCCGAGGCAGGAGGATCGCTGGAGCCCAGGAGTTGGAGACCAGTCTGGGCAATATGGCGAAACGCTTTCTCTCCCCTAAAAAAATACAAAAAACTTAGCTGGGTATGGTGGCACCTGCTGTGGGAGGATTCCTTGAGCCCAGGAGGTAGGGGCTACAGTGAGCCATGATCAGGCCACTACCCTCCAGCCTGGGCAACAGTGTGAGACCCTGTCTCAAAAAAAAAAAAAAAAAAACCGCCAGAGATACATAGCATAGCATTAATAATTTCGATAGTAGAACTGTAGTGCTGGCCAGGCAGTGGTTCTTGTGTGTAATCCCAGCATTTGGGGAGCCCAAGGCAGGAGGGTCACTTGAGCCTGATAGTTCAAGACCAACCTGGCAACACAGAAAGACTCCATCTCTATTAAAACAAAAATGTTACCAAGTACGGTGCACATAAGGATTACAATGAAAAAGAGAATGTGTATGCCAGAATGAAAAACGGAACCTATTCGAGGGAGTCAACTAAAAGTATTACGAAGAAAATCAAATGGAGAATTGTTCAGAATAGTGTAGCCTAGTGGCTTGTACTTTTTCCCATATGAGTTTCTACTTCGTGGAAAGGGTTTATGCACATCAAGAGGTATTTGCCACCATACATAGACTTGCTTGCTCAGCTAATAATCGAAAGCAATGCAGTCGTCCAGTGCAGCCTTAGCCAGTGAGTCAGTAGCTTTTTGTTGGGCTGTGATGGAGGCAGCAGTTTCATCAGCAATATTTCCTGATAGGCCAGATATGCTCGCAGTCATCCCAAGTAAAAGCAAACAAATACTGACTCTAGGTCCACTGGAATACTAAAGAAGGCACTACATAAATGAGTCACAGTGTCTCACTTCCAGCTGCCGAAAGAGGATGGGGCTTTGGTACTACCAGATGTCTGGGGATCACAGTGTTGATGACGGTTCTCAAATCTTGTACAGAATACCAGCTCTTCCCATTCGGCTTCCTTACAAGAAGGATTGGAGTATTACATGCTGGCGCAAGGAATAATTAGACCCCTTTTAATATAGTCTTTTGTTACGGATCTTATTCCTTCATTTGCTTCAGGCCTTAGAGGATATTGTCTGATATTGGGTAAAGGATTAATCAGGTTTACTTCCACTTTAATGAAAGTGGCTGAATATATTTTACTAATGTCGGTGGAAGACTCTGACCATAAGTGGTCTGACAAAGCTTGCCCTAAGCCATCCGTGTCATTAGTGCCAGTTGAAAAAAAAGTTGTTTGATCTGTATTTTTATAATTTCAGTAATTTCTCATTCTGTAGTTTTTCCATTTGCTCCTTCCATTCTAAACCTAAATCCATTTCTTCCTTTTGGGAGAAGGAAAGCATGCATTGTGACGTTCCAACACAAAATGTCTGCCTAAGAGATGTCTGAGAGGTGGGGGAATGAAGAAAAGAATGAGGGCCCTGGGATTCTAAGGGCTTGGACTTGTATCCAGTGATAGGCTGATGAGATAACCCTACCGTTTGTACAGTTCCATTACTCCAAGGAAGGAGACAACTTAAAGTGGACGAAAAGAGTGGCACCAGTGTCTTTGAGGGCATGTGTCTGTTCTTCATTTATGGCAATGTCCATTTCTCCTAAGGCATTAGTAGAAATAGGAACACCTCCCTTCGATCATCAGAGCAATCCTGTTCATCATGTGGGATCCTGGTTTTTCACTGGTCCTGCTGTTAAATTTTCTACAATCTTTTTTGAAATGGCCAGGCTTTTTACAGTAGAAGCAAACAGCCCTTTTGTCATTAGAAGGAGGCCCTGTCTTTTCTTAAAAGGCCTCATTTGGTTAGTCAGTTCTTGTAGTTGCAAATTCATAATCTTTGAGACCTTAGTTTTTTTCTTCCTTCTGAATTGTCTTAGGAAGTTGATCTGCATAGCTTACTAATTTGTGGGTTTGTATATTCACCCGGTTAAGCTGGTATCTTTTTAACTTAGGTAACCAAACCCTCACTTAAGCCACTGAGGAAAGTAGAATTTATGAGGAGTCATTCTAATGATCTTGGAGGCTAACAGGCATTCCAGAATATTATTTAAAGGTTTTTACAAACCCTTCAAAACATCTAAGCAGAGATTTGTCTGACCTTTGAGTACATTGTTGAGTTCTCCTCCAATCTACATTTTTAGGAAAGAACTGGGGCAAGGCATCAGGAAGAGCCTTGGCTAAAGTCCTTATTCAAAAAAGGGGGGCTTTGGAATTGACCGGGAAGGTGGAGCACCAAAGCCCTACCCATCAGCTCTCACACTTTGGCTTGTTGGGTGAATCTCACTGTCCTCTGGGAATTATGTACTTGTTTTCCCCGCACCCAAGGCCATCTCCCACCTGCAGCCTTTTTTTTTTTTTTTTAGAGACGGAGTCTCACTCTGTCACCCAGGCTGGAGTGCGGTGGTGTGATCTCGGCTCACTACAGCCTCAGCCTCCCAAGTAGCTGGGATTACAGGTGCCCACCACCACACCTGGCTAATTTTTGTATTTTTAGTAGACACAGGGTTTTGCCTTGTTGGCCAGGCTGGTCTCTTAACTCCTGACCTCAAGTGATCCACCCACATCAACCTCCCAAAGTGTTGGGATTGCAGGCATGAGCCACTGTGCCCGGCCTTGGAGCCTCTCTTCAATGCTCTCCAGCAAGCACTGAATAATCCACCTGCTTCGTTTTAGGGAATCTTTGTTTCAGTGAAATAAACCTCTCTGTCCTTAAATTTTGGATTCACTCACCCATTGTCATCGCCTCTGCTGTCTCTGATGCAGATATTTAAGGAAAACGGTTATTTTCCGGCAGCAACAGTGGACAATGAAGCTGTCATGTGTGGCAGGACAGCAGGGAGCAGGCAGTTGGTGAGAACTCAGCTTCTACAGGCAGGAATGGAGTGGGAGAGGCCCTCAGTGGTCCAGGATTTGGGAGGATTCTGTGCCTAGTCCCTGTAAAAGCTGCCAAGTGTGTTCAGAATTATTGGACTAGGTTTGCAGACAGGGAGTCCCCAGAGTTTTGGGGGTTGAGATTTCTTCTTGGTACAGCTCTGGGTAGATAAAGCAGATGTAGGAATCCCAAAAGGAGCTAATTTGGAGAATATCTGTTTGGAAACAGTGGAGAGGTGGGTGCAGCCAGAAGCAGAAGTTACTTTCTGCAGGGTTAACCAACGAAGGCTCGTTCACCAGAAAATGTGCCCTGCTGATGATATTTACAGAAGTTACTTTCTGCAGGGTTAACCAATGAAGGCTCATTCACCAGAAGATGTGCCCTGCTGATGATATTTACAGAAGTTACTTTCTGCAGGGTTAACCAATGAAGCCTCGTTCACCAGAAGATGTGCCCTGCTGATGATATTTACAGAAGTTACTTTCTGCAGGGTTAACCAATGAAGCCTCGTTCACCAGAAGATGTGCCCTGCTGATGATATTTACAGAAGTTACTTTCTGCAGGGTTAACCAATGAAGGTTCGTACACCAGAAAATGTGCCCTGCTGATGATATTTAAAGAAGTTACTTTCTGCAGGGTTAACCAGTGAAGGCTCGTACACCAGAAAATGTGGCCTGCTGATGATATTTAAAGAAACGGGCTGGGCGCAGTGGCTCACGCCTGTAATCCCAGCACTTTGGGAGGCCGAGGTGGGCCAATCACCTGAGGTCGGGAGTTTGAGACCAGCCTGGCCAACATGGAGAAACCCCATCTCTACTAAAAATACAAAATTAGCTGGGCGTGGTGGTGCATACCTGTAATCCCAGCTACTCGGGAGGCGGAGGCAGGAGAATGCTTGAACCTGGAAGGCTGAGGTTGCAGTGACCCAAGATGGCGCCATTGCACTCCAGCCTGGGCAACAAAAGCAAAATTCCGTCTCAAAAAACAAAAAAAAAGTCTGCTGCAGGATTGCAGGGGGCATCACAAGTGGTACATTAGTTTTTTTTTATGATTTCATAGACAAAAATTATTTTTTGAAATCTGACAATACCAACTGCTAACCAGGATATAGAGAAACAAGAACTTGACAAATGGGATCTAGTTAAACTAAAGAGCTTCTGCACAGCAAAAGAAACTACCGTCAGAGTGAACAGGCAACCTACAGAATGGGAGAAAAATTTTACAATCTACCTGTGCGGTGGCTCATACTTGTAATCCCAGTACATTGGGAAGCCAAAGCAACGACCAGCCTGACAAAGGGCTGATATCCAGAATCTACAAAGAACTTAAACAGATTTACAAGAAAAAAACCCCATCAAAAAGTGGGCGAAGGACATGAACAGACACTTCTCACAGTAAGACATTTATGCAGCCAACAGACACATGAAAAAATGCTCATCATCACTGGCCATCAGAGAAATGCAAATCAAAACCACAATGAGATACCATCTCACACCAGTTAGAATGGCGATCATTAAAAAGTCAGGAAACAACAGGTGCTGGAGAGGATGTGGAGAAATAGGAACACTTTTACACTGTTGGTGGGACTGTAAACTAGTGCAACCATTGTGGAAGTCAGTGTGGCGATTCCTCAGGGATCTAGAACTAGAATTACCATTTGACCCAGCCATCCCATTACTGGGTATATACCCAAAGGACTATAAATCATGCTGCTATAAAGACACATGCACACGTATGTTTACTGCAGCACTATTCACAATAGCAAAGACTTGGAACCAACCCAAATGTCCATCAATGATAGACTGGATTAAGAAAATGTGGCACATATACACCATGGAATACTATGCAGCCATAAAAAATAGGATGAGTTCATGTCCTTTGTAGGGACATGGATGAAGCTGGAAACCATCATTCTCAGCAAACTATCACAAGGACAGAAAACCAAACACCACATGTTCTCACTCATAGGTGGGAATTAAACGATGAGAACACTTGGACACAGGAAGGGGAACATCACACACTGGGGCCTGTCATGGGATGCGGGGAGGGATAGCATTAGGAGATATACCTAATGTAAATGACGAGTTAATGGGTGCAGCACACCAACATGGCACATGTATACATGTGTAACAAACCTGCACGTTGCGCACATGTACCCTAGAACTTAAAATATAATGTAAAAAATAAAGATAAAAGGTAAAAAAAGAACTTTCATATATTGCTGGTGGTAACAAAGTGGTACAGCCATTTTGAAGAACTGATTGCAAGTTTTTCGTGAAGGTAAACACGTGATCCAATAATTCTCTCAAGTATTTCTCAAGATAAATGAAAACATATATCCATAAAATGATGTTTACAGATTTACCTTATTCATAATGGCCAAAAGTCTAAAATAACACAAATGTCAATGAACAAGAGAATGGATAAATTACAGTATATTCATATAATAGAATTCAGCAATAAAAGAAATGAACTACTGATACACGTAACAACATGGATGAATTTCATAAACATTAGGTAAAAGCCATACACAAAAGAATACATACTATATAACTCCACTTATATTGTAACCGCCCAGTGGTTTCACCTTGTGGAGCTGCCTAGACAGAACCAATTTATCAAGACAGGGAAATGGCAATAGAGAAAGAGTAGTTCACACAGAGCCGGCTATGCAGGAGACTGGAGTTTTATTATTATTCAAATCAGTCTCAAGCATTTGAGCATTCCGGATCAGAGTTTTTAAGGACAAACATTACTGTTTTTTGTTTTTTGTTTTTGAGACGAAGTCTAGCTCTTGTCCCCCAGGCTGGAGTGCAATGGCACGATCTTGGCTCACTGCAACCTCCGCCTCCCGGGTTCAAGCGATTCTCCTGCCTCAGCCTCCCAAGTAGCTGGGATTACAGGCACCTGCCATCACGCCCGGCTAATTTTTGTATTTTTAATAGAGACAGGGTTTCACCATGTTGGTCAGGCTGGTCTCAAACTCCTGACCTCAGCTGATCCACCCACCTCGGCCTCCCAAAGTGCTGGGATTACAGGCGTGAGCCACTGCGCCCAGCCCAAACATTACTGTTTTAAACTACTACAGACTCTAGTCCTTTCAAAGAAAAGTTAGTTGAAGCAAAATGAAGCATGTAAATGGAGGTACAAACTGCAGCAGAGGGAAGCCCAGTCCCTGAAAGGCACAAAGTAAGAACTGAGCAGAGGGAGATAACTGTGACCGGACATATGACAAATGTTTTTTAAAAAATAGAGACAGGGACTGGCTATGTTGCCCAGGCTGGTCGTTAACTCCTGGGCTCAAGAGATCCTCTTGCTTTGGCTTCCCAATGTACTGGGATTACAAGTATGAGCCACCGCACAGGCCCCAATGACACATAAAGGGAAAGAGGAGGGCCCTGGAATTGTCTACCAGACCAGCTGGTCTACTAAGAGAAAAGGAGATAGAAAATGTGAACTTGATGGAGAGTTAGAAATGTTACCAGATCAAGTGGTTTCTTTGCCTTTCACATGAAAAAAGGAGAGGTTTCTCACAGCTTCTCAACTTCAAACCCTTTAATAGAAGTGACTTCCTGGACTGAGTCGTTGAAAGCTTCCAGAAGGGAGAAGCGCCCCTCTTTGCATGTGTCATCCACCCCGCAATGCCCTCCCATCACAGTAGAAAATAACTGCTGCTAATGTGGCTGAAAACCCTAAGGTAATTGTTAATAAATTATTCCTGAGATAGAATGAAATAAAAATATAATCTTGCACTAAAATTCCACAGGATTTCAGTTAGAAATTGGAAGAGAGGCAAGGAACTTGTACGTTACAGGACATTCAGGAAGAAAAGGCTGTAGATACTGATGTGTATAGAAATATGTTAAATATGTTGATGGAAAAAGTAGAAGTTGAACTATGTTTCTTAAAATATAAAGATAACTGGGCCGGGCGCAGTGGCTCACACCTGTAATCCCAGCACTTTGGGAGGCCGAGGCGGGCATATCATGAGGTCAGGAGATCGAGACCATCCTGGTTAACACGGTGAAACCCCGTCTCTACTAAAAATACAAAAAATTAGCTGGGCTTGGTGGCGGGCGCCTGTAGTCCCAGCTACTTGGGAGGCTGAGGCAGGAGAACGGCAGGAACCCGGGAGGCGGAGGTTGCAGTGAGCCAAGATCATGCCACTGCATTCCAGCCTGGGCAACAGAGCAAGACTCCGTCTCAAAAAAAAAAAAAAAAAAATATATATATATATATATATATATAAAGATAACCACTAGAAGACTAGATTTAGGCCCTCAACTTTCAAACTACTTGAGAAAAAAAGAGAAAACTAGCAATAGGAAAGGGGAAATAGCAAGTATAGAAATAAAACAGTTAACAAACTTGATTTTACATGTCTATATGAACTTTCATAGCAACACACAGAAACTACACGTTTAAATCAAACACCCTTGATCTTTTTTTCCAATCTGCTAGGTGTTGGGTCAGTTTTTTAAAACAGAAAACCTCAAATTATCAAAAGTAGAAATTATTCAGGCTGCATTCTGAATACAATATTGTTCTCAACATCATCTGCAAAAAGAAAACCTCCCGCCAGAAATCATTCCAATTGTTAATTATGAAATCCTTCTGGCCGGGTGCGGTGGCTCATGCCTGTAATCCCAACACTTTGGGAGGCTGAGGCAGGTGGATCACCTGAGGTCAGGAGTTCGAGACCAGCCTGGTCAACATGGGGAAACCCCATCTCTACTAAAAATACAAAAATTAGCTGGGCGTGGTGGCAGGCACCTGTAATCCCAGCTACTCGGGAGGCCGAGGCAGGAGAATCACCTGAGCCCGGGAGGCGGAGGTTGCAGTGAGCCGAGATAGCGCCGTTGCACTCCAGCCTGGGTGATAAGAGTGAGACTCCATCTCAAAAAAAAAAAAATCCTTCTAAGTTACTCTTAACATAAATTTAAAGAGGGCCAGGCACGGTGGCTCACACCTGTAGTCCCAGCACTTTGGGAGGCTGAGGTAGGCAGATCGCTTGAGCTCAGGAGTTCAAGACCAGCCTGGGCAACATGAGAAAACTCTGTCTCTACCAAAATGATTTTAAAACTAACAGGGCGCCAGCTATTTGGGAGGCCATGGTGGGAGGATCGCTTGAGCCCAGGAGGTCAAGGCTGTAGTAAGCCATGATCACACCGCTACGCTCTAGCCTGGGTGACAAAGCAAGACCTTGTCTCAAAAAAAAAAAAAAATCACATTTTATAACACCTAATGAATCAGTGAATCTAACTACTAATCACAGCTGCCAGTATTGCAAAAAGAGACACTGATAGAAATCCTGTGCCTCCTGATGGAAGAGCCTAACACAGTCTATGAAATAGTTTTGTCCGGCTGGGTGCGGTGGCTCACGCCTGTAATCCCAGCACTTTGGGAGGCTGAGGCGGGCGAATCACAAGGTCAGGAGTTCAAGACCAGCCTGGCCAACATGGTAAAACGCCGTCTCTACTGAAAATACAAAAAATTAGCTGGGCGTGGTGGCGGGCGCCTGTAATCCCAGCTACTTGGGAGGCTGAGGCAGGAGAATCGCTTGAACCCCGGGAGGCGGAGGTTGCAGTGAGCTGAGATTGCGCCACTACACTCCAGTCTAGATGACAGTACGAGACTCCATCTCAAAAAAAAAAAAAAAAGAAATAGTTTTGTCCTTTTCCCACATCCTCCCTGCAAAATAGAACCTGAACCTGATCCAGGCTTTAGAACTGCCTACCAAATTCAGGACAGAGGAACGTATTAAATGACACTGTGGGCCAGGTAAGTTGGCTCAGGCCTGTAATCCTAGGGCTTTGGAAGGCCAAGGTGGGAGGATTGCTTGAGGCCAGGAGTTTGAGATCAGCCTGGCCAACACAGTGAGATCCCATCTCTATAAAAAATAAAATAGACAAATAATACTGTGGAATTGGAATCAGCAAAATACAGCAAGTGGCGAAGTATGATAAATGAGTTTTTCAGTAAATACATTGCAAGAGGAAAAATAGGAGATGGATTTGTTCCTTATCTAAACAAACTAAAAAAGGAGAGAGAAAAGGAATTGGAAATTTGAACGCATGGACATTTGAAGATTTAAAATAGATAATTACTTTTAGATGTGATAATAGTATCGCAGTCTTTTTTTGGCATTCTTTTGGCATTTTTATCTTTTAATGTGTCACCTATATGCTTGCTGAAATATGGGTGAAATGAAATGATGTCTTGGATTTGTTTCAACATAGCACAGGAGGGGGGCGTGGCTGAGGGTATGGATGAAACAGGATTTGCTGCGACTTAACAGTTGTTGAAACCGGGTCTTAGGTACATATGGGTCCATGTTATTCTACTATTGTATATGTTGGATATTTTTCACAATAATAAAAAAAGATTATGAAGTCGATATGTGTTACAACCTAAGTGAGAATTATAGCATACTGAACACATTTTTTAGTCTTGCCTTCCTCTCAAGACCTCATTGAAATGACAGTAAAGACATATGCAAGAGATTAAACCCACAATGGAGAGGAGAACTAGAGTGGGTTCCTCAGTGGACCAGCGTTAATAGCATCTAGAAGACAAAGTGACAGGAACACTGACAATATAAAAGAGCACAGGAAGGCCGGGCACGTGACTCACACCTGTAATCCTAACCCTCTGGGAGGCTGAGGCAGGCAGATCACTTGAGACTAGGAGTTCGAGGCTTGCAGTCAGCTATGATCGCGCCACTGCACTCCAGCCTAGGCAACAGAGCGAGACCTGTTTCTTCACACACACACACACACACACACACACACACACACACACGAGGAAGCAATCTAGAATGTCCAAAAGCAGAAGCAGATTCAGGCTTCGTAAGACCTTAAAATTATGCAATTTTAAAACCAGCTTTATTGAGATGTAATTAATGTACAAAACCCGCTCATATTTAAAGTTACAATTTGATGAAATTTACATCTGTAGACACCACAAGACCGTCAGGATAATGAACATGCCCGTTATCTCCAAAAGGTTCCTCATCTGGCTGCTTCCACTCAGTGTAATGACTTTGGGATTCGTCGGTGATGCATGCATTCATCAGTAGTCGGTTCCTCTTTATGGCTGAGCAGCATCCGTTGTATGGATGTGCCACCATTTGTTTACTGTTCACCTGTTGGACATTTGGGATGTTTTCAGTTCTTGCCGCTGGCAAATCGAGCTGCTGGGAACGTTCACATTCATGTGCCAGCGTTTGTATCGACATGTTCTTTCATTTCTTGCAGGTAAATGCCATGGAGTGCAGCGGCTGGGTCGTATGGGGAGGGTGTGCTTAGCTTTTTAAGGAGCTGCCATCGTGTTCTCCAAAGTGCTCGCACATGTTACTTTCCCAGCAGCAGGAGAGTGCCAGTGGCTGAACACCCACGCCAACTGTGGTTTAGCCGGGCTTTTTAATTGTAGCCATTCTAATGGGTGTGTGCTGCCGTCTCGTGATTTTAACTTGCATTTCCCTATCGTGACATCTTTTCATAAACCCACAAACTTTGCTTGCCATTTGTATATCTTCCTTAGTGAAGTGTCAGTTCAAATCTTTCGCCTAGTTTTTAACTGGGTTGTGTTATTTAGTTCTGAGTTCTGTGTTTATTCTGGATACAAGTCCTTCTGTCAGATATGTGTTTGCAAATATTTACACCTAGTCTATGGTTTGCCTTTTCATAAGTGTCTTTGGAAAAACAAAGTTTTCAATTTTTACAAAGTCCAATTTATTGATTTCCTTAATAGTTCATGCTTCTTGTGTCCTAGTATATTAGTTTTCTGTAGCTGCTATAACAAATTACCACAAAGTTATTCTCTCACAGTTCTTGAGGCCAGAAGTTCAACATCAGTTTCACTGGGCAGAAACCAAGGTGCCAGCAGGGCTGCACTCCCTCCAGAGGCTCCAGGGGAAATTTTTTTTTGAGACAGGGCTTCACTCTGTCATCCAGGCTGGAGTGCAGTGGCACAGTCACAGCTGGCTCACTGCAGCCTTGACCTCCCGGGCTCAAGCAATCCTCCCACCTCAGCCTCCCAAGTAGCTGGAAATACAAGTGCATGTCACCCCATCCAGCTAAATTTTGTATTTTTTTTAGACCTGGGATTTCCCCATGTTGCCCAGGCTACTCTTGAACTCCTGGGCGCAAGTGATCTGCCGATCTAGGCCTTCTGGAGTGCTGGGATTATAGGCGTGAGCCACCCCTGGTGCCAGCATAGAAGGGGTAGTGCTTGTGCTTCATGCTCCACCTCGATGGCCATGGTTTACCTGCAGGACTGGCTGACTCTGCTGTCCTGGCCATGTGGCTGCTCTTTGTTCCTGCCCAGTTCTCAAATCTGGGCCCTCCCAGCCACCTGTGAGCCCTCCAACACTGTCAGCAAAGGTGTTTTCCAATTCCATCAGCCAGAGCTGGTCTCTATTACTTGCAACTCAGAAGCTTTCCTGATAAAGCATGTTTACCAGAAGTCCATCGTGAGCACCGTGCTTGGCTGTGAAATATGAGTGGCATTTCCATTTCAGTGGGCAGCAGGCCAGTGGCTGTCATCAGCACCCCTGCTACTCAGCTGTGTTCTGAGGGGCTTAGGCCATGCCCTAAGGCAGGATGGAGAAATGAAGTTTTTCAAATACCAAACAGACACACTGTCTCTATTGCCCACTATCATCCCCACCGTATGTAAGCTCCATGAGGGTATGGATCCTTGTCTTTTAGGGTCACTGCTGTACATTGAGCACCTAGAACCATGCCTGGTATATAGCAGGTATTCTGTTAACATTTGCTGAATATAAATTCACAAAGAATAGTAAAATTGTTCACCTAAAAAATCCAAGAAAATCAACTGAAAAACTATTTGACAAATAAGAATGCAATAAAGTATGTGTTGAGAGGTGAGCATGTATAAATCAGTAGCTTTCTTATATGCTGGTGATGACCATTTTAGAGATGAACACCACCTCATTTGTAAGAGCAACAACAACAAAATCTAAGAATAAATTTAAGAAGAAATGTTCAAGGAAAGGCTTGTGCCTGTCATCCCAGTTACTCAGGAGGCTGAAGTGGGAGGATCTCTTAAGCCCAGGAGTTTGAAACCAGCCTGGACAATATAAAGAGACCTCATCTCTTAAAAAAGTAAAAAATAAAAGTTTTTTTAATTTTAAAAAAAGATTTGGGAGGCTGAGGTGGGAAGATCCCTTGAGGCCAGGAGTTCGAGACCAGCCTAGGCAACGTGGCAAAAACTCATCTATACAAAAAATTAGGTGGGCATAGTGGCAGGTGCCTGTGGTCCCAGCTACCTGGAGGCCGAGGTCAGAGGATCACCTGAGCCTGGGAGGTCGAGGCTGCAGTGAGCCAAGATCGTACCACTGCACTCCAGCCTGGGCAACAGAGTGAGAGAGTGAGACCCCTGTCTCAAAAAAAGAAAAATGTTCAAGACTCAAGACACGTACAAAGAAAATCATAAAACTTTATGTTAAAATATAACAGACACTATTCAGGGCCCCCAGATCCTACCCAGGACTGCACCCAAGCTGACCGGGTCTTCTCTAAAAACAGAAAAAGAAGCCATTACTAAGGATTATAAGACATAGCGTGTTCTTAAAGGACAAAACTGATCATAACGGTGATCATAAAGACAGCTCAGCTTCTCCTTTGCCTTATCTGGGCCCCACAATGTTCTGAGCACTTGCCATTGAATGACCCGTTTAACACTGTCCAGGACTCATGCAGGCAGGAATTATACTGTTCTTTTTTTACAGAGTGGCGCATCCGTTTTATTGAGGTAAAATGGATTTTTGTACATTCACTCCATGACTGAACTGAAAAGATATCCACCACCCACATAATAGGCAAAGGATTAGTAACGGAATATGCAAATGGATCTAAAAATCACAGTAAATGTACAAACAACACAATCTTTTTTTTTGTTTGTTTTTGAGACAGGGTCTGGTTCTGTCGCCCAGGCTGGAATGCAGTGGTGTGATCTCAGCTCACTGCAACCTCGTTCTCCTGGGCTCAAGCAGCCATCCCACCTCAGCTACCTGAGTAGTTGGGACTACAGGTGCACCCCTCTGTGCCCAGCTAATTTTTTTTTCTTTCTTTCTTTCTTTTTTTTTTTTTGTAGAGACAGGGTCCCACCATTTTGCCCAGGCTGGTCTCAAACTCCTGAGCCAAGTGATCCACCTGCCTCAGCCTCCCAAAGCACTGGGATGACAGGCGTGAGCCACCATACCCGGCCCCAGCAGTACAATCTGGTAAGTCGAAAAAGAACTGGCACCTCATGAAAACAGAGAAATGGCCAATGAACTGAAAAGACGCGCAGCCTTAGCAGCCGCAGGGACGTCATGCTGAAGCAATGAAGCCCTTCCTCCTCTCCGGCTGTGCTCACTGCTGGGAACTGGCAGCTCAGGGGTCTCGGTCCTGCCTGCTTCCCCTCCACGGCCCCTCGCTGCCTGTAGCTCCTCACGCCTTAGTCCAGCTCCATCTGCTCATTCCCTGGAGTGCACCCTCAGCTGCCTTGTCCCTCTCACCCAGTTGGCCAAGCCCAGCTGGGCACCGGGCCTGCACCCAAGCTGCCAGGAGTGGAAAGAGAGGAGACACAGCCATGTGGATTGGTTTCATTTTAAATTCATGGCCACCAGCTCAAGTGGACACTTGTTGACTGCTACATTTCCCCAGCCTGGTACCACCCAAACATGTCCTCGTGTCCTGGCACACAGAGAGGGCAGAGCTGGGATCACACTGCCTGCCCCTCTAAATGAAAGGTTGCTGAGCAGAGCGGGAAGCTGCACCTTTGCAGGCAGGTCAAGGACCTGGCTTCTGGGACCCAGGGGGACCCCATGTGAAGGGGAGTGGGGCTGGGCTTGTCTAGAATCTGCCTGAAGTGGGGACCTGGAAGAGTGAAACTGAAGGAGGCTGGAAGTATTCACCCGAAGGCAGAGAGACTCCAGACCCCGAAAAAGTGGCCCAAGAGGGACAGTCAGCTTTGGTCACCTGGGAGCCCAAGCAGTGTGTAGGCAGCAAAGACCCCCGGCCCTTGCCGCTGGCCTTTGGGCTGTCCCCAGAGGGTCAGGAGCTACAACTGGAGAGGAAGTGGGCAGAGCCCAGGCTGGAGCAGGAGGCATTTCAACTCAGAGTAAAGTTGGGAGTTTTGATGGTTACACCGGCCAGGACACAAAAATTACTTCAGTGAGACCAAATCGAAAATGGGCATGAAAACGGGGCCAGATTTTCACCCGGTGGTGGGTGTGGGGTGGGGAAGAACACTGGGGGAAGGAACAATACAAGTGATTTGTTTCTCTTCTATTAATAACTCGCAAAGCTGCAAAAGTGGGTGGGGGCTTATTCAAATGAATGTAATTCTTCTGTTACCTTCAAACATCAGTGACACTATATGCACAGGGGACCATCAGGGGGCGGGCGCTGGAGGGGTAATTCTTCCACCTCTGTGGCACCCAGCTGTGCGCCTGCAGACTGATCTGTCTCCCTCCCTCTTGCAGGAAAACACTTTTCTATGAATTCACAATGATATTTGTACTATGCTGGGGCTATTGTTAGGAGTTGGTATGATGAAATATTCCGCATTGTAAACAGTGTGCACACAAACATGTCTCGAGTGTGTACTTGTACTTTGCTGGTGAGTGGAAAGCAGAGGGTGATCTTTGAAAAGAGGCTGGACTGCTTGCTGGAAAACCTTCAAAACAGGAAGCAGCCACTAGATTCAAGTCACATTCCTGCCGGAGGCTAGACGTGATCCCCCAGGCCGGAATCCCAGCAGTGCTGGGCGGGCGTGTTTATTTGTCCTTGGGTACATGAAGCAATAGCTCCGTTGCTCCTCCGTGAGAGATTGCAGAATGTTCTGGCTGGAATAACCAGTCAAGGTAGTGTCAGAAGACAGAGTTACAGCAGATCTAGTTTAGAGGCCTTCATTGGCTTGCGTTTGCTCTTCTAGAATGGGCAACACCTCGTTCGATAAAATAGAGAAAAGGGCCGAGGAAAGCAGAAACCAGAACAGAAAGCTGATTGGTCTTTTCACAGTTAAAGGTTTAAGCAGAGGGCTTCCCTACTGTGCTAGCTGAAACTGGCCTGTTTGGGGATTTGGCTACGATCTCCTTCTCTCCTGATTTCTTAGAAGCTCAAACAATTTTCTCTTGGTGGTGTGGAAACTCAGCGCAAACAACCCTGTTTGGGTTTGGTCTGTTGGGCTTAGTGCGGGAGCCCTGCCCAAAGCCAGTGCCTCCTGTCAATTTCACTGCACACTGACATGGGACCAACATGCCTAACACTCGTCTGTCCCGTGGACCCTGTCTCTTTCATTTTTTTATTTTTAGTTTTTAGAGACAGGGTCTTGCTCTGTCTCCTAGGCTGGAGCGCAGTGGTGCAATCACAGGTCACTGCAGCCCTGACCTCCTGGGCTCAAGGGATCCCCTCTTCTCAGCTTCCCAAGGAGCTGGGACTGCAGGCATGTGCCACCAGGCCTGGCTAATTTTTTATTTTTTGTAGAAACAAGTTCTCACTATATTGCCCAGGCTGATCTCAAACTCCTGGCCTCAAGTGATCCTCCCACCTAGGCCTCCCGAAATGTTGGTATTACAGGCATGAGCCGCTACACCCGGCTCTGTCTCTTTCAAAGCACAAGTCCACAGTTTTGCTGACACGTGGTGGCGATGGGGAAAGGTCAGCAGGGAGTAGAGAAGAGAACACAGGCTTTTGCCACTGTGTGAGGTGGCAGTGGGAGAGTCTGCAGATAGCAGGGGAGCAGAAAGCAGGGGACAGCTAGGGCTGGTATCTGGGCTCTGCTACTAAGAAGCTGTGTCACTTGGAGAAGCGACTCACCTCTGTGAAGGTCCCCATCTTTAAAATGAGGGTGACCACAACAGCACTGCCCTCTGAGGCTGCCATGATTCCGTGAGTTCACGAGGGCACTGCATTTGGTGCCTGGCAAATTACAGTGCTTGGTGGGTGGTGCCTGTGCCTGACACTCCTGCCCTGTGTTGTTACCTCCTAATAGCCAGCGAGGGGAGGTGTGCTTTCCTTATCTCGCACAGGAGGGGACTGAGGCTCAGATAGTCCATGGCCACATGAACTGGGACTCGGAAACAGGCCCTCATGGCTGTAAGTGCTGGCCTCATTTCGCGTTGCGTCACCAAAAACAGACAGGATCAGTGATCAGCTAGAGGGGCCAAGCAGGGGCAGGAGGGTGGGAAGAGTGGTCCCTCCAAGGGGACCCAGAAAATGCCAGTGTGACAGCCCTCGGGGCCCCTGGCTGGGCAAGTGGAAGACAGAGCACTGGCTGGAGCCGAGAGCTGGCAGGACTGAGCCTTGGCCTCCGCAAGAGCCCCAGCAAAAGCCAGCCCGGCACAACAGCTTTGCCCCTCGGTGGAAGCCCCCAGGCTGCGTCTGGAGTGGCAGAGCTCGCATTCCAAGCTCAGAGACACTGTCTCCAAGAGCCCTGCGCTTCTAGCCGAGCCCTTTCCCTGGGTCAAAGGAGAATGGTGGAGCTCTTTTGGGGTACACTGAGGGGGCCCAGGCCAGGCTTTGTAGGGAAGGCCCTGATGACCAGTAACTCATGAGGACTAAGCTCTGATTTTTTTATCTTGCCCAAATTCCTATCTTAGGGGTCTGGGGAGTCATGCCCTACAAACCGTAAGTTCTCATGGGATGGGTTTTATTTAACCCTATATATTGTGACTTACTTTCCAAGCTGACTCTGGTATAACATTACGAGACAAAGAAGAAAATCAAAATATTTTATCCCAAAACATGTTTCTCTGCCATATCTTGAAATGGCCCTGCAAAGTTGTCCTTTGTGGGGGAAAATCTACATCTGTAAAGAATGGAGTATCTAGTAACATAGCTACATTTTTTTCTTCCAGGCCCTCCCAATCCTGAAGAGATTTAAAAATCTAGCACCTTTTAAAGACCTGAATAGGGCCGGGCGCGGTGGCTCATGCCTGTAATCCCAGCACTTTGGGAGGCAGAGGTGGGCAGATCATGAGGTCAGGAGTTCAAGACCAGCCTGTCCAATATAGTGAAACCCTGTCTCTACTAAAAAATACAAAAATTAGCTGTGCATGGTGGTGCGCGCCTGTAGTCCCAGCTACTCGGGCGGCTGAGGCAGGAGAATAGGAGAATGGCTTGAACCTGCGAGGCAGAGGTTGCTGTGAGCTGAGATCACGCCACTGCACTCCAGCCTGGGTGACGGAGTGACACTCCATCTCAAAAAAAAAAAAAATCTGCAAAGGAAACATTTGTCATCTATCGTCTCTAAGGGCAGCCACTATGAGATTCAAAAGAACCTTGGTCTCCACAATCTTTTATCTTAACCTGAACATTCCCTTTCTATCCATCCCAGGACTTTAGACAAACTCAACCAATTATCAACCAGAAAATGTTTACATTTACCTATAGCCTGGAAGCTCGCCCCCCCACCCATCCCCCCACCCCCCCCCACCCCACCCCAGCTATCTTGCCTTTCTGGACCAAACCAATGTATTTCTTAAATGTATTTGATTGATATCTTATGCTTCCCTAAAATGTATAAAACCAAGCTGCAAGTTACAAAGCTACACATGAAGACTTAGCCTGAGACCAGTCTAATTGGTTGCAGGAGGGGAGCAATCAGAGACACTTTCATTTTTCATCTGCAAAGCAGAAAAGTGAGGCTTGCAAAAGGAGTAGCCTCTGATCCAGAAAACCAAGCTGCACCCCGGCCACCTTGGGCACATGCTGCTGCTTCTTTTTTTTTTTTTTTTTTTTTTTTTTTTGAGACAGAATTTTGCTCTGTTGCCCAGGCTGGAGTGCAGTGGCATGATCTCGGCTCACTGCAACCTCCGCCTTCCGGGTTCAAGCGATTCTCCTGCCTCAGCCTCCTGAGTAGCTGGAATTATAGGCGTCCGCCACCATGCCCAGCTAATTTTTTGTATTTTTAGTAGAGATAGGGTTTCATCATATTTGATCAGGCTGATCTCGAACTTCTGACCTCAGGTGATCCACCCTCCTCAGCCTCCCAAAGTGCAGGGATTACAGGCATGAGCCACCGTGCCTGGCTGGACACATGCTTTCAAGACCTCCTGAGGGCTGTGTCACTGGCCATGGTCGCTCATATTTGGGTCACAATAAATCTCTTCAAATATTTCAGAGTCCGACTCTCTTCGTCGACACTCAGCTGAAGAACAGCCAAACTTGCCGGCAGAATGAGGCTGGCTCAGGTGACTAAAGAGGGGGCCGTGCTGTTTGCCAAGACACAGCTACAGGAAGAGGAGCCCGCGGGAGGTAGGAAGGCAGGGAAGGAGGCTTTGAGTGGGGCTCACGTGCCTGGGGTGACTATGGAATAAACATCCAGGTGCAGGCAGGACTCAGGCTTAGGATCACCAGGAGAGAGCAGCGTTGAGGCAGGGAGAATAGGGTCTGGAGGCAGGGAACCTAAGGCCGATTCTCTCTGACTACCTAGAACTGAATCAAAAGGAAAACCCTCATCTCTCCACACCCAAGTAACAAACGGACCAGAGGCTACTCCCTTTGCAAGCCTCACTTTTCTGCTTTGCAGATGAAAAATGAAAGTGTCTCTGATTGCTCCCCTCCTTCAACCAATTAGACTGGTCTCCGGCTAAGTCTTCATGTGTAGCTTTGTAACTTCACTTCAGCCTGTGATTGGCCACCTTCCTCAGCCAATCAGACTGGTTGCAGGCCGCTACTTCATTTACATAGCGTGTAAACCAAGTAACCAATGGGAAACCTCTAGAGGGTATGTAAACCTCAGAAAATTCTGTAACCCGTGATCTTGAGCCTCTTGCTTTGGCCTGTTCCTACTCTGTGGAGTGGGCTTTTGTTTTGATACATCTGCTTTTCTTTGGTTGCTTTGTGTGTTTTGTCCAATTCTTTGTTCAAAACACCAAGAACCTGGACACCCTCCACCAGTAACAGCATTATCTGGCACAGCTGCTGGGAAAAGTCACCCCTGCAATTTGCTCAGAGGGTAAGAGACACTGGCTGTGTACTCTTCCGCAAGGCAGCTCTGGACACCAGCTCTCCCATGTCTGCTCCCAACATCCAGGAATTAGCAAATACCCCACCTACCACCAAGGCTGCACCTTATCTGGCTGTCCTGCCTCCAGCCACGCAGGCGCACACCTGCCATCCTCCCTGCCCACACAGAGGTGGGAGGCCAGGATGCCCAGCTGGGCACATTCTCTCTTCTCCTATCACCATTTTTGCTCATTGACATTGAGGACTAAGCTCTAATTTTTTTATCTTGCCCGAATGCCTATCTAAGGGGTCTGGGGAACCATAAATTCTCATCAGATGGGTTTTATTTAACCCTATATATTGTGACTTACTTTCCAACCTGACTCTGGCATAATTTTATGAAACAAGGGAGAAAATCAAAATATTTTACCCCAAAACATATTTCTTTGCCATGTCTTGAAATGGCCCTGCAAAGCTGTCCTCCGTGGGGGAAAAGTTGCATCTCTAGTAACATAGCTAGATCTTTTTCTTCCAGGCCCTCCCAATCCTAAAAGGATTAAGAGTCTAGCACCTTTTAAGCATCTGAATAGGAAACATTTGTCATCTATTGTCTCTAAGGGCAGTCACTAGAAGACTTCAGAAGAATCTTGGTCTCCACAATCTTTTATCTTAACCTGAATATTCCCTTTCTAGCCGTCCCAGGTCTTTAGACAAACTCAACCAATTGTCAACCAAAAAATGTTTAAACTCACCTGTGGCCTGGAAGCCCCCGTTTGAGTCATCCCACCTTTCTGGACCAAACCAATGTATTTGATTGGTGTCTCATGCCCCTGTAGAAGGTATAAAACCAGGCTGCGCCCGAGCACCTTGGACACATGTTCTCAGGACCTCCTGAGGCTGTGTCACAGGCCATGGTCACTCATGTTTGGCTCAGAATAAATCTCTTCAAATATTTTACAGAGTTCGACTCTTTTCATCGACAACATTAATGCCTCAAAAGAAAGAAAAAGGCCAGGCATGCTGGCTCACTCCTGTACTCCCAACACTGGAGGATCACTTGAGGCCAGGAGTTCAAGAACAGCCTGGGCAACAAAGTGAGATCCCATCTCTACAAAAAAAATTAGCTGTTCAGGAAGCTGAGGCAGGAGGATCACTTGAGCCTGGGAGGCCACGGCTACAGGAGCTATGATCTCGCCACTGCACTCCAGAATGGGCAACAGAGCAAGACCCTGTCTCTAAAAAAATAAAGGAGCTCGTGGAAGGTACACTATCTTGCATAGAAGAGATGCTGAGTTCTTCATCCCCTAGTGAGCGCCTTTTCCCCACAGCCCCGCCCTCTGTTCCCTTCCCTGAACCAGAGTTGCGAATTCTCACCTGATCCTCTCACAGCTGCCAGGTGTTATCTCTCAGGAAATAGCCCCCTGTCATGTGTAACAACTTGATCTGCCTCTGAGGCCCCTCTGCACTCAGCTGGTGGGAGGAAAGGTCCTCCCTGGGGGTGTGCCCAGGGCTGTGGTCTTCCTTGGGGAGGGAATGGACTATCGGTCTTCAGAGCTTGCTGGCAGACGTCCATCGGGTGGCCCTGTGGTCCCCTGGACTCTGCTGCCCCAAGCTTGGCTGGGAATGGAGCTGCCCCGTGCGGGTGGCCCCAGGCACCCTCAGCTGGCTGCTCCAGCATCTGCCATCCCTGGCTGCCATCTGGGAGGGGCTACTGCACACCCCCCAATCCTCGGGGCATGCTCTTTGCCCTGAGACCCTCTTTGCCTTTCCCTGAGCCTCGGCTTTCGGGAGAAGCATCTGGAAAATGTGCAGGCTGGTGGGTCCTCTGCTCCCTCTCTCTGCATCACTCCTGGCAGAGCACAGAGCCCAGTCCTGCCGGAACGGGATAAAGGAAAGAGAGAAGTGTACAGAGAGTGTGTGCAGTATTTCCAAGGCCACCCCATGGGCCTTATTCTTCCCGTCTGTTAAATGCAGATAGTGCTAAAACCCACTTCACTGAGTTTGCCGAGGATTACAGAAAGCAACGCACGTGACAGTGGAGCGGGAGACCAGGGTCTGGGGGCAGGGACTTCAGGCCAATGCGTGCTGAATCAAGGAAGAACACCAGGGTCTGGGGGCAGGGAATCTGAGGCCAATTTGTGCTGACTTCTCAACGCTGGATCAAAAGGAAAAACATCTCCCCACCCCGTAACAGAGGATCAAAGGCCATTCTCCCTACAGCCCTCCCACTTCCACCAAGAGGGCGAGGGCCTTGGAGTGGCCACAGGGCATCCCCTCATCTGCATAAGGCGCCAATTCACCTTAGCCTTTTTTTTTTTTTTTTTAGACAAACTCATGCTCTATCACCCAGGCTGGAGTGCAGTGGCGCGATCTCGGCTCACTGCAGCTTCCACCTTCTGAGTTCAAGAGATTCTCCTACCTCAGCCTCCCGAGTAGCTGGGCTTACAGGCATGCATCGCCGTGCCCGGCTAATTTTTGTATTTTTAGTAGAGATGAGGTTTCACCATGTTGACCAGGTTGGTCTCGAACTCCTGACCTCAGGTAACCCCTCTGCCTCTGCCTCCCAAAGTGCTGGGATGACAGGTGTGAGCCACTGTGCCTGGCCAAGAATGTCATACGTTTATGGTGTGCTATGATCCCTCTTAGGGGTAAAAACAATTAATATATTTGCTCTAAATTCCCTCCAAGCTACTCCAGGAGTATGATTTGCTATTCTTTCGGGGTGAAGCCACCTTTGCTAAATTATGACTGAGACAGTGAAAGAGATCTAACGTAACCAACTCCATCTTCCTCCTAACCTCCAAGCTGTCCTTGTTCATTCCTGGGCGTAGGCTGAACTAACTTTGGGAAGAACTTAGTTTATAGTTTAAACAAAGATGGTAACAGCCCTTTCCCAAAGCTGACCTCCTTCTTGCCTGGGGACTAGATGGCCTTTGTAGGGCTAACATTAGCCACAAGATGAGAAATGATGGTTTAGGAGTCACGCAGCAGGAGGCTACAAGATTCTGACCCTCCCTAAACTGCTCCTAAGATCAGCCCTTGAGATATTGTCCAGAACCTGTACTTGATGGATCAGCTGGTACCACCCAGATCCATAAACTGGCTCATCTGCTCTTATGGCCCCCACCCAGGAAGTGACTCAGCACAAGAAGACAGCTCCAACTCTCTGTGACTTCATCTCTGACCAATCACACTCCTGGCACACTGGCTTCCCCCCACCCACCAAGTTGTCCTTAAAAACTCTGCTCCCTGAATGCTCGGGGAGACCAATTTGAGTGATAATGAAACGCTGGTCTCCTGCACAGCTGGCTCTGTGTGAATTACCCTTTCTCTGTTGCAATTCCCCTGTCTTGGTAAATCGGCTCTGTCTAGGCAGCAGGCCAGGTGAACCCTTGGGCCGTTACACTGGGGTGCTGTAGGCCCCGTTTAGTCCGTTTAGTCCACCTGAGCCCCAAGGCACTGAGAGGAGGACAGAGGCTGAGGATGGCAGTGGGGGCCACAGTTCCCACTTCTGAGCCTCCTTCCCTGGGAGGGGGCTCCTCATGTTGGGGGGTTCAAACCAGAGCATCTCCATCTTGAGTGAGGGCTGGGAAAGGAGGCTGGGGCTTGCTGGGCTGTAGTGCCGGAAAGTTAGGTATTCCCAGCCTCTAGATGTTTCTGGTTAAGGGAAAAGATTGACAACATTTACTAAACAGATCCAGACTTAAGAGTGTCCTGATATCCCAATATCTTGAGAACAGAAGCAGTCCTAATTTTGCTTTAAAGATAATATCGATTCTTGCAAAATATAGTAATTAAGAACAGTAACTCTTCATCACAAACCCTCGTAGCAGAGCACATCTCCCCATGATCTTTTTTTATCGTGTGTATAAACAAGTATTGTACTGTGGGTGGACACATTCCTCCTCTTACTTTTGGGAACACCCTACTCTGTCTATGGAGTATCTGTTCCTTCACCACTTTTGTCAACAAAGAGTCAAACTCTGTAATATATTTGAAGAGATTTATTCTGACCCAAACGTGAGTGACCATGGCCCATGACACAGCCCTCAGGAGGTCCTGAGAACCTGCACCCCAGGTTGTCGGGGTACAGCCTGGTTTTATATCTTCTATGGAGCGGGGGGTGGGGTGGGGTGGGGGGGGCATGAGACATTAATCAAATACATTTAAGAAATACATTGGTTTGGTCCAGAAAGGCGGGACCACTCTAAGTGGGGGTGGGGGTGGGTGTGGGGGTGGGAGGGGGTGGGGGTGGGGGTGGGAGAGGGCACTTCCAGGCTATAGGTAAATTTAAACATTTTCTGGTTGACAATTGGTTGAGTTTCTCTAAAGACCTGGGAACCATAGAAAGGAAATATTCAGGTTAAGATAAAAGATTGTGGAGACCAAGGTTCTTTTGAAGTCTCATAGTGGCTGCCCTTAGAGACAATAGATGACAATTTTTTCCTATTCAGATGTTCAAAAGGTGTTAGACTCTTAGTTAACCTCTTTAGGATTGGGAGGGCCTGGAAAGAAAAGATCTGGCTGTGTCTCTAGAGATTCTTCACAGTTGCACATTTTCCCCCACGAAGGACAGCTTTGTAGGGCCATCTCAAGATATGGCAGAGAAACATGTTTTGGGGTTAAATATTTTGATTTTCTTCCTTGTCTCATAAAATTATGCCAGGGTCAGGTTGGAAAGTAAGTCACAATATATAGGATTAAATAAAACCCATCTGATGAGAATTTATGGTTTGTAGGGCATGACTCCCCAGACCCCTGAGACAGGAATTTGGGCAAGATGAGAAAATCAGAGCTTAGTCCTCACTTTCTTAACAAACTTGCTTTTGCTTTGCACTGTGGACTTGGCCTGAATTCATTCTTGCATGAGATCCAAGAACCTTTTCTTGGAGTCTGGATTGGGACTGCTTTCCTGTAACACCTGCTGTAACTGCCCAGTGGATTTCACCTTGCCCACTGCCTAGACAGCTGATTTGTCAAGACAGGGGAATTGCAATACAGAAAGAGTAATTTACCCAGAGCCAGCTATGTGGGAGACAGGAGTTTTATTGTTACTCAAATGAGTCTCTCCGAAAACTCAGGGATCAGAGTGTTTAAGGACAATGTGGTGGGTAGGGGGCCAGTGAGTCGGGAGTGCTGATTGGTTGGCTCAGGGATGAAATTATAGGGAGTCAAAGCTGTCCCCACCTCTTGTTCTTCTTGAGACAGGGTCTCACTCTATCACCCAGGCTGGAGTGCGGTGGCACAATCTTGGCTCATTGCAACCTCCGCCTCCCAGGTTCAAGGGATTTTCCGGCCCCAGCCACCTGAGTAGCTGGAATTACAGGCACACGCCACCACGCCCGGCTAATTTTTATATTTTTAGTAGAGATGGGATTTCACCACGTTGGCCAGGCTGGTCTTGAACTGGCCTCAAGTGATCTGCCTGCCCCGGCCTCCCAAAGTGTTGGGATTACAGGAGTGAGCCACCTTATCTGGCTGAAGCTGTCCTCTTGAGACAGGAAAATAGGGTCTGCAGGCAGGAAGCATGAGGCTGATTCACACTTTGACTATAACAGGAAATATCCTCTCCATAGGGCTATACACCGACTTTGTAACTTTACTTCATCCTCTTCATTTACATAGGACATACCCCAAGTAGAGGGTATTTAAACACAAAAACTCTGTAACGGGGCCCTTGAGCCCCTATGCTCGGGCCGGCTCCTACCCTGTGGAGTGCACTTTCATTTTCAATAGATCCCTTCATCTCTTCCTTGCTTTGTTTGTGCGTGTTGTCCAATTCTTTGTTCAAGACACCAAGAACCTGGACGCGCTCCACCGTTAACATATTTTGGCAAGCCAGCCAGGAGAAAGAGGTGAGCCCAAAGTTTGTTTCTCCTTTTCCTTTCTGCTTCATCCAGGGCAATCTCTTTCTCTCTCTTTTCCTTTCCAAACTGGGACCCATGTGTAGGTAGCGCCTAAACATGGAAGCAACTGTAGGTTTCCGGCGGTGGCCAGTGAAACTAAGGGGCTTCCATGTGGAGAAACCTGACTGCCACCACCAATTTGCTTAAGGGACCAGGGTCTTTTTCATTTTTTTTCCTCTCTTTTTCAGTCTTTCAGTGGCTGTTGCCTAGTAGCTCCTTGGAATTGAGGGCAATTGGCTGGGGTCACACCCCGGTATTGCCTGAGGGCCTAGGAACGAATGGGAATAGTTGCCCCAAAGGGGAAAGGCCTTTATATATATATATATATATATATATATATATATTTTCGACACGTGGCCCTGATCCCTAAGTGTGACGCAGCTCGGAGCAAACTCGCACGCGTTTCAGGCAACTTAAACCTTTTCTTGGCTGGGCAGGGTGGTTCATGCCTGTAATCCCCGCACTCTGGGAGGCTGAGGTGGGCGGATCACGAGGTCGGGAGTTCGAGACCAGCCTGCCCAACATAGTGAAACCCCCGTTTCTACTAAAAATACAAAAATTAGCTGGGTGTAGTGGTGGGTGCCTGTAATCCCAGCTACTCAGGAGGCTAAGGCGGGAAAATCGCTTGAACCTGGGAGGCAGAGGTTGTGGGGAGATCTCGCCACTGCACTCCAGCCTGGGCAACAGAGCAAGACTCTGTCTCAAAAAAAAAAAAAAAAAAAACCTTTCTTATGCTAAATTCGTCCCTTCCCCTATTCTACTGGCAAAGGGCAAAGGAAACCCACCCAGCCTCCAGTTCCTGTCTTTAAAGTTCATGGAACAGGAAGCAGGGAAAAGCATGGCCTTATGAAATTATAAGGATGCTAAAAGTCAGGGATTACACTCAGGTACCAAAGGAAAGCTCATAGTGGGCGCTGGAGGGAACACATGCAGAGCGGCACCGGTGCCCACCTAAGGCCAGAGACGTTTGGAGCTCTAAGATTGGACCCCACAGAAGGACACTTCAGGGGATCCTCCGGACCTCAAGCTCTTCAAAGAGGACATTCTCAGCAGAGGTTCTGAGGTCTAGTAATAAGCCCTCCTTAGAATTTTCTCTCACGGTTGCAATGCTGCTTGGCCCCCAAATTTTTTAGAATCTGAAGTTTACTGTCTAATGGGAAAGTGGGATGGCGTCGCATGGATCCAGGGTTTTGTGCTGCTGTTCTAAGCAGGGGGCCTGGTTAACGTGACACCCTCCTTTGGTACTGTTTGGCTCCAGTGCTCCTTGGAGTCTCGGGAGGTTTAGCCTTTGTTGAGACTGCTTTACCCGAAATTTTGGTTCCCAGCCTTCCTTGGATTACCTACTGGGGCAAAGTCAAACCGGCGAGCTTGTACTGCAATCTCACAGCTAAGGTTCCAAGCTATTGGGTCTTCATTTATGTGTGTGTATACACGTCTAGATGTGTTTATTTGTATGTACACTTATTGTTATATGTTGTGTCTACCAAATTGGCTTATAAGTAAAAGAGTGCTCATAAATTAAGTAAATAAGTCTAAGCAATTTTCAACTTCACATGACTCAAGTATAACTTTAGTAAACAAGCTAGCTTTAAAATTAGTGGTGGAATAAAAATAGAAATGCCTTCAAAATTGTCAGCATACATGTTGTCTGAATTTGATGTTTGTCGTTGCTGGATTAAAATGTCAGCATTAATTCCAGCTGGCAGCTGCTTGGGGCAAGCCTGCCCCCCATTCTTTTCAGAGTCTCACTGAGATCGATGAATATCTGATTGCTTCCTTTGGAAAGGCTAATCAGAAACGCAGAAGAATGCAACTGTTTGTCTCCCACCTGTGATCTAAAAACCCCTAAGCCTCCTCCCTGCTGCCTCCAGTTTTCCCACCTTTCTGGACCAAACCAATGTTCATTTTGAATATGTTGACTGACATCTCCTGTCTCCTTTGTTGAAAGTAAAAATTAAGTACAGTGAATGAAATAAATGTTTTAGGTAAACTTTTTGTGTAAATTAAAATCTTAAAGTTATTTTTGATGCTCATTCAATATCTGGGTCATTTCCAATAAAGAAAGGGTTGTGATATGGGGAAATATATTTCTGAAATTGTGAAATTGTTCTTATCTATAAATGCCAATATCTGATAGTTCAGGATTTCCTGCTTTTTAGGATTTCACTGAAGTTTTAGGTTACTAAGGATAAAATTCTAGTTAACATGTAATTCTGTATACAAAATGTACCAGAAAGGGTTACGTTATTAGTTTAAAAAAAAAAGAATAATTTTGTCTAATTCAGAAGTTATCTAAAAGTTCAAATTACAGATTTGAAAAGGTTATTTCTGAAACAATGTAGTAAGGAACCATTAAGTACAGGAGAAAGATGTGGAAAAAGTTTAAATAATAAAATCTTTAAAACGTGACAGAGAATTGGAGACATTTGGCTAATTAACATTTTCATAGTTAAAGCTCTTAGTCTTGATTAAAGTAAAATAAGAAGTATTGTAAAATGCATCAGCAGCTTGGCAATTTTTTTTTTTAAAATATAGTTAAGCATGAAGCTGGATTTAGTGTGAAGCCAATTTTCACATACATGCTTCACACTTTGGAAAATTGTTTCTTGTTTAGTGTGGGTAGTGCTGGAGTACTTCTCAGTCATGTGCCTAAAGTGGATTTCTGGATTGCGCAGAAGGTCTAATGATATTAGGAAACTTAAGGACATTACATCATGTATCAGGAATAGAATATTCATTATGTGGGTGTTTTGGGGCCCTGCGTAACCATAGCCTCCAGGGCACATTTAGTATGAAAATTTAGGATTGGTTTTTTATTTGTTTTTGCTTTTAGTTTTCATTCATTTGCTGTTTATTCTCTGGCTTTGCTTGTGTATCTACATATATAAAACCATGTGAGTGAAGACTTTTATTCCGTTCTGTGAATAGTTATTTTGTTTCTTCTGCATTTTTAGGAAGTCATCATTCCTTCCATTTATCTGGAATTCCCAAGCTACCTTTGTCGGGATGCAGGAATTAATGGAGTACACCAGCTTTTTATCCTTAAATGAACTTTGGGGATTTTAGGCTTCCTGATACTTTAAGCGTGTTGAGTATATTCTTACAAATAGGATTTGAGTTATCTTTCTTTCTCTGCTGAGTTTCTTCAAAAAGTGTCAACTATACCTGTGAATATTCTGAATTCATGGCCTTGTGTTTGTTTGCATACAGTCAGGCAGGGCCGCCAGGGCCGCTCAGGGAGAGAGAACCCAGAAACCTGGCACGCCGGCAAAAGGGGAAGAATTTCTTACGTCAGTCTCTGGCCTCTTTCTCTCTCTGCAAACTGGTGAATCTCCTCTGTGAAGTTTTAAATTAATTGGTTTAATAATAATAAGAGCTTAAATCCAATATTTTGTCAGAAAAGTAGAAAGTGTAATGCCCTTTAGTTCATGTGACTTTAGCAATCTTTGGGAAATAAAAATGGTTTTAAAGATTATTGGTAAAATACAAATGTCTTCAAAATGTAAACGTATGGTCTAAAATATGTTCAAATATTAGGTTTGCTAAATGCTTTAAGGTCATAAACTGTTTCTTTGGGTTTTGAAAATTGTTGGACTTGCCTGCTTTCCAGCTAGGTAAGGTCTGGGGACTTGTGGAGTTGGCCACACCCCTGGCTGTGCTGGAAATAGCCAAACTGTATCAGAACATAACTTACCAGGTCTTACATTAAAATTCACCATTATAACATGCAATTAAGACTGCTAGAAACAGCTTTACATGCAAAGTGTGTAAGAACAGTAGAATGTGTGTGTCTATGTGTGTGTGTGTGTTTTTTGAGATGGAGTTTCACTCTTGTTGCCCAGGCTGGAGTGCAATGGCGCAATCTCGGCTCACTGCAACCTCTGCCTCCTGGGCTCAAGTGATTCTCCTGTCTCAGCCTCCTGAGTAGCTGGGATTACAGGCACATGCCACCATGCCCAGCTGATTTTTGTATTTTTAGTAGGGACGGGGTTTCATTATATTGGTCAGGCTGGTCTCAAACTCCTGACCTCAGGTGATCCGCCCACCTCGGCCTCCCAAAGTGCTGGGATTACAGGTGTGAGCCACCGCGGCCAGCCATGTGTGTGTTTTTTAAAGATTATAAAAGGTTTTTCCTTCTTTAAAATGTCTGAGTCATCATTTTGACAAAATAAGTAAGTAATGGTAATCTGGAATTTCAAAATCAAACTTCAGTTTCAAAATTGTCTTTCCTAATGCCTGGCTTTCTTGGACGAATCAGAGAGCCCCTGAAAGCATCCAGAAATGAGGTAAACAGAATTATTTGATGTGTTTAGGTACACAGGATTGCCACAATTATGCTCAATCTTCTTTAGGTTGTATTTTTGTGAATAATACTAATATATATTCCTAAATTATATGAGATTTCTAAAATTCTAATGTCTAAGTGTATTCCATCAATTATAATTATGGTTATTATGTTATTTTATTGTGAACCACAAAAATAACCAAATTTCCTTGTCAGTGCTATGCACCTAATTTGGAAAAACAACTGGTATCCAAAAGGATATAAACATGGACTCATGGAGAACCAGGATGGCCACCTTGTCCTTCCTGAGTCCTTAAAGCTTTTATTATTAAAACTTCTGCATTCCATGACTCATCATAGAAACGATATAATGATCCAAATTGGATACATTGGTGTAGTGACTTACAAATTAGTAAAATAGTTTATAACCAATGCTTGATCCCGTATTCCTGGGAAAACAATTAAAGCTTCAGATACATTTGGTCACCTGGTGAGCCATTAAACATTTTATAAAGGGATTTCATTCAGTTGTTATTTTTGATGTATGTGTTCTGGTTGTATAAAATCTTTCCCATGCAAGAGGACTGATGTTATAACAGTAGATTATTTTGTCACAGTATATTTTCACCAGGTTGAAAAAAGGCTTTTTATGGTTCAGATCTTCTGGGAACATCAGAGAAAGACTGTCCTTGCCATCCACACTACAACAAAACTTCAGGACCTTGAACTTTGGGTTTATAATGTCACAACTGAGAAGGGTCCCTCCACACTCTTGGAGCTGTGCACCCGTTGGAACCCTTAAGGTAAAAATAATCAGGGAAATTTCTCCCAAGACGAGGATGGCATCCTTGTTGTGAACAGCTTTTCCCGAGTTCACAGATTAAGACTTCTGTCATGAAACTTCTCTTTGAATACTTTTTCTTGCTTATACCTCTACGAACACTAGAAGTAGAAAAGGGTCTATTATGTGCACTTATGGGTTATACTTTTATTTGTGAAGGAGTTTGCAGCCAGTCTTATACATGGATAACCTTATACTTTGATAGATAAAAGATGAAGGCCCAATGTAGGTAAGAAATTTTACTGGTACGCACGTTGCCTCGTAATCAATCAAAAACAAAACATTGGTTCACTCCTCTGAACCCACATCATGGGTTAAAGAGAACATAGCCAGGAGGTCTTCACTATTCTAAAAAGGCATCATCTGTTGGGTCCTTTTTCCATGATTTAAAATAAAAGAAGCAATGATTAGAAATGTATCCCTCTTGGGAGGCTGAGGCGGGCAGATCATGAGGTCAGGAGTTGGAGACCAGCCTGGTGAAACCCCGTCTCTACTAAAAATACAAGAAATTAGCCAGGCGTGGTGGCGTGTGCCTGTAGTCCCAGCTACTCGGGAGGCTGAGGCACGAGAATCACTTGGACCCTAGAGGTGGAGGTTGCAGTGAGCTGAGATCGCGCCGCTGCACTCCAGCCTGGACAACAGAGCGAGACTCCATCTCAAAAAAAAAAAAAAAAAGGAAAGAAAGAAATGTTTCCCTCATGATAGGCTTTATAGAAGATTCTCCTGTAAAGGCTACAGTTACGCAACAGACTTTAAATTCTCTTGTGAAAGTTATAATAGAACTGGCTGACCAGAGAAATATCTGTGCAGCTGCTGGCACTTGTGGCCTATGGAGAAATACAGCAAATGAAGATTATAGAAATTCAGTGGTAGGAGATGGATGAAGAAATTGCTTAGTCAAGTGAGTGAGCTTTTTATGTAGCTCTTTCTTTGATCTATCTGATTTTAAGAGGTTCAGTTTATGAGAACCCTGGCTAAGGGGCGTACTCCAAACTCTTGGTATTATCCTCCCAGTAGTCATAATAATAGTCTCCCTGGCGCGCTGTGTTCTCTCAGGTTGTAAATGCTGTGTAGCTATCTCTAGAATGTCACATGGTCTCTCTTCAGCTGAAATAGCAGGAGCTAAAATAAATGTGCAACCACGAGGGCCCCGTAACCTATAAATGATGTGCTGAGACTGGAAACCCAAAATGATGGTAACTGAGAGTGGTGTAAAGCCCCTAAGCTTTGGTCACTCTCTCGCCGAAGTGAGAACCTGACCAAAAAGGAGGCATTCTTTAAACAAAATTCTGGGAGGCCATTGTTTTGGACTAAGCTCATGCACTAGGCCCCAACAAACCAAACCAAACCCAAATGGAGTCACTTGTGCTAAGACTTTAAGGAAACACATAGATTCTAGAACAGACCAGGTTTTGTTTTTTTCTCCTGCAAATCTCTATAACGAACATTTCTGACTGCATGGGTATCCACCTCCGAAGTTCCTATGAAATCTTTTAACCAAATTTATTTCCTCTCGCCTAAAGACCATCAAGCCTCAGATGATCACGCAACAAATGTTCCAGCCAGTTCCAGGTGAAGACACCACCCCTGGCTATCAAACAGCTACCCTTCCTCCACTAGACAGAGCAGGGCGAGAGTTCCATGATTCCCAATAGGAAGGGACTACGCTCCAAGTCAGCATGAAGCAGTACAGAAAAAAGACCATTGGTCCCTCTGCCTCCCATAAAGATTTATGGGGATCACATACTGGGGGGATATGAGACAGGAAAATAGGGTCTGCAGGCAGGAAGCATGAGGCCGATTCACACTTCAGCTATAACAGGAAATATCCTCTCCATAGGGCATACACCGAGTAAATGACTTTGTAAATTTACTTCATCCTCTTCATTTACATAGGACGTACCCCAAGTAGAGGGTATTTAAACTCACAAAAACTCTTTAACGGGGCCCTTGAGCCCCTATGCTTAGGCCCGCTCGCACACTGTGGAGTGCACTTTCATTTTCAATAGATCCCTTCATCTCTTCCTTGCTTTGTTTGTAGGTTTTGTCCAATTCTTTGTTCCAGACACCGAGAACCTGGACACCCTCCACCATGAACACCCATGTCAGGGGCATTCAAATCACAGCATCTCTCTCGTGAGTGAGTGTTCGTAATGCTTATTCCCCGGTGCCATAAAGAAATAGCACTTGAACATAAATTTAATTTCCTCAGCAAGGGCATTTTTTTTACTTTCTGCAGAAAGGGTACACTTCCCAGCAGTTTTGCCATGAGAGTACACCGAACAAAGGAGGCAGGGTCATTTATAACCTGACGTGTCCACCCTACGTCTGTGTCCGGTTTCCATTGGCTGGAACGGGACCTCACATTCTGGTTTTGTCCCAGTTGGCTAGCAACTTATAACAGCTCTGTCACCCAGGCTGGAGTGCAATGGCACGATCTCGGCTCACTGCAACCTCCTCCTCCTGGGTTCAAATGATTTTCTTGCCTCAGCTTCCCAAGTAGCTGGGATTACAGGTGCCCGCCACCATGCCCGGCCAATTTTTACATTTTTAGTAGAGACAGGGTTTCACCACATTGGCCAGGCTGGTCCCGAACTCCTGATCTCGTGATCCACCCGCCTCAGCCTCCCAAAGTGCTGGGATTACAGGCCTGAGCCACTGCGCCCGGCTGCAACTTAGAACTTTTTAAAAGAGGCAAAGTCATAGGAGAACAAGGAAAGGAGGAAGTAACTTGTGGAATGCTGAGGAAGGTAAAAACACCTTCAAATAAGGAAGAGGAACAGGCTCTGACCTAATGCTTGCTCAGGCTAGTATAAGCATGCCAGGGCAAATATTTAGGCTAAATTGGGGGAGCTAAGAACTTAAAGTACATTGATTTCTTTATTACAGCTAGCAGATATTTAAGAATGTTAGCACAGGTCTTTGAACAAATTTTTGCCTCTAAGAGAAGTTGCTATTTATTCCTAATTAGATGGGGAGGAAAGTCTTTGAAGAGGAACCTCTACTTTACTTTTTACAGTGAGGGCTGGGAAAGGAGGCTGGGGCTTGCTGGGCTGCAGGGCCGGAAAGTTAGGTATTCCCAGCCTCTGGATGTTTATAGTCAAGGGAACAGATTGACAACATTTACTAAACAGATCCAGACATAGGAGTGTCCTGATATCCCGATATCTTGAGAACAGAAGCAGTCCTATTTTGCTTTAAAGATAATATCGATTCTTGCAAAATATAGTAATTAAGAACAGTAACTCTTCATCACAAACCCTCATAGCAGAGCACATCTCCCCATGATCTTTTTTTATCGTGTGTATAAACAAGTATTGTACTGTGGGTGGACACATTCCTCCTCTTACTTTTGGGAACACCCTACTCTGTCTATGGAGTAGCTGTTCCTTCACTTTACTTTTGTCAATGAAAAGAGTCAAACTCTGAAAAATATTTGAAGAGATTTATTCTGACCAAAACATTAGTGACCATGGCCCGTGACACAGCCCTCAGGAGGTCCTGAGAACCTGCGCCCCACGTGGTCGGGGTGCAGCCTGGTTTTATATCTTCTACGGGGCAGGGGGTCATGAGACATCAATCAAATACATTTAAGAAATACATTGGTTGGGTCCAGAAAGGCAGGCAACTCAAAGTGGGGGGCGGGGCTTCCAGGCTACAGGTAAATTTAAACATTTTCTGGTTGACAATTGGTTGAGTTTGTCTAAAGTCCTGGGATCTATAGAAAGGAAATATTCAGGTTAAGATAAAAGACTGTGGAGCCCAAGTTTCTTTTGAAGCCTCATAGTGGCTGCCCTCAGAGACAATAGATGACAAATATTTCCTATTCAGATGCTTAGAAGGTGCTAGACTCTCTGTAACCGAAGAAGTTTTCTCAACAGATTCTTTTTCTCTAAACATTCACAAATGCAAAAACACATTTTGTATATTTGTGCATGAGTGATCTACAGAAGTCCTTGTCTTATTAATGAAAGTTCATGGAGACATGATACCTTTATCACTTACTGTGCACTCACACATCACTGGTTTCAAACATTTCTCACCCGTGTGATGGGGCACTGGGTGCCTCTGAGAACATGCTGATTTTTGGACTGGACATATTCTCCACTCCTCACTTGACTTCATGGTTCCTCGCTCATACAGATGTCTCTGTGACTGAAAACCCAACACTGATATCCAGCAGATTTTCCTCTTATGAGATTCATATTCTCTCTCTCCCTTTCTCTCCATGTCTCTATTTTTCTCTGTCAATGCTATTTATTACTGAATCATACTGAATCCTGCCAACAGTCTCCATCTCACGTTCTGCCAATCTTCTGCCTCAAAGATAATTAGGGGCAAACTCATCCTTGCCCAAGGTGGGAAAACTCTCCAGACTTATACCAGATTTACAGCCTCATATGAACCATGATCAAACATTATTTGTTTTTAGATTATACCTCAAAATGAAAAATGCTTTTTCAAAATAGCTATGGCATTCTATATTCCCACCATTACGCAAAGCAGCATGGAGGCTCCCAAATACATTAAAACAGAAATACCATATGACCAGCGATCCTTCTGGGGCTCCTTCCCTGGGAGGGGGTCCTCGCTTCTGAGCATCCTTCCCTGGGAGACGGTCCCCACTTCTGGGGCTCCTTCCCTGGGAGGGGGTCCTCGCTTCTGAGCATCCTTCCCTGGGAGAGAGTCCCCACTTCTGGGGTTCCTTCCCTGGGAGGGGGTCCTCACTTCTGAGCATCCTTCCCTGGGAGACGGCCCCCACTTCTGGGGTTCCTTCCCTGGGAGGGGGTCCTCGCTTCTGAGCATCCTTCCTTAGGAGAGGGTCCCCACTTCTGGGGCTCCTTCCCTGGGTGGGGGGTCCCCACGTCTGAGCCTCCTTCCCTGGGAGTGTGCTGTACATGGAGCCATCCTGGGACCTCAGAAGCCTGGGCTGGGTTCAGGGGCATGAGGAGCCTGAGGGGCTGAGGGGTGCCCAGGGCTGGGGACCCACAGCGATCTGGGAAGGTGTCTTCCTCTCTGGGGTTTGGTTAACTGTTCAACTCTGACTTTCAGCCACTGCTCAAATTAGCCATTGCCAGTAACAAGGGGAATATTTTGGGCTCCATCTGCTTTTGTTTTATTTCTCTCTCTGTTCAATACTCAAGCAAGGAAAAGGGATGCTGTTCATTGTGGGACTCTTAGAGGTGCTAAACACTTGCAGCTTAAATTGCTGGAGAGGAACTATCTAAAGAGACACCAAAGGCAGGTAAAGTCAGATCTTCAGCATGAGACGTGGACTTGGGCTCTCATCTGTATTTGTGACTAGGCCTCACCTGCTTTTTTTCTTTTTTTTTTTTAATAAACTTTAATTTATTATTTTTGTGTGTGCGTAGGCATGGGGTCTCATCATGTCGCCCGGAGTGATCTTGAACTCCTGGCCTCAACCAATCCTCTCTCTTCAGCCTGGCTCTGGCCTGGGCGCTGGCTCTCTGTGAGGCTGTGGCTGGACCAGGTGCACTGCAAGCAGCTTCCAAGGCTGCCACTGGGAAATGCAGTGGTGCTGGAAGCTTGGAGACTCCAGGAACCACAGGGCCCCAAAGAGGGAGTTACAGCCCTGGCTCAGGGAGCTTCGAGGACTGGGCTCCCTGAAGGGCCACAGCTCTTTTCTCCTTCTCTTCACCTGCAACATGGAGAGCAAGGGGTGTGTTTCAGCCCTGTTTGTGTTACTACTCTTTCAGCTCTGCCATTCAGCAGGTCTTGAGTTCTTGTCCTGTGTCCAGGAAGAATGAGGTATGTGAACAAATGGAGGGTGAGCAAGGTGAAGAGGAGCTTCATTTAGTGACAGAATAGCTCACAGGAGGCCCTGGAGTGAGTAGCTCCTCTCTGTAACTGCTCATCCCAACGTCTGCTCAGCTCTGGCTAAGCCCAGGCTTTTATGGGCCTCAGAGGGGAGGAAGTGCGTACCAATTGGTCCATGGGCGGCCATGGGCAGGCCTGGAAAAGGCACCACAAGTCCCCTCTCTGGTCTGCAGGATTGGCAGCCCTGCCCCTAGCCTTCAGGCCCTCCCTGGCCTAAAGGTGGGCTCTCACCAGGGACCCACCCCCTTCCATCCGGGAGCCTGTCTGCCTCCTGCTGCTGTTCATAGTGTCCAGGCTGTAGGTGCCAAGGGCTGCCTGCAGGCCAGCACAGACCTGCCCTCAGACCCCATCGGCTTCCCTCCCAAGCTCGTCAATGCCCAAAGTCTGGAGGGGGCCAGGCAGCAGGGGGTTGGCATGTCAGCAGTGCTCCACGTGCATGCACACCCAACCGGGCTGTGACAGCACCCGGGCTTGGCCCCAATTTTGCTCTGAGATTGGAGTGAACACTGAAAGCAGGGAGAAGCCAGGCAGTGGGAGCAGGCACTTCTGAGCCTGTGAGGGCAGGGGGATGCCTTCCTGGGCCCCCAAGAGTGCAGGGATGCCTGGGTCCACAGCCACAGTTTGGGCGGCTGCAACTGCGCCTGGAGGGTGGGGGCCGCAGGGCTCCTGCCTTCTCCATGGAGTAGGAGGCCCAGGTCTACAACTGTGACTTGGGTGGCTGCAGCTGAGCCTGGGAGGGCGGGGCTCCTGCCTGCTCCAGTCCCCCTAAGAACACAGGGAGGCCCAGGTCTGCAGCCATGACTTGGGCAGCTGCAGCTGTGCCTGATGGGGGTGGGCAGGGCTCTTGTCTGCTCCTTGTAGTGGCAGGCTCCGGTCTGCAGCCACAACTTGGCTGGCTGTGGCTGCACCTACAGAGCTCCTGCTCAGAAGGGGCAGGGATCAACTCAGAAGGGGCAGGGATCCCACTTGTCCCTGGCTCCCGCCGGCTCTGTGGAGTGTGCAGCCCATATGCAGCCCCAGCCACACCTCCCCACTGTACCCAGCATGATGGCAGCCACCGCTCCAGATGGGCCGCCTCTGCCATCATCGCTATCATCCAGAGTCCACGTTAGGGTCCACTCTTGGTGTTGGACATTCTATGGGTTTCGACGGATGTGTAATGACATGTATCCCCCACGACAGTAACACGCAGAGCACTTTCACTGCCCCAAGTCCTCTATCCTCTGCCTGTTCCTCCCTCCCTCCCTCCCCTGTCCCCTGGCAACCACTCATCTTTTTACTGTCTCCATAGTTTTGCCTCTTCTGGAATGTCAAAGAGTTGGGATCATACAGTGTGTAGCCTTTTAGATTGACTTCTTTCACAGAGTAATGTACATTTAAGGGTCCTTCATGTCTTTTCCTGGCTTGATAGCTCATTTCTTTCTAACCCTGAACCACACTTGATGGGATGAATCACAACTGATGGTTCCACTCACCTGCTGAAGGACATCCCAGCAGCTTCCAAGTTTTGGTGAGTATGAACAAAGTTGCTGTAAACATCCACGCGCAGGTTTTGTGTGGACACGTTTCCAGTTCCTCTGGGTAAAAACCCAGGAGCTCAACCTCCACCTGTGTCTCTTAGGCAGCCCTCTTCTGCCGAGCTCTTCTCTTAGGCAGCCCTCTTCTGCCGAGCTCTTCCTGCTCTTCTCGTCTCCAAGCCTGGCCCCAGTGCCCTGGCTCTTCTCTCTGCCTCCTGAGTCCTCCCAAGCCTGGCCCAGACCTCGGGCTCACACTCTCCTCCAGATGCTGCAGCGGTCATTGCCTAGAGACTCACTGAGCACCTGCTCCCTTGTTACCACTGATCTGCCGGGTGTGCGCGTTCTCTAAGGGACTCGTGTCTTCACAGGACAGACTTCATCGTGCTCCCCTGAGGCTTCTCTCAGGGCTCAGCAGCTTTGGGGGCCAACTTGATGGGTAGTTTAGTTGATGGTTGCTGTGAGATCTCAGTTCTTGTCTTCTTAGTTTAAGGGAGTTTAAGCAAGAGACACACAGCAAAGGAGGCGGCATGTATAGTGATTTAGTGCAAAAGAAAAATAATATGAGAAAAGTTTGGTGCAGAATGGGCAGTACACTCTGAAAGAGAGGATTCGGGGTCGGCTGCTCATGAGGATGAGACGGCAAAGACTGGAAGGAGGGAGATTCCCTCTATGGGAGTCTTCCATGATTACGCATGAGGAGGTGCGAGAGGCGTTGCTGGGAAGCTTGTTCCGGGTGCTCCTCCAGGTGCGCACGCGCAGTACCCGTCCACGCTTGTTCATACGTCGCCTGTCTCACTAGCGTCTTCAACGCCAGGGTCGGTGTGAGGACAGGTAAGCTCACAGTGCGCGTGCTCTCCAGAGGGGAAGGTCCCTACTGAAGATAGCTGTGCTCAAATGAGCTCCATTACACTGCCAATGCTGAGGCTTGCTGTGTCGACCGTACGGTCACCATGGTCGCCATGCCCCGAGGACCTGGTCACTTCCTTGACTACCTGTCCTGCCTCGGGTTTGATGCCCACATTTACAGGGCACTTTGAGATGCTGCTGCTGCCAGAAATGAACATGTCATTAAGGTGTCACACTTGGCCCTCCTCAATCTATCCCATTGGGCCTCCTCTCTCTGATGGATGCCATGGCAGTGCTGTGGGCACAGGCTGCACGGCTGCTGTGTGGTGTGGGTCCAGGTGCGGGAGAGGCAGGCATTGCAGAGAGACGCCCAGGTGCACAGGGGCGGCTGCAGGAGAGCTTGAGGCTCGGGGCCTGGGAGGGCTGGGAGGAGAGATGTCTCCACACAGCACGTGTGAGCCTAGCACGTGCTCATCACCGGGGAGAGGGTGGGGTGGGTGGAAGAGGTGTTGGTGGAGGGGGATCCAGAACAAAGGGCAGTGTGTCTGGCACTATGACAGTGAGTGCCGGGCGCTGGCCTTGGTGGGAACAGGCTGGCCAACCCACGTGGCACTCCTTGCCTGCTCCCCGTCCCCTGTGGGTCCCTTTGGTCGCTCAGGACCCCACACCTGCCCTCTCCAACCCACACTCATCAGGCGCTCAGACCTGCAGCTTCCTAACCTGCTGCATGTGGCCTGGTCAGCGAGTTCAAATGACCAATTCCCAGGTCCCAGCCCAGACCTCAGGATTACTGGGGAGGGGGCCGGACTCTGCATTTTAAACAAGGTTTCGATGACTCTGGAAGCCGCACTGTGAACCAAGTCACTCCACTCTTGCTGGAACCAGTCTGTCGGCATCTGATGCCCTCCTGCCCACCACTCTGCTTTCCATTTTAGCGTCGAAAGTGGCTTCCAGCAGAGGACACTTGGGAGGGACACAGCCACACCCAGGACCCAAGGCCCGGGTGAGATCCGGAGGCTGTAGGAACGCTAAGGGGCGGTGCTGGTGGTCCAAGGACGTCCCCCGCAGAGTGGACCAGGAAGAACGTGTCAGAGGATCTCTGCGCCGCAGCATCTGGGTTGCATCCTGTGAGAGACGCCGCGGGAGCCCAGCAGCACGGCGTTTTCTGAGTGTGGCCCCATGGGCAGCAGCAGTGAGGCCTGCAGGGCGTGAGGGCCTCCCCTGCTGCTCCCCTGCCCTGTCACTCACCACATCCCGCATGTGGGGCCTCCCTGCTGGTGATGAAACCTACCACACTTGGGCCACTGGTCATGATTCCTGCAATAACCAGCTCCCTGATAATTAAGATCTGTTGGCCAGGCGCGGTGACTTACACCTGTGATCCCAGCACTTTGGGAGGCCGAGGTGGGTGGGTCACGAGGTCAGGAGTTCAAGACTAGCCTGGCCAACATGGTGAAACCCTGTCTCTACTAAAAATACAAAAAATTAGCTGGGCATGGTGGCAGGGACCTGTAATCCCAGCTACTCGGGAGGCTGAGGCAGGAGAATCCCTTGAACCCGGGAGGCGGACGTTGCAGTGAGCCAAGATCAAGCCACTGCACTCCAGCCTGGGCAACAGTTCGAGATTCCACCTCAAAAAAATGAACTGTCTGCCAGTCATGGTGGTGCATACCTGTGATCCCAGCACTTTGGGAGGCCGTGGCTGGAGGACCGGAGCTTAGGGGTTCAAGACCAGCCTGGGCAACATATGGAGACCCTGTCTCTAAAAAGAAATTGTCGTATCGAACAAAGTTCCTTAATATCTGGAATATGCTGACGCCTTTCTTCCTGGATCTATTCCTGAGAAGGTGGTCACTGAGCTTCCTCTTCCGAGACAGCCTGGCGCTCTGGACGCTTGGCTTCCGCTCGCTGGCTCGCCGACGCCCTCTGCTGTCCACGGTTGGGAGACCTGAAAGTCGCAAGAGCGTGCCCGTGACAGGAGGCTGTGCGCAAGAAGACGTTTACAGCCGTTTTATTTGTAATAGCCCCAAACTGGAAAGCAGACGGGTGTCCTTCAACAGGAGAATAGATACATACACCGTGGCAAATTTGTACAAGAGAACAATCTCCAGCAATAAATAAGAGCACGCCACTGATGCGCGTGGCAATTTGGAAACCTTCCACAGAACAGCACACGGATTGCATGGATGCGAAGCTCCCCTCAACTAATCTATGGGGAAAATCATCAGAAAAAATGGGTGCCTCTGGGAGAGTAAGGGCAGGGACTAGCCAGAAGGGGCAGCAGGGCCAGGTGGAGACTCACTCGCCTCTGTGGATACTCTGGTCATGCGGCTTGGGGAGTGCGTGTCCCTTGAAGAGCCTGATCCAGAAACAGTGCCGTGTTTTCTGAAACTGAATGCAACGAAGTGCGGCTTCATCCACTGAGTCACTGCCCATCCCCTCAAGGATCCCCAAGGAGGCGACGCTGAGTCCGGAACGCAGGAGGGAGACCGTTCTTCTTCCCGTGAGGAACATGCTCCAGGGTCCGGAGTCTACGGAAAAATAGGAGGGTTTGAGAAAGTGAAACCCGTTCATTTTCTGTGGAGCAGAATCAGCAAATGCTGTCTCGGGGGGCCCTGTGGGCCTTGGGAAGCATTTTGGACTAAACCAGAGGATAATGAGACACCACTGGAGGTTTACCAGCAGAGGCGGTGCCATGGGGTTTGCGTCTCTAGAAGATTCTATGGGGGATCACCAGCACGCCCAGCTAATTTTTGTATTTTTAGTACGTTGGCCAGGCTGGTCTTGAACTCCTGACCTTCTGATCCACCCGCCTCGGCCTCCCAAAGTGCTGGGATTACAGGCGTGAGCCACCATGCCTGGTCCAAGTTTTGTATTTTTAGTAGAGACAGGGTTTCACCATGTTGGCCAGGCTGGTCTCGAACTCCTGATCTCATGATCCGCACACCTCAGCCTCCCAAGTGCTGGGATTACAGGCATGAGCCACCGCACCCAGCCCATTTCTTTTACCAGTACATCAAAGACTCAACTGTTACCTCTTCAGATATTGCTTCTGGCTATTTCCTGTCTGATCTCTTCTGGAACACTAATTGAACATATATTAAACTTTTTTTTTTTTTTACTCTGTTCTCCATCTCTCTTAACCTCTCTTTCTGATTTTTAATTTTTTGTATCTCTGGGTTGCTTCTGGGTTCTTCTACCTGTTTTATGGTTCACTAATTCTTTCTTTGGCTGTGGCTAATTTGTTGTTAAACCTGGTTTTTAATTTTGATTATTATATTTTTTCATTTCCAGAAATTCTATTGAGTTGCTTTTCAAATATGCTAGTCTATTTTATACAGTTCCTGTCTTTCCCCAGAAAATTTCGTCTTGCTTTTCATGTCTCTAATCATAGTGTGCATAGTTTTAATATCTTTGTCTGGTAGTTTGAATATCTGAAGTCTTTCTAGGTCTGTCTGTCTTTTCCTTCCCACCCACCCCCTCCTATTTCTTCTCCTGTTTTTCTTCTTATCTGATTCACTCCCATAATACCTTATTTTCTGTGTCATGATTGTTTTCAGCTGTCCTTGAAAAATTGCTTGTAGGTGTCCTGTGAGCCCTGCACGAAGCTGTCCCTCTAAAGAGGCTGGCATTTGCTTCTTCCAGGCGCCCAGGGGCCGTGGTAATCTGGGACCACTTTACATTAATTACATTAAATTACAGGCTTAAAGAGTTCTCGGTCATGGGTGTGATCCAGGTCACCCGTGTGATGCAGCTTTGGACGTGGCTGGCTCATGCCTCTGTCTTCTCTGAAAAGGGTTTTCTCCTGCCCCTGCCCCGCTTGTCTTGCCATCCCTTGATGATGTGGGGTTGGGGGGTGTTACCTCTGATTCACCCTTACCCTCGGGGTGTAGCCTTTGGGGTTCTCAGTTTTATGGAGAGAGGGCTTCCTCCGACACTCCCCACTGGCTTGGCGTTTTACTCTTGTGCCTCTTGCCCTGAAAGACCATTAAGAACTATGCTTAAGTACACTGGGGCAGGTGAATGCCCCCGTAGTAAAAAGAGCTGCCGTCTTCAGCCCACCCATCTTGTTCCTGCTTCGATTTAGATTTTTGGCCTAGTAAGTCCTTGCCGTCTCATCACTTCTCTGATGAGTTTAAGGAGATTTAAAAAATCTTAACAGCATTTTCTTTTGTTCTTTTTTTTTTTTTTTTGAGACAATGTCTCACTCTGTTGTTGCCCAGGCTGGAGTGCAATGGCGCGATCTTGGTTCACTGCAACCTCTGTCTCCCGGGTTCAAGCGATTCTCCTGCCTCAGCCTCCCGAGTAGCTGGGATTACAGGCACCCGCCACCACGCCCAGCTAATATTTGTATTTTTAATAGAGTCAGGGTTTTGCTGTGTTGGCCAGGCTGGTCCTGAACTCCCGACCTCAGGTGATCTGCCCGCCTCGGCCTCCCAAAGTGCTGGGATTACAGGCATGAGCCACCACGCCCAGCCCTTAGCATCATTTTCATCGTTCTATGAAAGGGTTCGTTCAAATAATCTAATAAAAATATAAGACAAATGTTTATTTTTATAACGATCCCAGCGGATATTCACATCATGACCGTGGGTCTTTGCTGAGGTCTAGGCATCTTCGGTTACCAAGCAAACCTCCCCTCCCAACCTAACGTGAACACCTGGGGTGTGTGGACCACATTTCACAAAACACTCCTCTATATAACCCAGAATATTTGGAGTTTTAGAGGGTGGTCTTAGAGAGAGGTGAGAAGGAAGTGAGGTGGGAGGGAGCAGGAAGGGGGATGCATGCACAGTGGGGTAGAGGCCAACGGCCTTTCCAGGAGCAAAGATGCCTAAGATTGCCTGTGCGGTTATTATTGTCGGATCCTTAGCAAATCTCTCCTTCCCATGAAAATTTTGTATTTGGGTTGGAAACGATAGAGGAATGAGGTTATCAAAAAAGGATTGTGATATGGAACCAACAACACGACCACACCCTCAGTCACAAGCCCCGTGGTAGAGTGATCATTAGACACACGAGTCTCAGAAACCAAAAAGGCTGAAGCATGCTTTGTGCTTCCACGAGGCATGAATTCAAGGCACCTTTTCCAACATCTTCAGGGGACAGGAAGGCTCCAGGATAGATTTGGATGGCATGACTATTTCCTGCACAGTTTTCCACAGCTCAAGCGCTTTCTCATCTATTACTGTTTTTGTTTTTGTTTTTGTTTTTGTTTTTTTTTTTGATATGGAGTCTCGCTCTGTCACCCAGGCTGGAGTGCAGTGGCACGATCTCGGCTCATTGCAAGCTCCGCCTCCCGGGTTCACGCCATTCTCCTGCCTCAGCCTCCCGAGTAGCTGGGACTACAGGTGCCCACCACTACGCCCGGCTAATTTTTTGTATTTTTTAGTAGAGACGGGGTTTCACTGTGTTAGCCAGGCTGGTCTCGAACTCCTGACCTCATGATCCACCCACCTTGGCCTCCCAAAGTGCTGGGATTACAGGCATGCGCCATCGTGCCTTTTGAGACAGTCTCACTCACTCTTCGCCCAGGCTGGAGTGCAGTGGTGTGATCTCGGCTCACTGCAACTTCCGCCTCCTGGGTTCAAGCGATTCTCCTGCCTCAGCCTCCCCAGTAGCTGGGACTACAGATGCCTGGCTAATTTTTGTATTTTTAGTAGAGATGGGGTTTTGCCATGTTGCCCAGGCTGGTCTCGAACTCCTGACCTCAGGTGATCTGCCCACTTCGGCCTCCCAAAGTGCTGGGGTTACAGAAGTGAGCCACCATGCCTGACCTTTCTTATCTACTACAAATCCTTGTCCCTACAACCACCTCTGGAGGTAGGAAGTGACAGGAATCATTATCCACATTTTACACATGCCGATCATGCTGTAAAAGAGACAGATGGACAGAGACTTTGGGGAGAGCCCCACCGATGACTGCTCTTGTAAATGCTGCACATTTGCACACTACCTGGGAGAATCAGAGGCAAAGACAAAGATGTGAGACAAAGGGGTTGAGGCTGAAGGAAGCCCTCTGTCAGCACCGGCACTGCCCGTCACGTGGCAGCACTGATGCCCTGGCACCTCAGAATTATAAAAAAAGGGTGAAGCACCAATACTAGTGGCAAACATTTCACACAAAGGAAAATAATGCCACAATCACCACCCAAACACAGTAATTTCCAATTATGGACGTCTATTTCCATTTAGCACATGCAGGCAAATATGATGAGAGGGATTTAATGACCACTCTCTTGTCTCTGCTTTTTAAACTCAGTATCTGTTGTGGTCACATGATTGACCCCCAACATTCATTCCACATGGATGAGTCAGCTGAGCTGACCAGGGTTATACTGCCTCTCTCATGAATGATGGCTTAGAAGGGTTTAGATGGTTTAGAAGGAAAGCCTGCTCCAGGGATTCGGAGAAAAGAGGCTGTTCATCCCTTCTTTTGGTCCCTGTCATTACTGAGTGTGATGTGTGGAGCCGCTGCAGCCACCTTGGCACCATGTGGCTAATCAGCCTTAGGCTGAGGATGGGGTAAGAGGGAAAGGAGCCTGTGTCTTTGGTGATGATGATATGGAGATGTTTAATCAGCCAGTCTTGGTGTCTGCCCTATCTCTGGATTTCTCACTATGTGAGGTGATAGATTTGCTTATTCTTTAAGTGTGTTGGAGGGTTTTTTCTTTTCTTCCTTTTTGGTTACTTGCTGCTAAGACATTGAACTGATATAATTTTATGTCACAAGACCTTTTTTCTTTTTCTTTTCTTTCTTTCTTTTTTTCTTTTTGTTTTTTGAGACAGAGTCTCGCTCTGTCACCCAGACTGGAGTGCAGTGGCATGATCTCAGCTCACTGCAACCTCTGCCAGCCAGGGTCAAGTGATTCTCCTGCCTCAGCCCTCCGAGTACCTGGGACTACAGGTGCACGCCACCACGCCTGGCTAATGTTTGTATTTTTAGGAGAGACGGGGTTTCACCATCTTGGCCAGGCTGGTCTTAAACTCCTGACCTCATGATCCACCCGCCTCAGCCTCCCAAAGTGCTGGGATTACAGGTGTGAGCCACCGCGCCCGGCCAAAATCTTGTTTCTGTATAGTCCTCATATCCGTAATTTTACATGCATGGCTTTGAAACAGTTTCACATTTATGGAAGAGCGGCAGCAACAGTGACTGTACCCATGCTGCCCCTCAACCAGCTTCACCCTCTTCCTTCTCTTCTTGCAAAAACACTGCTCTTCCATTGGAGCTTAATTCAAGTCTTTCTGAGCAGACACTCCTAGTCAGATAAGCGGTTTTCTCCTCGGCATTCTTGCAGGATTTCCTGACACTTCTCTTAGGACCTGGTTTTTTTCTACCCGTGGGTTCAGTATAGCAGATCACCCCACTCATTGTCTATTTTGACTTCCTTCTGGCACCTTCCTGGATGTAGAGATTGAAGAGTTAAACGCCAGTGCCTCTGGCAGCTCTAGGCTTCCAGGTGCGATTCAGTTTCCACTAATCAAATGAAACTGAACAAGATCTGGGGTCAGGATTTGGTTAAGTGGGAAGTGAGGTTCTGCTGTGAGAGTCGTCATTTTACTGCTGTGGAGCTAATGGGTGTGGCATATTTCTGGGACCGAAAGTTGTGGTGCCTTCCTGTCCCCCGGAGGGAGTATAGCAGGTGTTGCCTGATCACAGAGCCAGTGGTGGGGTCGGTGGGTTTCTGAACACAGTCTTTTTTTTTTTTTAATTTAAAAGTAAACTTTAATGTCAAAAATGCAAACTTGGGGAGGACAGAAAGATCACACATAAGGCTGCCACTTCACACTTGGAGGGTTGCACAGCAGCCGGGCAGAGAGGCTCCTCATGTCCCAGATGGCAGGGGGGCAGCAGCCAGGCAGAGGCGATCCTCACTTCCCAGACGGGAACACGGTCTTTTTTGAACTGTGTTTTTTCGAACTCAGTTCTTGTTTTTGTCACAGTAGGTGTTCCCTTGCTGGGCTGTCTCTGTGGGGTTATTCTGGGAGTGACATCCTGAGACCCGGCCTGGAGCCCATTCTTCCAGTCTCTTGATGATTTTATAAGCAGTCAATTTCTTGTTTGAAAATTATTTCTGCTAAAAATTGTGTTGTTTCTTCATATGCATTTGACCTATGACAGTATTATTTCCTCAAGTGGTTGTAAGCAATACATCCTCAGGGATGGGAGCCTGAGACGTATCTGCCTGGCTGAGTTTGAAGACAGGAGATTATCATTGTCTCGTTATGGCCAGCGTTGGGTCACCGTAGTGTATGGTCAGCATCGGTTACCATAGCGTGTGGTTAGCGTTTGGGCATCTGCATCCCCTGGGCATGGTGGCCTGGAAAGACACGTTGGCTGAAGGCCTGGCTTTGGCTGGCCAGGTGGCCCCTGTGAAGCACAGGATAATACAGAGCTAAATGCAAAGAGTGTGAGGGTCTTGGGCTGGAATGGTGGCCCTTGCCGGGGTCTGGGTAATTGTGAACACCCCGAGGAGACTGGTCCTGCTTTGCTTGAAGACTCACGGCAACCTCACCTGTGGTCGTCACAGGCCAGGAGGCTGCAGTTCCCTCTCCTACCTTCTCTGTGGTTCTGGGCCAGAAGGGTGGTTAGAGACTAGCCTGCTGCAGGGACCAATGACAAAGTCAAACCTGGGCAGAGAAGCTCACACATCAGAGGGGCTGCAGGAGCTGATCATGTATTTTGGCAAAATTGTGGGGAACCTATGAGGAAATGGATTCTGAGGGTGCCAGACCACGGACGGGGATGAGAACTTGAAAAAAAATGTAATCTGACGTGATCCAGACTTCCAGAGGATTGCAAGAATAGGGCAAAGAATTATTACATAGACTTCACTTAGATTCCTCAAATATTTTACCACATCTACTTCATAACGATGTATTTATGCATGTGTACACATGTGTGTTTATACCATTTTATGTACATATACTTTTTTCAGAACCATTTGAAAGTAAATTATAAACATGAGGCCCTCTTTCCCCAAATAATTTATTGTGTATTTCCTAAAAACAAGATGTTCTTATGTAACCACATAAAAACTGTTAAAATCAGGAAATTAATATTGGTATAATATTTGCTAATCAAATTTTCCCACATCCTCTAGGCTGGGTGCAGTGGCTCACACCTGTAATCCCAGCACTTTGGGAGGCCAAGGCGGGAGGATCACTGGAGCCCAGGAGTTCAAGACCAACCTGGGCAACACAGGGAGACCTGTCTCTACAGAAAATTTAAAAATTAGCTGGACATGGTGTGGTGGTGCACACCTGTAGTCCCAGCTACTCGGGAGGCTGAGGTGGGGGGATCACTTGCTCTCAGGAGGATGAGGCTGCAGTGAGCTGTGATTGCGCTACTGCACTTCAGCCTGGGGAACAGAGCAAGACGCTGTCTCAAAAAAAAAAAAAAAAAACCAAACAGATTGTTCCACATTCTACTAATGTTTTTATAGGAAAACAAACTCCTGGATGGCGAGTTGGCCTTTTGTGGCGTCTCTTTGCTTTCCTTGAATTCAGAGCAGCCCCTCAGCCTGCTTTTCAGCATCTTGATATTTTTCTGAGCGCTGGGCTACAGTTATTTTGCAGCAATGTCCCTCAACTTCAGATGTTTGCTCATGGTATGAATTTGGGCAGAAATACCTCAGAAATGAAATTGTGTCTCAGTTATCTTTTGAGGCTCATAGTTATTTGCCCTCTTACAGATGTTGTTAATGTTAATTTCTCGGTTAAACGGGTGCCTGCCAGGTTTCCCCTCTGTGAATATACCATATCCCCATTTGCTGTCAATAAGCACCTTGGGAAGAGGTGCTTTGAGGCCACTTACGTATCCTACTTCTCCTGTTTCTCAGCTGACTCTCACTCAGTGCCGTTTCCTCTTTCTTGTGCTGCTATTGGGCGCACATTTTTCTCGACGCGGGTTTGCTCACTTGTGAGTAAGCAGAGATTCTGCGCTCAACGTACAAACTCCAACAATGGGAGCAGTTCCAAATGGGCATTTGTTTCAGTGAGATCTGAGCTCAGTGGTAACTTAAGTGGAAAGCATTTGAGAGGCAAGCAATTCCTTTATGTACACGAAAGCCTCTGAATGCTCAGGGACACAGGTGCATTGAAGTGGATTTTTTTTTTTTTTTTTGAGATGGAGTTTCGCTCTGCCACCCAGGCTGGAATGAAGTGGTACGATCTCGGCTCACTGCAACCTCTGCCTCCTGGGTTCAAGCAATTCCCCTGCTGCACCCTCCCTAGTAGCTGGGATTACAGGCGCCCACCACCATGCCCAGCTGCTTTTTGTATTTTTAGTAGAGAAAAGGTTTTGCCATGTTGGCCAGGCTGGTCTTGAACTCCTGACCTCAGGTGATCCGCCTGCCTCAGCCTCCCAAAGTGCTGGGATTACAGGCGTGAGCCACCGTGCCTGGCCGAATTTTTCTTCTTTTTTTAATAGTGATGGGGATTTGCTCTGACACCCAGGCTGGAGTGCAGTGGAATGATCATAGCTCACTGTAGCCTTGACCTCCTGGGCTCAAGCAGTCCTCCTGCCTCAGCCTCCCAAAGTGTTGGGATTATGGGTGTGTACCACTACTGTGCCTGGCTGAGGGGGTGGATTCATTTCTTGCCACCCCCATTTCCCCCTGGAGGGCACAGAGGCACTCCCCTCCCCAGGACAATAAGACACCCATCAGTGAGGCAGGTGCCTGAATCCCTGGATGGCACCTCAGTGGCTGTCTCTGGAGGCCAAGGTAGAGGGATTGCTGCAAATGGGCTTCCTGATTTCAGTGGAGAGTTGGACCCTGTGGAGGTAGAGGTCGGGTAACAGCTCTTAACTGCCAAAGCAACACAGGTGAAGTTACCTTAATTGTCAGAAGAATTGGGTGGTGATCAGAACGGCTTGAGCCACAGGAGTGTTTTGTGGTAGTAAATTGCCACGCAGTTGCCAAGAGTGAAATAGATGGGAAGCCCACTAAGGGTCTATTTACCACTTTTTTTTTGTTTGTTTGTTTTGAGATGGAGTCTCGCTCCCATCACACAGGCTGGAGGGCAATGGCACGATCTCCACTCACTGCAACCTCCTCCTCCCGGGTTCAAGTGATTCTCCTTCCTCAGCCTCCCAAGCAGCTGGGATTACAGGCATGTGCCACCATGCCCTGCTAATTTTTGTATTTTTAGTAGAGATAGGGTTTCACCGTGTTGGCCAGGCTGGTCTCGAACTCCTGACCTCAGGTGATCCACCCGCCTCAGCCTCCCAAAGTGCTGGGATTACAGGCGTGAGCCACCGTGCCTGGCCTATTTGACACATTTGATTGAAATAACAAACTCTAAGTTAAGCAAACAGAGCCAGAGCCTTCAGTCACTGTGTAGAAGTTCCAGTTCCTCAGTCCACGCCAGGACCTGAATCCGTTCACAGACCCACAGTCCCTTCAGTAAGGGAAACGTTTGATGTCCCTGGGGAAGGATCCTATGCTAGCACCAGAAACATGTTTTTAGAAAGTTCCTCCAGCTTTTCCTAAAGAAACTGCAGCCAGGTTCCCTAGACCAGGCGCCGGGTAAAGGGGCGTATTCAGAGCTGTGGGAGATGACTGGACACTAACTCAGAACCAACATGGATCACCAGGAGACAGAACCCAGTGACCTGTTGGGCAGAGTGAGGGTTTATTTACTTATTTATTTATTTGAGACAGAGTCTTGCTCTGTTGCCCAGGCTAGAGTGTAGTGGCGCGATCTCAGCTCACTGCAACCTCCGCCTCCCAAGTGATTCTACTGCCTCAGTCTCCCGAGTAGCTGGGACTACAGGCACGTGCCACCACGCCTGGCTAAGTTTTGTATTTTTAGTAGAGACGGGGTTTTGTCATGTTACCCAGGCTGGTCTCAAACTCCTGACCTCAGGCGATCTGCCCACCTCTGCCTCCATAGTGCTGGGATTACAGGTGTGAGCCACCATGCCCGCCAAGAGTGAGGGTCTATAACGAGCAGAATGAACACAAGTTTTGCTGTGAGTCCAACTCCCAGGGGGCCCAGTCCGTGACTCTAGTCTGTGGTTGTTCCTTTGCTTTTCAGAATAGAGTCAGAATAGACAGAAATATTCAGTGATGGATGGGATTCCCAGATCTGCTCCCTGATTCTGGAAAGATGGCCGTAAGGTGGAAAGTTCCTGGGATCCTGTGGGACCCCTGCCCGACACCACAACAGTAACCTCAAAGCACTGTTGCCTACCTGGGGAGAATCACGTAGATTAGTGCCACATCAAAATCTCGAAACATTTGGGGGTGGTGATTTCTTTAATTCACTTTCTGGCCTGCGTGGAAACAGATGGATGATGGGGCAGGACTGTGAGTTATCCTAAGCTTTGTCAAGTCGTGATCTCAATTGAATGGCTACTGCGGATGGGGCATGTTGATTGAAACAATGGAGCAAATCAGTTCACTTCCCGGCATCTAGCATGTGACTATAGAACTGGCAAATGCATTTTATTTTCTCTGTACCAGCAATCACAGAATACCAGGAAGAGTTCACTTTCACACTGTAGGGACATCAGTACACCTTCACAGTCTTGATTCAACAGTAACCAAGTCTGTTCTGTGCCACATTTTAGTCCAGGGCGGCCTTTGTCATCCCCACCAAATGATGCTGATCAGCTGTGTTGCAAGCATCACAGCCACAGGACCTGATGAACAGGAAGTAGCAAGTACCCTGGACACCTGGCTAAAGGCACACGGGTGCCAGGTGAGGGGAGAAGATAGCCATGAAAGTTCGAGTGCCCCCTCAGCATCGTTTCTGGGGTTCAGAGGATGGGAACATGTCAGAAAGTCCTCCAAAGTGAGGGAGAGGCAGTCTGCCATAAGCTGTACGTGTCACTATTAAAACCTCTTTGAATATTGGAGGCTGATGTGGTTAGGCTTTGTGTCCCCACCCAAATCTCACCTTGCATTGTAATCCCCAGGTGTTGAGGGAAGGACCTGGTGGGAGGTGATTGGATCACGGGGGCACTTTCCCCCATGCTGTTCTTGTGATACTGAGTGAGTTCTCACGAGATTTGCTGGTTTTATAAGGGGCTCTTCCCGCTTCGTTCTCTCATCTCTCTCTTACCTGCCACCGTGTGAGACGCACCTGCTTCCCCTTCCACTGTGATGGTAAGTTTCCTGAGGCCTCCCCAGCCATGTGGAACTGTGAATCGTTGAACCTCCTTTCTTTATAAATTACCCAGTCTTGGGTATTTCTTTATTGCAGTGTGGGAACGGACTAACACAGAGGCCATATATACAAAATTTGGGTGTGCTTTCCTATTTAACAAGGAACTTTGAGTGAGGTTCAGAGCAAGAGAAATGCTGGCCTGCTGACTAGGCTGCCAGACAAGCCTTTCTTCCACTTGGCCCTATGACGTGGTGAACCCATGGCAATCTGAGTGTCTGAGGAGTGTGAGAATGTCATATGGAGGGCCAGGCACATGGGGCTCACACCTGTAGTCCCAGCACTTCGGGAGGCTGCGGCACGTCGATCACTTGAGTGCAGGGAGTTCAAGACCAGCCTGGGCAATATAGTAAGACCTCATCTCTTAAAAGAATGTTGTGTGGAGCCTGTGGCAAACCTTGACAGAACAACCACAATCATGGTTATTGATGAGTATTGTTGAGTGATCGCCTCATCAACAGGTCACCATTCCCTTTTGAGAAACAGCTGCTGGCTTGCTCATGGGTTGAGTAGACAGCACATTTCACTGCAATTCACTAAAAGATCATGCAACATAAGCTGTCAATCAGTACCTGGTGTTGTCTGATCCACCAAGCCATAGAGATGGGCCTGTCCAACAAAACTATCATAAACATGGAGGCAGTACATGTGAGGTTTGTTATGGACTGAATAGTGTTCCCCCAAAATTCATATTTTGAAGGCCTAGACCCCGTTTGCAGACAGGACCTTTAAGGAAGTGAGGTAACCATCAAGGTTAAGTGAGGTCATCAGGGTGGGTCCTGACCCAATGGGACTGGTGTCCATAAGAAAAGGTGTGACACCAGACATGAGCACACACAGGAGAGACCACCTGAGGACCTGCAGAGAAGGCGGCTCTCTGTGAGGCAAGGAGAGAGTCCTCGGCAGAAACCAACCCCATCAGCACCTTGATCTTGGACTTCTAGCCTCTAGAGCCGTGAGAAATACACTTCCATTATGACAGCCCGAACAGACTGACACGAGGTTGTCCTCAAGCATATCCGAGACACCCTGAGACACCACATGAGCAGGAGGCTCGCCCTCCAAAGGCACCCACTCCCTCTGCAATCCTTGCTCCTCCACCTGCATTTTTGGTTTTATGGGGAGTTCCCTAAAACAAGCTGAGGAATGAAAAATGGAGCCTGGTGTACAGATGGTTCTGCATACTAGGCTGGTGCGGCGGGCCCGGGCTCAGCATCACAGCCCTACTCCAGCTGGCCCTGATGGACGTGGTGGAAAGGAATTCCATGCAGCTGGCCAAACTTCAAGCCTCACACCTGATTATCCTCTCCTTTACCTGGAGGGACAGTTGATGATCAGGGGCTTAGAAGGCACAGGTTTGGAGGATTGGAGTTGAGGAGGTATGTGGACCGACAGACCGTGTGGAGGGGTCTGGAGGTGAGGGGGCTTTTGTGCTCCACGTGCGTGCTCCCCAGGACTCCTCCTGCACCTGCAAGCTCGGTGGGGGTGGGGGTGGGGGTGGGGGGCGTGGTTCAGGGGATTCCCAGCTCTGCAGAGGTCGCCAGCTCTGCTGCTCTATCCCAGCCTTTCACAAAGCGCGCATCCGTGTGGCCGTGGTGGCGTGGATGGAGATTATACGTGGGCTGAACACCAACAAGTGGGTGCGGACCTTCCTCCCGCTTTACCCTGAAGTCCCAGCCCGGAGCACGCGGCCGTGGTGAGCTGCGATCCCAGGCCCCGGCGCAGCGCTGAGACTGTGGCTCTCAATCCGCAGCAGCTGCTTCATCTGCTCAATGCCAGACTCCAAAAAGCATTTCTCTCGCAACAGGCCAGGGGAGGCAGCGTTCGGGGATGGGACGCCAAGAGTTAAGGGTGAGGCCGCACGCGTGCAGCTCCCCCGTGCTGCGCATGGCGCTGGGATCGGCCTGAGCGGCGGGTGAGTCCCTCTAAGCCGGCGGCGCCCGGTGCCCGGCTCCCTACGCGCGCCCCGCGGCCCCCGGGCTATTTTCAGCCACGCCGAGCCCTGTTTTAGGAGCTTGCACAGCGGCTCCGCGGAGACCGGGACTGCGTGGGGGAGGATCGCGGCGGGGGCCGTCGCCGAGCAAGGAGCGCGGCCGCGGGGACCGCCCGGGAGTGGGGGCGGCGGGGCGGGCCGGGTTCGGGGCTCCTGCCCGCGGTGACGGTGACGCGCGCCCCCGCCCGCCGCCTCTGCCATGGCCGATCCGGTCCGTCGGACGCCGCCCAGAGTCGCTCGCGGGGAGCCTCGGTGAGCAGCGGCCGGGGTGGGGCCGCGACCGGGGGCCGGGCCTCTGCGCTGCGTCTGGCACGGTGCGTCCGGGACGCGGGCGCCCTGGCGGCCGTGGGGCGGGCGGGGGGCGACGTCCCGAGGGAGGGGGTCCCGCGGCAGAGACGCCCCTGTCTGGGGCGGGGTCCTCCTTGCCTCTCCCGGCGGTCCCCCCGTGGGCGGGTCCTCTCCACGGCACCCCCTGCCCTGCACAGGCCTCGGCGCTGGCGTGACGCGGCCGCTGGGTGGGGCCCGCGCAGGTGCTGGGCCAGGGCTGGGGACCCGCATCTCCGTGTCTCCGACTGTGCCTCCCGCGGAAAGGGGCGCCGTGCGATTATTTTTATGTTGGTGTCTGGTTTTTAAATTTCACAGCCCCCATTTCAGGGATGGCCAGCGTGGCCGTGGGATGCTGACGATACGGGAAGCCAGAGAATAAAGGCTTTGGTGGAGGTCGGGAGGAGGCGCCGGCCTGGACAGTTTTCCTAGAAAATATTCTCTGCGTGTACCCGCGACCTTGCCTCTCGTGGAAAGCCGCTGGGAGTTGGAGCGGCTCCCTCCTGCCCCCGTCTGAGGTCTGGCTGGCTGTTTTCTTGGTGAGGTGCTGGAATGCACAGGAGGCTCTCCTAGGCAAGCTGTCTGCAAATGTAAGAAATGGGGTGGTGACGCGCAGACCTGGGATTCGCTTGCAGAACCTAGGAAATCCGTTGTCATGGAGGGAGCCAGGGAGCTCTTAGGTGTTGGGGAAGCCTCCCTCCACCTGCGGGTGGGTGGCAGGAGGAGAAAGTGCCAGGCCGTGTGTCTGCAGGGGCTGAGGATTAAACGCAGGGGTCAAAAGACCCCTGCTGGATTTGGTGGTGAATCAGTGCTGGCTTTGGCAGCTGGGGCAGGATTCCCTCCCTCAAGTAAAGGGCAAGTCGGGCTGCTCTGCTGACCCCTTAGTAAACTGGAGTGGGGAGGGCGGAGTGTCTCCAGGAGGCTCAGCGGAAGGCGGGCAGGCACCCTGCAGCCCTTTCAGGAGGAAGAGCCTGGCCAAGCGCATATCTGGTTTGGGCTTCAGTTGCCTGGGCCGCAGCGCAGGCTTCCCCCTACCCCTGCCCCGGGGGCCTGGCCCAGGGCTGCTCTGGGGCTGTAGAGAACAGCAGTACCAATTGGCCCCGAGTCGGTTGCAGCCTTTGCCACAAATCTGGAAGAAGCCGGGAATGTCACTCCTTGTCTGGCCTGGTCAGCTTTCTACTACAAAGTAATATGCCTGGCAAGAAGCAACTTATGTAACAACAAGTTATAGTTTGGAGTTCATTGAGGATATAGTTTGTTTTAAGTAGGATTTTTCAAGCAAATTGATCTGTCCATGGACAAGCTTCCTGTTTTAGGACATTATTTATATTGAAAATAGCTGCCCAGACATGATTCTGGCTTTTATTGTCAATTTCCAATGATAGCCACTGAAATCCAGATTTTGAAAGGGAAAGATGAAGAGGACTGGTGGTGGGTTCCGTTCAGGTGGGTTCAGTTCAGCATGCCCTGCAGTCAGCGTTTCTCACACTCCAGGTGCCCCGAGGGAGCCCACGCACAGGGCACAACCCCCACGGCAGTCAGCTCATAGTCAGCAGGTTCCAGGCTCTGGGGTTTGGTCCCACAAGTGTGCATGCATGACACTTTTGCAAGATCTAGGAGTTTGTGGAAAATGGCATAACAATAAGCTAATTTTTAAAAAAAGACGACACAAAAGAAATAGCGATGATCAAAATAGTCAACCATGGCCAGGTGTGGTGGCTCATGCCTGGAATCCCAGCACTTTGGGAGGCCCAGGTGGGTGGATCACCTGAGTTCAGGAGTTCTAGACCAGCTTGGCCAACATAGTGAATCCCTGTCTCTATGAAGAATACAATAATTAGCTGGGCATGGTGTGCCTGTAATCCCAGCTCCTCGGGATGGTGAGGCAGGAGAATTGCTTGAACCCAGGAGGCAAGAGGTTGCAATGAGCTGAGATCGCGCCACTGCACTCCAGCCTGGGCAACAGAATGAGACTGTCTCAAAAAAAAAAAAAAAAAAAACCATCATAAACATACTTGCTGCATGTATGGCAGGCTCTGTTCCATTTCTTTACCTGTGTTACGGGGTGTGGGTGTCCCCCTGTTAGGGTACAAGAGCTGGGCTGCAGGGGCTCAGGAGAAGCCCGGGATGGGCTGGGAAGAGCTGCAGAGGCAGGTGGAGGCCACACCCTTCACCCAGCGGAGCCGCTCGTGAGGCCACACGGGGAACCAGGCTCAGGCCACATCAAGGAGCATGCAGTTCAGCAAGGGAGGAGGTACAGACATCGCCTAAAATCACCAGAACTAAGGAGTGTGGAGTTGCAAACTCAGCATTCGAACCTCTGTCTCATTTTTAAAAATATTTAAACATTTTTTTAATAGAGACAAGATCTTGGTATATTGCCCAAGCTGGTCTTGAACTCCTGATCTCAAGTGATCCTCCTGCCTTGGTCTCCCAGACTGCTGGGATTATGGGCATGAGCCACCGTGCCCAGCCAGGACCTATGTCTCTTAGCTGTGATTCAGGAACTTAGTCACCTCAGCTTGGGCCCGGATCCCACACCAGGCCCCCGTCTGCCCTGCCTTGCCCCCTCCGGTTTTGACATCCCCCCATACCTGCAACCCCCAAGCAGAACAGTCTCAGTCAGGCCACCCACCGTTTCCCAGTAAGGCCAAGGGCTAGACCCTTTCTCCCATGGCCCCTGGACAGCGTGGTCCCTGCAAGGCTGAGAGGCCTGGCCCTCTACACGTGCCAGGACTTCCTGCTGCATGTCACCTGCCTGTGGCTCACTGGCTTCCCTGGCAGAGGTCTCTTAGTACAGCAGCACATCTGTGCACTCCAGAGAGGCGACCCCCACTCCCTCCATAGCGCTGGGCTGTCAGACCAGTGAGGTCTGAAAATCTGGCTGGCCCCCGATTCCCTACAGCGGCATCCAGCAAAGGTCTTGAAGATGGGGGAAGCTTCATTTCTGGCCTCCTCTCTCGGCCTCCAGCCGCTGTATTGACTTGGCTCTTACAGCCTCTCTGGGTTGCCCCCACCTCCACGCCTCACGTGCTGGGGCGCCTCTGCAAGTCACGCTGTGTGTGGAGGTCTCACTGCTCCCCAAGTCTTTGCCATGACACTAAGCACTTGGGTTCCTTCACAAGCTCGTGCTTCTTTGTTTTGTTTATAAAAATTCTAAAATTTCAGAAGGCTGGGATGAAGACAATCAGTACTCATAACTAACACGTGCCCAGGTGACTGCTGTAAGTCATTAGGTGCTGCTGTGGACCAAATTGTGTCCCCCAAGTTCACAGGTTGCGCTCTGACCCCCAATGTAATGGTATTGGGGGGGTGGGCCCTTTGGGAGCTGACGGGGTGAGATGAGGTTATAGGGTGGGCCCCCAGGATGGGATGGGTGCCCTTACAAGAAGGGACATGGGATCGGGCTCTCTCCACAGGGCACAGAGGCAGCTCTGTAAGCCAGGAAGGACCCTCACCAGGAACCAAACCGGCCGGCTCCTTGGCCTCAGACTTCCAGCTCCAGAACTGCGAGAAATGTCTTGTTTAGGCTGCCTGGTCTGTGGCATATTGTGATGGGGATGAGCTGACCGAGACAGGGCCCTCCCCTCGCTCCGTATCTATACATCTGCTGGCTGCCTGCTGACCTCCTGACCGCTGATGGGTTTGCAGACTCCCCCAGCCACACACAGAGTTTGGATCATGCTATAATCATTTTATATCCTGCTTTTTAAAAATGTCATATTCATGAGCATTTTTTTACTATTCAATTGTTTCTTTAATCAGTTCCTTATAAAGTATTTTGGGTTGATTTTAATCCTTTACAATTGTGAACCACTCCCGATGAGCTTTTTTTTTTTTTCATTTTCATTTTTTTTTTATCGTGGTAGATAAGAACACTTAACATGAAATAAATCCTCTTAAATTTTAAGTGTACGACACTTAAAGTGTCAATGACCCTTGGTGGTTGGTGCAGGTTCAGCGCAGAATAGCAGATTTCTGGAGGTTATTCCTCTCACTTAACATTAACAGAAACTTTTCTCTGTTGAGAGCTCCCACTTCCTAGCCCTGGAAGCCTCCCTTCCAGTCTTTATTGTTGTGATTTGACTATTTTCAACACCTCATAGAACTGGAATCATGCAGTACTCGATTTTCTGTGCCTGGCTTATTTCACTTAGCATGGTGTCCTCAAGGTCCATCCAGGCTGCAAATGGCAGAAGCACCTGTGTCTCGCGGCTGAGCGGCATTCGTCAGATGTGCACACCACATTTTCTTTCTTTTTGAGATGGAGTCTTGCTGCCACCCAGGCTGGATGGAGTACAGTGGTGTGATCTCAGCTCACTGCAACCTCTGCCTCCTGGGGTCAAGCGACTCTCATGCCTCAGCCTCCCAAGTAGCTGGGACTACAAGTGTGTGCCACCATGTCCAGCTAATTGACACCACATTTTCTATAAACATTCATCACCTGTTTATTTTAAGGCTTTCCTGTGGATCAGACAAACTGGAGTGCATATGTTTCAGGGAGTGGAGAGCTGGCTGGGTCCGGGTGGGCTGGAGTGGGTGGTAGGTGCCAGTGGGAACAGCCAGGGTGGGGAACCCTGAGAGGAGGTGAGAGGATGAGGGCGGCTGTATGCAGGATCCCGGCAGCATGGGCTGTGTTCTGGGAGCTGCTGCCCCGGACGGGCACAGCGGTAAACACCAGGAGCCAGTGTGGCCCCTCTGCCGCGTGTCCCCACGCCCTAGGAGGTGCATCTTCTGGTGTTGGGAGTATGGGAGACTTGGCTGGGGCTGGGCCAGCAAGGCCGACACCCCCACTCCTTTCCTGCGGCTGGTGGCATCATTGAGCACCACGGTCAGGAAAGCTGGAAACATAGCACGCTGGCCCCGTGGCCCAGGCTGGGTGGGCATGTGAGCTGCTAAGAGAATTTCATCGTCCGTTATAGCTGGCCTGAACTGTCGCGTGGCCAGCCTGTGCCAGCAGACACCTGCTCTGCCTGGGATCCCACCTCAGGCCTCTTCCATGGCTGCTTGTGTTTCTTTTCTTTCTATCCTTTCTTTTCTTTCTTTTTTCTTTCTTTTCTTTTTTTTTTCTTTGAGAAAAAGTTTTGCTCTTGTTGCCCAGGCTGGAGTACAGTGGTGCCATCTCGGGTCACTGCACCCTCCACCTCCCAGGTTCAGGTGATTCTTGTGCCTCAGCCTCCCGAATAGCTGGGATTACAGGCATGTGCCACCACACCTGGCTAATTTTTGTATTTTTAATAGAGTGGGGGTTTCACCACATTGGCCAGGCTAGTCTTGAATCCTGACCTCAAGTGATCTGCCAGCCTCAGCTTCCCAAAGTGCTGGGATTTTAGGTGTGAGCCACCGTGCCCCGCTAGTTCACTTGCTCGCTCGCTCCTTCCTTCCTTCCTTCCTTCCTTCCTTCCTTCTTTCCTCCTCCTCCTTTCACAGGGTCTCTGTCACCCAGGCTGGAGTGCAGTGGCATGATCATGGCTCACTGCAGCCTCCACCTACTGGGCTCAAGTGATCCTCACACTTCAACCTCCTGATTAGCTGGGACTACAGGTTTGCACCACCACGCCTGGCTAATTTTTGTATTTTTGTAGAGACGGGTCTCTCTCTTGTCCATGCTGGTCTCGAACTCCTGGGCTCAAATGATCTGCCTGCCTCGATCTCCCAAAATGTTGGGATTCCAGGCGTGAGCCACGGCGCCTGCTGTGTTTCTCTTTTCATCTTCACTCCTCTTCATGGTGCGGCCACCCTGGATCACCTGGAGTTCCTCCCTCCCCATCCTGGCTGCAGGGATGAGTGCAGGCTCTCAGGAACCAGGGACTGCGTGGGGAGAGGGCTGGAGCCTGTGTCCTCTGATAGCCAGGCCATAGCATCCTGGAGCAGCTTTGGAGAGCCCGTCTGTTCCTTTCCTCTGGTTTTAGAGCTCTCTGCCATTGTAACTCACCCTGGATCATTAGGGTATTAGAAATAGTTAAGAAAACCAGGTGCTTGAAGAGCTGTTTTGTATCAGCTTTACTTGGCTGGTCCTATAAAAGGCTTTTCCTTTGGGAGCCCAGGGTGGGTGGATTGCTTGAATCTAAGAGTTCGAGACCAGCCTGGGCATCATGGCAAGACCCCATGTCTCAAAAAAAAAAAAACAAAAATTAGCGAGTTATGGTGGCACGTTCTTGAGGTTCCAGCTACTCGGGAGATTGAGGTGGGAGGACTACTTGAGCCCAGGAGACAGAGGTTGCAGTGAGCTGAGATCACACCACTGCACTCCAGCCTGGGCAACAGAGCAAGATCCTCTCTCAAAAACACAAAAGGCTTTTCCTGGTTGGGAAGCTTTGTAATAGTTTATTTCTGAATGTGGCTGTGTTTTGTTCCCTCTGCTGGTCAATGTATTTTATAGGCTGTTTGCATTTTACTTTTTAATTTTTTTCTTTTTGAGTCTCACTCTGTCACCCAGGCTGGAGTGTAGTGGTGTGATGTGGGCTCACTGCAGCCTTGACCTCCCAGGCTCAAGTGATCCTCCCACCTCAGCCTCCCTAAGTGCTGGGATTACAGGCATGAGCCACTGCACCTGGCCCTTTCCGTTTGTGTGTGTGTGTGTATGTTTGTGTTATACAAATCTGCACTGTACCTTTTGTATTATCCACACATGGTTTTTAACCTGGGCTTTTCTAGGTTGAAGTCTGGTGCAGCACCGCAGAGAATCCAGGGGGAAACGGGGTTGGATGCTGTTGCCCCCAAAGCACTTCTTTCCTGTTTTAGTTTTTAAATGTTTTTCAGTCCTAGTCAGGATTCCAGCAAAGCATTTCTCTGATGAGAATCCCACAGGCGCCTGGGCTTTACCAATGTGGGGGTCCAGGAGCCCGTGGACACAGGCAAGCCCGAGGGAAATGTTTTCCACCTGGACACAGCATGACGAGGAGGGCTGGGGGGAGCGGGGCCCTTTCCAGCCCTGGCTCTTCATCAGCTGGACCATGTGGGGAGGAAGAATTCTCTGCCCCGCCCTGGGCTTCAGGCGTCGGTGTTAATGATCTCCTGGGTTGTTTTCCTTAACATTTGAATTAAAATCCCAAGAGGAGAATAAGGATTGGAAATAAGCTAGGAATTGAATCAAGTTGAGTTTTTTGCTTTTTGAGCAATGAGATTCAAGATCTTTCCTCTTATCCTGCTGGGCCTGCGTTTGATCCCAGCATGGTCCCAAAATCCATCCAAAGAGGGCAGGAAGTGCACAGACCTCGGGGTTCAGTAGGCTCTCAGGCAGTTCAGATACCGTGTGTGCAGTGGCGCTTGTGGCCCACCTGGGGACACAGGCTGCCGCCTTGATGCTGCTCCCCTGGGACCAGCCCGATGCCTGGTGGGGGGGCTTCTCTGGGCCCTCAGCTGCCCTTAGGGCCGCCCTTCCAGGTGGCTCGCCACAGCTCCTGCTCCAGTGCCCTTAGCAAACATTTCCTAGACACGTCTCCTGGTCCAGGCATCGTGGACCTCCCTGGGGTGAGTAGTCAACACAGACACAGTCCCTGCCTGCTGGGAGTGGCCAGTGGCTGAGACAGACACAACTTCAGCCGTCGTGCAAACAGGTCATCTTAGCAGTGACCACTGCCACCAACGAGTTGTCACAATTCTGCAAGAGCTCGTGACGGGAGCTCACCAGTCTAGTAGGGAAGGTCAGGGAAGGCTGCTTGGGAAAACAGTTATGGCTGGTGCAGAGGAGGGTGCGGCCGGTGCAGAGGAGGATGCAGGAGGAGTGGGAGAAGCCAGTGTGGCCCAAGGGAGCTGGGGTGCACCTGGGACTAGAGCAGGCTGGGGTCCTGGCGCGGGCTCTTCCTCAGGGCAGCAGGACGCCACCACATGCTGCGCTCAGGATGGAGGTTTTGTTTTAAATTGTGGCGAAATACACATACAAGTCACCATCTGAACCATTTTTAGGTGTGCGGCTCAGAGTAGGGACAATCGCAGTGCTGTGCAAACCACCTCCAGAACGATTTCATCTTCCCAAACGGAAACTGTACCCCCCACCCAGCCCCTGACACCCCCACTGGTCTTTGATTCCTTTAGGGGCCTCAGCTGAGTAGAATCATGGTATTTGTGCGTGTGTGTGACTGGCGTGCTTCACCGTGTTGCATGCGCGTCAGGATTTCCTTCCTTGAAGGCTGAATCCTACTCCACGGAAGGGATGTGCGTTTTGCTGACTCATCATCCGCGGGTGGACACTGGGGGGCTCCATGTTTCAGTCTTGCGAATCATGCTGCTATGAACAGGGATGTGCACATGCCCGTCCGAGATTCTGCTTTCAGTTCTTTCATCCCGTTTTCCACAGTGCCTGCCTCAGTTCAGGTTCCCACCAGCCGTGCACGAGCGTTCCAGTTTCCCCACATCCTCACAACGCTCCCTTTCCATTCTGTTCCGTTTTGATCCCGGCCATCCTCACGGGTGAGCAGGTGGCTCGCTGCAGCTGGGTCTGCGTTTCCCCGGTGAGCAGGGATTCTGAGCCTGTTTCATGCTTGTTGGCTGCCTGGATGTTGGCTTCTCCCTTCTTCCTGATGTGATTTTGGGCGCGTCTCTGTCTCCCCGGCAGATTTTAAGCTCCTCTAGGAGAGGGTCCGAGGCTGACTTAGCACTGCATCACCCTCTACCCGCACCTGGCACAGGTGGGTGCTCAGGAGAGGCAGCTTCCCTAATTAGTGAAGGGCACATGTGGTTGTGCTGAGGCCCTTGTGTCTTCCAGCCCTCAAGGAGAGCCCGCGGTGTGAGCTGAGGTGTCGAGAGGGAAGTGTACTGAGGTCTGCAGCTCACTTGGAAGTGAATACAAAAGTATGATATGTGTTTATAATTCTTTATTTCAAGAATATACTTTAGCTGGACACAGTGGCTCATGCCTATAATCCCAGCACTTTGGGAGACCGAGGCAGGAGCATCTCTTGAGCTCAGGAGTTCCAGACGATATTGGACAATATAGTAAGACCCCATCTTTACAAAACATCTGGGAAAAAAATTAGCTGGGCTTGGTGGCACATACCTGCAGTCCCAGCTACTCAGGAGGCTGAAGTGGGAGGATCACTTGAGCCAGGGAGGTAGAGGTTGCAGTAAGCTGAGATTGCATCACTGCACTCCAGCCTGGGTGACAGAGCAAGATCCTGTCTTAAAAAAAAAAAAAAATACACACACTCTTTATATTCAGTTTAAGGTAAAATTTACACACAATGAAATGCATGGATCTTGAGTGAGTTTTGATAAATTCACACACCTGTGTAACCCACACCCGGCAGATATTACAGAACATAGCCATCAGCCTAGAAGGTTCCTGACACCCCCAGCTTCCACGCTCCCACCACAGATGCATTCAGCCACTCTCTGACTTCACATAGATAAAGCCGTCCAGGGGCCAGGTGTGGTGGCTCATGCCTGTAATCCCAGCACTCTGGGAGGCCGAGGCGGGCAGATCACAAGGTCAGGAGATCAAGACCATCCTGGCTAACACAGTGAAACCCCCGTCTCTACTAAAAATAGAAAAAAAATAGCTGGGCGTGGTGGCGGGCACCTGTAGTCCCAGCTGCTGGGGAGGCTGAGGCAGCAGAATGGCATGAACTTGGGAGGCGGAGCTTGCAGTGAGCCGAGATCGCGCCACTGCACTCCAGCCTGGGTGACAGAGCAAGACTCCGTCTCAAAAAGAAAAAAAAAACAACCATCCAGGGCGTCCACTTTGCACCTGGCTTTCTGTTCTCAGCATCGCGTCTTGGGTCTTCCATTTCTGTGTGTGTCCAGCTCGCCCAACCTCACCGCCTCGTGCTGTTCAGCTGTGCGCATCCGCCACGGCTTATTTATCCATTCTCCTAGTTTAGGCTCTTTTAAATCAAGCTGTCATGAACTTTTAAGTTTTAAAATAATTTTAGATTTACCACAAAAGTTGCAAAAACAGAAGAGAATTCTGTATACCCTTCACCCAGGTTCTCCTAAGGTTTTCTCAACCTAAGAGGAAGAAGCTGAGGCAAAATTAACCCAAGTAGAGAGCTATCTGGGCCAAGCTTGAGGAACTTGCCGCTTGGGAACACTGATTAAAGTTGCCCTTAATATACACTGTGATTAGCAGCAGTTACAACTGGATTTTTTTTTAGTTGAGGTCTTGCTCTGTTGTCCAGACTGGAGTGCAGGGGCATAATCAGAGCTCATTGCAACCTTGTACTCCTGGGCTCAAGCAATTGTCCTGCCCCAGCTCTCCTGAGTCACTGGGACTGCAGGTGCCACCACACCCAGCTATTTAAAAACATTTTTTTGTGTGTGGAGACAGGTTCTCACTATGTTGCCCAGGCTAGTCTTGAACTCCTGGCCTCCAGCAATCCTCCTAAAGTGCTGGGGTTATAGCCATGAGCCACTGCACCCAGCCACAAGCAGGTTTTTTAAGGTAAAAAGGCGGGGCAGGGAGTGGACTGATATAAAGTTGTTTGTCAGAAATTCTCATTGGTTTGCAGAGATAACATTGATTGGCATTGGCTATCCATAGCTAAGCTACAGGCCATGGGTTATAGTGTCTGGTGCAGCATTACTGCGTTAATTGATAGTTACCGTGGCAATAGCAGTTTCCAGAGAGGAACGCATAGCTCAAAGTGGAGGAGTAGGGCATGACTGCTGCTTCGTTTTAATGTGTCTCTGGGCCTGATCATTAAAAGGACCTGCATACTTCAGATAAAGTTCTTTTTCTTTCCCAGCTAGCATCTCGTACAGCCACAGTGCATTTGCCAAAACCAGGACACTAACATTGGTACAACATCATCACCCAAGCCACACACCTGTCCTAATCCCACAGGTTCCCGTGGACATCCTCCTCCTGACCCAGGGTCCCCACCCCCCCCTGCGAGTTGGCGGTGTACGGAGCTGTGTGTCCCCACCCTCCCGTCCCGCCCCCCGCAGGCTGGCGGTGTACGGAGCTGTGCGCCCCCACCGCGCCACGAGCTTTCAGTGCACAGAACTGAGTGTTCCCCACCCCACGCCCCGCCCTCTGCGAGCTGAGTGTCCCCTCATGGAGCTGTGTGTCCCCCCACCCCGCCACGAGCTTTCAGTGCACAGAACTGTGTGTTCCCCACCCCCCGCCCCGCCCCCCGCGAGCTGACGGTGCATGGAGCTGGGGTGCGCGGAGCTGTGTGTGTCTCCTCGGGCTCCTCCGGCTGTGGCGCCGCCTGTGTCTTTCCTTGTATTGTGTGGCCTTGGTCCTTCTGAAGACTTCTCGTCTGTTATTTCATAAAGGGTCCCCAGTGTGGGTTTAGCTGGGGTTCTCTCGTGACGGGAACGAGGTCGTGCATTTTGGTAGGAATAGCATGGATGGTGCATCCTCCGCGTGGAGCAGAGCAGGTGTGATGTTGAGGGCGATGTTGCTGGACCACGGGGCTGAGGTTGTGTCTGCTGGTTTCTCCTCGGGGAAGGGGCTTCCTTTTGGGAAGTCCCTGTTCAGAGCTTTCCTCCGTAGTTAATGGCTCTCCGAGCGCTGCTTTGAGACTGTGCAGGGCCTGCTTCTTGGGCCTGGTTCTTGAGTCTCTGCTCCTGGCCTTGGCACCGGGTGCTCTCGGGCTCCCAGGCACTGGCCTGTCGTGCTTTTCCACTCCCTGCGATTTGCTGTAAGGAAAGGCTGTTCCTTCTCCCCATTTGTCTGTTTGTTTATGTCAGTAGGGACACGTGGATACTTATTCCATGGGCTAAAATCCGGTAATGACAATATTTGTTTTGTTAAACAAATCACTCCAGCTTTGAGCTTCAGGAGCTCCTGGCTGGCTGCTGTGTTCTGTTGACCAGCTCATCATGGTTTTGCGGTGTGTGTGTGTGTTTTGTTAAGTATTTCCTTACTTTCTGGAACCATCAGAAATTCCAGGCTTGACTGTTTCTTTTCTTTTTTTTTTTTTTTGAGATGGAGTCTTGCTCTGTCACCCAGGCTAGAGTGCTCCGCCTCCCGGGTTCACGCCATTCTCCTGGCTCAGCCTCCTGAGTAGCTGGAACTACAGGCACCCGCCACCACCCCCGACTAATTTTTTTTTGTATTTTTTGGTAGAGACAAGGCTTCACCGTGTTAGCCAGGATAGTCTCGATCTCCTGACCTCGTGATCCGCCTGCCTTCGCCTCCCAAAGTGCTGGGATTACAGGCGTGAGCCACCGCGCCCGGCCTGGGCTTGACTGTTTCTAAAATCCTTAGTCTATGCTTTCTTTCGTGGAGCTTTTTTTTTTTCTTTTTAATGTTGCCACATTGTTTCTTTACTTCTCTGCATGTCCTGAAAGCCTGCTGCTGGTCCCGGCCGACTCCATCAAGTTAATTGACCTTTTTGCCTGGAAGCCTTGAGGATTTTATCTTTAGCTCTGAAATGGAATAGTTTCACCAGCATGTCTCAAAGTTGGTGGTCTGGGTTGATTTTCTAGCGGCTGGCGAGCTCTTTGCACCGTGGATTCGGGTCTGTTTCTATGTAGGGACGGTCTTCCGGGAGCACAGCTATAGCTATGAGCACTGACCCACGGCTTTGCTTCCCTTCCTTAGGGCTGGGAGTGCTGCCCTCCTCCTCACCTTCCACTTCCTCCTCTTTCTTGCTGACCTGTTACTTTTCTCTTTATGTCATTTTATTTTCTTGTTTCTCCCCTTGCCTATTCTTCAACTGCCTCTTATTAAATTGTCGTTTGTGTTATTCTCCCTTGGGCATCTTACAATTTATTTCTCATTTTTGAGATGCTTTTTTTTTTCCTGAGTTCAATACATTCTTTTTTCATTTCTCTGATTTTTTGCCCTAAGCTGTTGAATTCCTAAATCGGGGTGTTTTTCCATATCCTTGAATGCTGTTTGCGTGTGCCCGGTTCTGTTTGGATGTACAGGTTTCTTCTGCCTTGTGTTTTTTCTTTTTTAAAAGTGGGGGAGGTCTCACTATGCTGCCCAGGCTGGCCTCCAACTCCTGAATTCAAGTGATCCTCCCACCTTGGCCTCCCAAAGTGCTGGGATTACAGGAGTGAGCCACCCTTCCCAGCCCTATGGTGGTTTTTAACAGGGAGGGAATTTGTATCAGTTCTTTTTCCTGATTTTCTTCCATAGTCTTCTGTGACGTTTTTGTTTTGGCTATTTTTGATATTGGGATATTTTACAAGGTTCCCAGCTTAATGAATCCCTTTTCTGTCAGCCTGGCGATGTCCACACATTTTAGTGAGGTTTTTTTGTTTCGTTTTGATGATGGAGGTTTGTGAATATTCCCAAGTTCATGGTCATATTTTGTCTCTCAGGACCTTATCTCTTTCTCTCTCTTTTTCTTCTTTTCTCTTCCTCTACCTGATTGCCAAAGGGAGCTTCTCTCTTCCTTTTTGCCTTCTTTTCTCCCCGGAAGTTCTGTGTTTGGAGGACTGATGTTTTCAATTGCATGCCTGTTTGCATCACTCTTGCCTCTCTGAGCCGGGTTTGCCTCTCTGAAGAGCTCACAGCCCATTTCCTGGCCCTCAGATCCTCGCGCTGCCCGTTAACAGGGTCTGGCTGCTTGGGTTCTCTGAGGCTTCTTTCCGGCAGTGACAGAGGCCCTGCCCAGGCACCTCTCTGGCTCACCCACGTGGAAAGCAGCTTTCTTCTTTGTGGTGGTGTCCAATGGACCCTTCATCGCTCAGCTTGGGTCCCTGTGGTTTCTGCCGGTCGCCTTTGCCACCAGAGGGCGGGAAGTAGTGGGGTGGGGAGCGGGAGGATGTGGGGCCTGGATTTGTTGCTTTTTCTCTTTTTACTCAGTTACTTAGCAGTTTTTGGCACTCTCCAGCTTCATCTTCAAGTCATGCCAAGGGTGTAGTTTGGTGAAGGATTTCTTGAGGTTGTAAAATTATTTTACATAATTTAGGAAGGAGATTTGGGGGGGGTTGATTATGGTAACAGCCTACATTAGCTTCCACCCTGATCATTCCCATACAAGGCACATTTTTTCATTTTTTGTGGAGAACCTTCTAGGGGTAGAACCACTGGGTTGTAAGGTAGGTGTGCATTTTGACTGATAAGAAAAACAAAACACCACATGCACCATTTTGGATGAAAGTTGTTCTGCATCCTTGCTAACATCTGGCATGGTTGGTCTTGTTAATTCCAGCCGTTCTGGTGAGTGGGTACCTGCCTGTCTTTCCTGGCACGGTTGGTCTTGTTAATTCCAGCCGTTCTGGTGAGTGGGTACCTGCCTGTCTTTCCTGGCATGTTGGTCTTGTTAATTCCAGCTGTTCTGGTGGGTGGGTACCTGCCTGTCTTTCCTGGCATGGTTGGTCTTGTTAATTCCAGCCGTTCTGGTTGGGGGGTACCTGCCTGTCTTTCCTGGCATGTTGGTCTTGTTAATTCCAGCCGTTCTGGTGAGTGGGTACCTGCCTGTCTTTCCTGGCACGGTTGGTCTTGTTAATTCCAGCCATTCTGGTGGGTGGGTACCTGCCTGTCTTTCCTGGCACGGTTGGTCTTGTTAATTCCAGCCGTTCTGGTTGGGGGGTACCTGCCTGTCTTTCCTGGCACGGTTGGTCTTAATTCCAGCCGTTCTGGTTGGGGGGTACCTGCCTGTCTTTCCTGGCACGGTTGGTCTTGTTAATTCCAGCTGTTCTGGTTGGGGGGTACCTGCCTGTCTTTCCTGGCATGGTTGGTCTTGTTAATTCCAGCCGTTCTGGTTATGTGGGGGGGTACCTGCCTGTCTTTGTGGGTTTAATGACCATTTCCCTGCCTGCTCATGATTCTGGGGGCTTCTTTACATCTGTTGGACATTTGTACACCTACTTTTGTGAAGTGCCTGTTGGATTCTTTTGCCTATTTTTTTAATTAGGTTGTTTGTCTTTTGACTTTATTTTTACTTTTTTTTTTTTCTTTTTGAGATGTGGTCTCCCTTTGTTGCTCAGGCTGGAGTGCAATGGCACCATCTCAGCCCACTATAGCCTTGACCTCCTGGGCTCAAGCCATCCATCCTCCCACCTCAGCCTCCTGAGTAGTAGGAGACCAGAGGCATCGGCAATCACACCCAGCTCATTTTTATATTTTTCTGTAGAGATGGCGTTTCGCCACATTGCCCAGGTTGCTCTCAAACTCTTGAGTTCAAAGTGATCCACCCACCTCAGCCTCCTAAAGTGCTGGGATTACAGGTGTTAGCCACCACGCTTGGCCAGCAGTTATTTTTCTAAAAGCATATTTAAAACATTATCCCAGCCAGGTGTGGTGGCTCACACCCAGTACTTTGGGAGGCAGAGGCAGGAGGATCATTTGAGTCCAGAATTTTGAAACCAGCCTGGGCAACATAATGAGACCTTGTTTCTACAAAAAATAAAACCACAATTAGCCAGGCATGGTGGTGCATGCCTGTAGTCCCAGCTACTCAAGAGGCTGAGGGGCAGAGAACCACCTGAGCCTGGGAGGGTGAGGCTGCAGTGAGCTGAGATTGTGCCACTACACTCCAGCCTGGGTGACAGAGTGAGACCCTGTCTCAACAACAACAAAACAAAAGCATGATTCCATTGTTGTGTGGCTTCCATTGTCCCTATAAGAAGTCAGCTGTTAGTCTAAATGTCTTCGTTTGACCTTGAGCTTTTCCCTTGGCACATTTTGTTATTTTGTCTTTGTGTTTCCTGCTCCTTCTCCTCCTTGAGTTTTCTTATGTAGATCTAGATTTTGACTTATTTTGAATCTTCAGATTGTTGTCTTTCATCAATTCTAGAGAATTCTGTCAGTATATCTTCAACTTTTGCATCTGGCAAGTTTTCCCCTTCATTTCTCCTTCTGAGAGACCTACTCATTCTATCTTTTATCTCTCGTAGCTTCTTCTCTGGGTTCTGCCTCTTTGTTTGTTTCTTTGTACTTAATTCCAGGTAATTTGTTCTCAATTATCTTCAGAGCATCCGTCCTCTCATCTGTTGTCCAATCTGCCACCAAAAGCGTCCATTGTGCCTTTTGTTTTAATTTATTACATTTGTTATTTCTAAGAGTGTTCTTTTTATTCAAATTTGGTATATCACCTTTTATAGTTTTCTACTCCATGAAGTTATTTTCAAGCTTGTAACTTATTTCTTCAAAGAAATAGAAAAAGTTTATGTGGTGGGGAGTAAGGGTATGTGGGAATTCTGTGCACTTTCTGCTAACTTTGCTGTGAACCTAAAACTGCTCTAAAAAGTCTAGTTTTAAAAATAGAATTGTTTTGTGAACTGTATTTGTCAATTCTAATGTTCAAAAAGTCTGGGTCTTTTAATTGTTTGTATCCTGGCTGTTTCTCATGTGCCTTGTTTCCTGGTTTCCTGGTTCTCATTGGCTAAATATTAGGACATGTTTGTGGGGTTTCTCTGAGACCTGGGATCAATGTGCCTCCCCCAGAGAGGGTCACAGTTGCTCCTGCCAGGCAGCTGGAGGCTCTCCAGTTGGGAACACTTCAAGCCCCGGTTTCAGTCTGGAGTCCCTTGGTCTGCTGAGGTCATCTGCTGATCAGTCTCTGTCACCACCCTCAAAGTTGGGGTTTCTCCTTCCTTTTCCTTTTCTTCTTCTGCTGCCTACCAAGGCAGGCTTCTCTGCAGTCCTATGGAATTGGGGTGAGGCAGAGTGTGGGTTGTATAGTTCTGTTTCCTCTTACCCTAAGGGTTTGAACAGGGGAGACTGTCCTGTGGAACCCCACACCAAAGCAGACATGGTCTTTGTCTCTCATCTCCCTCATCCCCACAAGGTGATGGAACACAGGTGCAGGCTGGGTGCTGGTGAATGCCCTCAGGCGAACACTGCTTTGGTTCTTCAGTAACCTGCTCATGTCTCTCAGTCTACATCGTCCCACGTAATGTGGCCTCTCAGCACTTTTGTTACCTTAAGTGGGAGGTGAGTTCAGACCCCAACCAACCCTAACCTAACTCTAGTTCTGACCTCACCTCGCTTGCCATTACCTGAGAGAGCTCTTCCAGTCCTCATTGTTTCCATGGTTTGAAGAGGGTTTGGCGCTGTTGGAGGAGTGGAGCAGTGAGAACAAAATGCTGGCCACTGCAGGTGTGGTGGCTCACGCCTGTAATCCCAGCACTTTGGGAGGCCGAGGCGGGCAGATCACGAGGTCAGGAGATCGAGACCATCCTGGCTAACATGATGAAACCCTGTCTCTACTAAAAATACAAAAAAAAATTAGCCGGGCATGGTGGTGGGCACCTGTAGTCCCAGCTACTCGGGTGGGGGCTGAGGCAGGAGAACAGCATGAACCCTGGAGGCGGAGCTTGCAGTGAGCTGAGATCGTGCCACTGCACTCCAGCCTGGGTGACAGAGTGAGACTCTGTCTCAAAAAAAAAAAAAAAAAAAAATGCTGGCCACTGAAAGCAGGCCTGTGAACATGGGGCTACCACGTCAGTTTTCAGCTCATTTCTGGAATGGCCAAGGATGGACCAGGGGAACTTTGCATGAACTTGGAAGAGGACATGGAATGAGGCCTCTTCATATAACTTCCCTTCCCAGTGTCTGTGTAAACTGTGGCTCGGAGGAGCTGGCAGGCTCAGGGAAGGTTCTGTGAATGTAAGGGGCATGCCTGGAAAAGGCCTGGGTACCCTCTTTTTTTCCCCAATAACTTCAATTTACCAAGAATTTAAAAAAAGGGCGTGTGTAGGAAGACCACCAAGAAGCTTCCTCTGTGAAGAAGCTCAGAGAAAAACTTCTTGGTTCGTGTTTCTGGTATCACTCACCTGCAGGGGTGCAGGCCAACATGGGAGGCTCTGCCAGAGGTTAGGGGCTAGCTTGGCAGATATGGGGGGAGACAAGGTGTGGTACAGGTGGGGTGTGTATGAGTCTGGGCCGGAACCACCCCTGGGTAGCCCACACTACGAACCAGTCTCTGCTAGGGCTGGTGCCAAGACCTAGGTCAAGAGTCAGACAGAGGCAGGATTAGTGCCATAGATTAAGGGAGGAGGGGGTCACCACTAGATTTCAGACCGGGCTAACAGATAAGACTAAGGTGTGGTCAGTGAGCTGAAGTCAGGAATAGAGAGAAGCAGCACCACGGACAGCACCGAAGCTGTTCCCCTGGGCTCGGGGACAGCTGCCCACTTCTTCACAGAGGCAGTTCCAGCTTCCTGAGCCAGCCCTGGCCCTGAGGCCTGGGGATGGGGAGAGTCCTGCACTCCTACACCGAGGACCCTCCGCTTGGGGATAGTGAGAGTCCTGCACTCCTACACCGAGGACCCTCCGCTTGGGGATAGTGAGAGTCCTGCACTCCTACACCGAGGACCCTCCGCTTGGGGATAGTGAGAGTCCTGCCCTCCTACACCGAGGATCCTCCGGTGCACTTGGAAGGTGTTGGATGCTTTGGGGGCTCAGGGGGCGCAGATTTCTTAGGGCTGCTGGGGTTGGTTTTGTTCTTTTTCTCTCTCCAGGGGCCTGAGCAGTGATTCTAAAGTTGGACTCTTAACTGGGAGGTGCACAGCAGATTCTTTCCTCAACAGGAGTAGTGCCTTTCTCTGGGAGGCATAGAAAACAAATTGCTATCAATAGAACTCTTTTCAAGACCTTTACAAATAAACCCCAGAAAGACTGAAGCAGATTTCAAATAAATTGTCCAAGTATCAATGACAAACATGTCCTCTACGATGACATGCAGAGTTCATGCAGGCAGGTCACGTTGGCCACCAGCATTGATCAGTACTTGGTCTCGAAAACAGTGGCTAAGAGCACATGATTTGCGAATGGCATAAGAAAATTAAAATGCAACATCTTTTTTTCTTCAATGTTTGGAAAGAAATTAAAACTGAGCAGGTCTTGCCAAGAAGCCCGCAGGCCATGATGAAATGGGATTGGGAAGCAGGAGTGAAGGAGAGAGGCAAAGGATGGATGTGTGTGCGCAGTTTGCCCGCCGGCAAGCAGGGTTTGAGCCATATCAGTTGGCATGTGCCTCGGTCTTAATTAATGCCTGCTCTCACTTCACTGTCTTTTTATCCCGACATCTTAACATTCTATCTGAACTTGGTCAACAGGAGACTAATGAGCTGCCCCGTGGTGTCCTGGCTCAACCACCCTCTCACCCTTGCCTCCCCCGGGGTTTGTGTCCCACTGTGCCATCAGGCGACCTGGAGGTGCAGAGAGCCCAGTAATTAGCCTTCTCCCCATGGGGTTCCTGGGCTTCTGCCCCCTTCCTGCCTCAAGTCTTGTTCAGATATTCTGAAGAGGAATTCCAGCTGTCATTTTCCCTGGAGCTCCCCACAGTGCATGCGGATGGTCCAGAATGAGTTTCCTTCCAAGTGCTGTGAACATGACTCCACCTGGGGACACTTGAGTCCGCCTGGGGACACACGCCGCCCTTGCCCATCCATTTCCAGCCAGCATTGCCTGCTTGTTTGTGGTCAGTTTGTGTTTGTCTTTTTAAAAGTTTGGCTCAGAAGTTGGAAAATCTGGATGAGTCTGGCCTCGTTCCTGGTGAGCGGTGGGACCCTGGGCACCTTCTGTCACCCCCACACTCAGTTTCTCCACCAACAGTGAGGGCGCCTCTCAGCACATTGCCACCGGGCTGTAAAGCTTGTCCGTGGCCTGTGGAGGTGATGGGTGCAGCCCATCCCCAGCGTCTCTGCTGCTCACTGTTGTCCACGTTGAATTGGTTTAATCGCAAGCTGTGAGCATGTCCTCTGCCTTTATTTTGCATGCAGAGAAAGCCCTGGAAACCCAAATACCCACTAACCCCATCCAGGTCTCAGGGTCCCATCTTTTCCTACAGGGCCCTGACTTTGGTACTGGAGACCAATCGAGGCCATGTGTTCCATCCCCTTTGTGGCTCTGCTGCCCTTAGAGTTCCTGCACCTGGTGTTCAGTGGCCACAGGATACTAGGGCCTCCTTATCTGCCACCACGAGGGCCATCGGACTTGGGCAGTGTGCGCTGGGTTGAAAGCGAGGCAGATCATGCCTGTCATTTTCTTTTTGTGAGGCCACCGAAGCTGCCAGCAGAAGCCCTCTGAAGTCCTCACAGTTGCACTGACCCATGGGAGCCAAGTGGTCCCCACCTCCCGTCTGTACTTTGTCCCGGTGCACCACCAGTGAGGCTGCTGAATGCCAGGGGCATCGCCACCCACACCCACTGCAGGAGGGCTCTCGCCTGGCCTGATGGTGACTGATCCATTTCCAGAATACCAGGCACTCGGGGGTCCAGCTCCCACCCAGTGGTCCAGATCCCATCCAGGGGTCAGAGGTCCAGCTCCCGCCCTGGGTTCCAGGTCCTGCCCTGGGGTCCGGATTCTACCCTGGGTTCTAGATCCTACCCAGGGGTCTAGAATTCCACCCTGGGGGTGGCTCTCAGCCTATATCCCACCAGTGCTCATCCCAAGCGGAGCTCAGACAAGGACCTGTGTGTAGCATGTGGTATTTTAGGAAGGACTCCGGGGAAAGGAATGGGGGCTGGGAAGAGTGAACCAGGGAGGGAGGAAGGTCAGCCCCAGAGGCTGTGCTGGCTGCTGGCCACTACTGTGGCAACATCTGGGCGCAACCCCCTGGGACCCTCGAAAGAGCCGGAGAGTGGGCCTCACTGTTGTCCACCCCAGGAGGGAAGAGGCGTGCGCTGACTTCCTGGCTTCAGACCCACTGGCTGGACGTGCATTGGGTGTGAGCTCCTTGCACACCAGGCTTTGCGTGCATGAAAGAGGCCTCATGTCCTGTGGTTCCAGGAAGCCCAGAGCCCAGCGTGGGCAGGAGCACGCCGCCGACTGCCTTGCCACTGTATCGCCCTCAGAGGCTGGTTGCACAGGAAGGATAAATGTGGGATGCTCACAGGACACACGCTGCCCCGCCGGTTAGTGTCAGAACTGCATGAGATGCAGCACAGAGTGCATTTAGGAGGGCCCCGGCATGTGGCACAGGCCCCACGAGGCTGGCGATTCCTGTCGTCACCTGAGCAGCCCTGCACGTGTGTGTTCTCCGCTTGGCCTTCTTCTCCTTCCTGTGCAGGTATCTCTGCTCTTTCGAGTACAGCAGGGGTGTCGACCCCTTGGTGCTGGGTGCTCAGGGCTGAAACGAAGGCAGCTGGGTCCTGTGTCAACCCCAGTGAGAGGGACGCTGTCTCCAGTGCCGTCCTGGACAGCGCCTCCCTCCCTCAACCCAGCATGAATGCAGTGTGTTCTCTGCAGTGGTTTTGGATCAGATACACTAATAACGCACATAATGGCACTGTGACCACACTGCACACTGGTGCGTACGAAGTGGAGACAGGGTTCGGGTGACACTCAAACAGGAGAGTCTGCAATCAGGGCCGCATCCTGGGGCTGGACGGGGCCAGATCCTCGGCCCCTGACGACTCAAGTCCAAGTGCTGCCTGCCACATCCTTCCCTCAATTAAGGGACTGGCTTGGTGTCCGGTGTTTGGGGCTGCTTGGTGGTGGGAATGAGTCTCAGATCCTGTGAGAGCCACCGACCTATGGGAACAAGGCTGAGGTCAACACCTTGGGGCCCAATTTATTCCCATGGATTCGGCAGTGACTTTGGAACGAGGCTGCTTTCATCTGGTGATGGATTCATTTGGCACCCATGGGTGGAAATACAAAGTGAGGGCCTCAGAGCTGATCTCTGATGTGGTTTGTGGTTCACAGGGCTCTGGAAGTAGCCCCTGCTGCAGCCCAAATCAGCTCCGTAGACCAGGCACAGGTGTATCCAGGCCCCAGGGGCGCAGGGTGACGGCCTCCATCGGGAAGAGGTAGCGAGGCTTTTGCTCAACTTCCCTGCAGGTGGGAGGAGGAGCCTGTCCTCCCCACAACCTTTCTCTGGAGGGTCCTGTGTGCTAACCCCATCTGCTGCGGAGCAGAGAACCCTCCTCCCCGGAGGCCGCTCCCCTGGGCACGCAGGTGGTGAACTTCAGCAATGACTCATTTGCCGTGGGCAGCTGGTGAAGATGCTTCTTAGTATTTTCATGTGTCATTCTGGTTACACGTGTGTGAGGATCAAAAAAGTCAGTTACCCAAAGCAGTGGGGAGGGGACGCACCCGGCTGTTGGAAAATCACAGGTTGTCTTGATGGGTGCTGCATCCAGATGCTTCTCGACAGACGAGGGAGTCATATGTCTGGATAAATCCACCGTATGTTCAAGCGATCAAAAATGCATAAAGTACCCCGGTAATCCCATCATAAGGTCGAAGCCTTGTAAGTTGGCACCGTCTGTGCTTCTGGTTCAGGATTCCGGACGGAGCTTCTTGTGCGGCTCCTTGGTCATCCTTCGCATCGCGTCGCGCCCACGTGAGCCTGGCTGCCTGGCTTCACGCCACCGAGGACTGTCCCAGGGCCACAAGCCCCAGCTGCAGTGGTTGGAGCCGTCGGATGCCCGGCTTGTGTCTGTCTGACTCTGAACAGCTGTTCGCGCGGACGACAAACGCGACCCAGGATGCTGTCTCCTGTGCATTTTCAGCTGCCACGTCCCTAAAAGAACGTCCTGGGGCTTTTGCTAAACTTCCTGCAGATGGAGAGGAGCCTTTCCTCCCGCTGAGCTTCCTTTGGACAGCCTCTGGGTGCCGTCCCCACCTGCTGCTGGTGCCATGTCCGCCATGGGGCATCGTGATGAAGCAGCTTTGGGAGGCTGGACCCTGTGCCTGCCAGGAGACACTGTGCGCTGGCCACAGGATTGTGCATTTGAAGCCTTTCATATGAGCCAATATTTTCCATTTTATTGGAGATGAAGGTGCAAGAGATTGACTTGTTCAAGTCAGGGTGAAAACGCCCAAGTTTGTATATTTCTAACTTAACAGAGCCTGGCGTGGTGACCACAGCAAGGATGACCCAGCCGCCCTGTGCAGGAGGAGGCCAGGCTCAGCCCTGAGGCTCTGTCCCTTTGTGGGGCTCTTGGGCCTCCACCGTCTTGATGTCTGGGGGTGCCGAGGCCGACCCCTCAGGGCATGCAGCCTCCAGCAGTCTTCAGAGAGATGCCAGAGCGGCCTTGGAGGATCGCAGCAGGCGCTTAGTGGGGTGGTTGTGGCGAGGGCCCCACCCACCTGCAGGAATGAGGTAGGCAAGAAATTGTCCCCAGGGAGGGGGCTGGTGCCAGGGCATCCCAGCTCCACCCTACCTGTCCCTTGTCACTGGCCTTGCTAATTTGCAGGTGTTCAAATTCCCAGATATAAGCTGACTTTACCTTGGAGAACCAGAGGGACTGAGAGAGAAAGAGGGAGGGAGGATGGGGAGCTTTCAATCTGGGTTGCTGGAAAGGACAGGGGAGAGTGGAGCCGTGAGCCCTGGAGCCACAGCCACAGCTGCTGGGTTGGGCAGGCCATGCTGTCCCTGGGAGCCAGAGGCTGCATCTTCATGCCCTCTTGGGAACAGGAAGGGGAGATAAAACATTGCTGAAGGAGGCTGCTGCGAAGACCCTGGCATAGAGCTTGGACCCTCGATGCACTGAGCCCTGTGACACTGGACGAAATAAGCCCACCTCAGCACCAAGAGAGGGCAGAAACGTGTCTGTTTCCACTAACTCTGGGTAGGGGAATGTTTTAGGGGGACTTTGAAGAGCTAGGTCTTTGCCTCCCCCAAGTTTGAGGCTGTAAATAATGCAATCCTGTGACTGCAAACTGCCCGGCCGGGAGGTGATGATGAGATGGGGGCCAGGCAGGTTCTGGTGGGCGGGGCAGTCACAGGGGCAGGCACAGGCAGGCTCTGAAGAGACAGGGAGAGAACAATACGGCTATTCTAGGAGATGCAGAGAAAGCGCTTGATGACTTGCAGCACCCATTTACAATTTTAAAAAAATGGACACTTAGCGAATTCGGAATACAGATGAAGGCTTTAACCTGAGGAAGGGAACCTACCAAAATCCTGCAATGACCCTGGTGCGTGTTCCTGCAAGGCAGGAATGAGAGAGGGGTGCAGGCTATCTCGCATGAATTTGCCTCTCCTGAATGATTAATGATGTTTCGTGTCATGGAAAACCTACCTAGCACAAAAAGGTAGGAAAATAATGTAAAAGTATAAAGATTGGAAAGAAACAAAAATATCATTCACAAATGATTTTCTACATAGAAAATACAAGAGAATGGCCAGGTGCAGTGGCTCACGCCTGTAATCCCAGCACTTTGGGAGGCTGAGGCGGATGGATCACTTGAGGTCAGGAGTTTGAGACCAGCTCGGCCAACATGGTGAAACTCCGTCTCCACTAAAAACACAAAAATTAGCTGAGCATGGTGGTGGGTGCCTGTAATCCCAGCTACTTGGGAGGATGAGGCAGGAGAATCGCTTGAACCAGGGGTGGTGGGGGAAGGTTGCAGCGGGCCAAGATCGCACCACTGCACTCCAGCCTAGGCAACAGAGTGAGACTCCATCTCAAGAAAAAAAAATACAAGAGAATATAGAAACAAACTCTTAGGAATAATAGATTTCAGCAAGCTGCTAGTATAAGGTAAATATGAAGTGAGTAACAGTCCTGAGCACCACCTTCTTGCTAGTTGTGATGAGGAAAGGTATCAATAGCACACACACACCTGCCGTGACGGCGCACACACACACCTGCCGTGACGGCGCACACATACACCTGCCGTGACGGCGCACACACACACCTGCCGTGATGGCGCGCACACACACCTGCCGTGACGGCACACACACACACGTTAGGCACCAAGGAGTAAATGCATCACACGTTGTGCAAAACCTTTTGGGGAAAAGCTATATAATTTCGTTGAAGACATAAAAGAAGTCCTAAATAAATGGAGAACTAGCCTACGTTCACAGGCAAGATTCAATGTCAAAGAGATGTCATTTCTTTCCCGGTTAATCTATAAACTCATTATAATTCCAATCAAAATTGAAACCAGTTTTTATTGAGCTTGGCAAGTTGATATAAAAAGGCCAAATTTGAAGATTATATCACTAGAGGCACGTTGGGGCAGAGCTTGACAGAGACCATCACAGTAGAGAACTTAGGGTCCCCAAAAATGGAGCAGAATTGCCACCCAAGCTGGCATTGCCAGGTCAGCGGTAGCACGGGGCTCTCGACGAGGAAGGGTGCACGCTTGGCTTTCCACATGGAGAAGACCCAAGGGTGAAAAGCTAAAACAGACCTCTAGGAGGAAACCTGGGGAGATGTTTTCATGTATGAGACATACATTTCTTAAGAAACAAAAACATAAAACAGAGGAAAACATGTGGGTAAAATGGTTCAATTGAAAGTTTCTGGAGAATGGAAGGCAACATAAAAACTGCAAAGACTAGCTGAGGCTTCGCCAACACTGGACTCCTATCCAGATGGTAGACAAAGACTAGCCGAGGCTTCACCAACACCGGACTCCTATCCAGATTGTAGAACAGCCTCCTTCAAAGCCACGGGTGATGAGCCACAGAGGGAAAGGGGGGCCGGGTGAGCCCAGACGAAGAAACCTGAGAGCCATGGATGATGAGCACGCCACAGAGACACAGGGGAAGAGGGGCCGGGAGAGCCCAGATGAAGAAACCTGGGCAGCCAGTGAGTGGCTGATCATGAGTACTCAGGAAATGCACATTAAATTCAACAGGGAGAAATCCTCTCTGCCCCTCAGACTGCCCATCAGGCTTGGGAGGTGTCGGGAGACAGGCGTTCATCCTGGTCGCTGCTTTGGGTAGCAGCTTGCAGTGCTGAAACAGTCAAAGATGGCTGTCCCTCAGCCCTGCCACCTCCCATTCAAGCGCCTGCTCTGAAAGCTCCTGAGCAGATGGGCCTGAGATGCAGACAGGGGTGCTCGTGGCAGCACCATTTACAATGATGCGAAAACAGAACCCGCCTAACTCCCCGTCAGCCAGGAGGAGGTGGGAAACCAACACAGCGCATGGTTATTTCATATGCGGGGATACAGCGAAGATGGACGAAGATCTACACGCACCAGTGCGGATAGCCCTCGAGGACATGACGTTGAGTGAAAAAAGAAAATTGCAAAAGGATATGTAGAGTATGATGCCAATTATGCTATTTCTCCAAAACACAAAAAGCAATGATGACGAATTCATAGTTATGTAGTAAAAATACAGAAGCCATGCATGGGAATAAAAAAACAGGTCTCAGTCATGAGACAGAGGGACCGAGGATGGGAGCCCCTGGGGGCAGTCCTGGCAGGATTCCAGGAGGAGGTGCCTTTGCATGACGGGAGCTGGGGTGGTGGGTCCAACAGCTGTGTGCAGGGCCTGGAAGGCGCAGGCCTGTCTGGGAAGGGAGGAGAAAAGGAAGGCAGCCATATTTTTGCTTGGATAATAACTGGTGAATGGCTGTGTCAGGACCTGCAATATAATAGAAGGAAGAGTGAAGTTTGGGGCAGGGCAGGTTATTTTTGGACCCGCCGGGTCTGAGAGGCCCCCGAGGAATTGTATGGAGACACCGGGCCAGCAGGACGGGTGGGTCTGGGAATCAGCGATGGAGCAGCAGAGCCCTGGATTTGGGTGTGATCATGGGAGTGGCCAAGCTCCCCCAGAAAGGACAGGTGACAACTGCCCGTGGGTGGGAAAGGGAAGCCAGGGACGGGCTGTGGGATCAGACTTGGGCCTCGTGGTGCCTGGTGAGGCAGCCACGTGAGACATAGAGACCCACTGGAGGTCGTGGTTTTCCCAGACCCTGTGACACAAGTGAGGCCTGCTGTTTAAGCCTCTTTTCCTCAGAACACGTCCTGGGGGTGCTGGCTCCATCCCAGGTGCTGGGGCTCGGTTTCTGGGATCTGGAAGAATTAGGGTGGAGCTGGCAATGTGGCTGGGAGGCTCAAAGCTCAGCTTCTTGAGGACTAGCAAGGATGGTTTTCTTATTCATCTATTCCTGTGTTTTCCAAATTCTCTACAATGAGCACATTTCACTTTTACAACTAGAAAAATGGATGCTATTTAAAGAGCAGGCTGCTCCCTAAGCTGGAACGCCGGGTGTCAGCCCGGCCCAGCACCCACCTGCTCTCCGCCTCAGCCAGCGTGGGGATTTGGAAGGGACAGTGTCTCCCTCTGGGCTCCGGGAGAGAACGGACCGTCTGCAAGGGGCACGTTTACTGCAGGAATCAAAAGCACATACACGCATGTGCATCTGTTTGGAAATGAAAGTAGATGTTTTTTCTGATTCTAAAAATATTGTTTCCAATTCTACAAAAAAAATACATACAATTCAGAAAGATACAAAACAAAATATCAAGTCACCTGAGATCCTATCACCTGGAGCTATGGCCACTTTAGAGCTTGGTATCTACGCTTTCAGGCTTTGTTTTTCTTGAGTGCAACACACACAGGCACGCGTTTTTAAAAACAAATAATGTGATCATACTATACACACTTTTTTAAACAGAAATGTGAGCATACGATACCAGCTTTTTTATGGCTGACTTTAAAAAACTTAAACAATAGGTTGTTTACGTCTTTCTGTTAAGCTTGGACTGGGGACATTTTTAAATGGCCCCATTGTATTTGGACGTATGTGCGTTTCCCATCGCTTGTTAAATCACTCCTCTGTTGGACGTCTAGGATGTTTCCAATTATTCCCTGTTATATTATGGACAACACTGCCGTAAGCATCCCTGAGTGAGTTATATTTAAAGGCTTACAACAGCGCCTGGCACGGGGTAGGTGCTATAAAGTATTTGGACTAAAGTCAAATCTGTGCACACACCATCCTTGTGTTGTTTCCCCAGGATCAATTCCAGCAGGAGGACAGCTGGGCTGAGGGGGCACTGCCCTCGTCAGGAAGGTTGTCCCCGTGGCCTGCCTCCGACTGAGGAGGAGCCACCCTCGGGGTCGGGCGTGGACCCCGAGCCGCCGGCATGGGAACCCTCTTTGCTTCAGGGCAACACGGGAGGGGTCTGGATCTCCGACCCACCGTTCCGGGTCTGAATCCAGCTCCGGGACCTGACAGGGATGTGATTGTGGGGCAGCCGCATGGCCTCTTGGCGCTCCAGCCTCCTCCCCTGTGACATAGAGGCAGCGATGGTTGGTAACCAGGGACAGCGGGCGGCTCCGTCACACGAGTCAGGACATGTGACCCTTGGAGGGTTGTTGCATCACCCTGGACGTTTGGCCAGACGTGTGGCCATGGTTTTAATCAGGACAATTTTTTGCTTGCTCTAACTTATGAGGGTGGCCAGATCTAGACAGACAGCAGAAGTAACCCGAAGTCCTGGCCTGCCCTGTGCCATCCTCTGACATGTTATCATCGGCGTTCACTCTGTGGGCTCCTCTCGGGGTGATGCCTGCCGGTCTCAGCTTTGGGGTGAAGTGACATTTGGCCTTGACTAGAAGAGGCAGGTTGTGGGGGGCAGGCAGGGTGCAGGCGAGGGAACTGAGGCAGAGCGGGCTGGGAGCAGGGGGGATGTAGGGTCCTCCCAGGCTGACCCCCAGAACCTGGGCGTGCAGGCCTGCTCTGGGGTCCAGGCTCCGATGCAGTCTCAGCGCAGGCCCTGGTGGCCGGAGACAGGGCAGGGCAGGAGCTTCAGGCCACCCGCACCGGCAGCCCTCAAGGCTGCCTTGATGGAATCGGACCCAGATGGACTCTAAGCGGCCTCCTGCTTGGAAACCCTGTCAGACCCTGCGTTTTCTACAGAGCGGCTGTCACACGGCTTTTCCGGACGGTGATTATGGACTGCGTGTGGGATTGGCGGGCCAGGTGAGCTCTCGTGCTTGCCCTTCACACAGGAATGCTGCTGGTCTCCTGTGTCTGGTTCCCGTCTGCATTTTCAGTCCTCAGTGTTGAGTGTGTGCAAATCCCTTCTATCACCTGACATTTAAAATAGATACCCTCAGAGTGGAAGTTCGTTCCTATTATTGACCCGCTCACTCTGCAATCTTGAAGGGGGTTCTCCAAGCAGGAGGGAAAGCCGGCCAGAACGCGGTCCTGGAGCAGCCAGGAAGCCGAGGGGGCGGTGAGGGCAGGGATGGCCCAGCCGTGGCCTCTGCCGCTCGCTGGTTTTCACGTGAGACTGCCGCCGGGCCAACCCGGAGCCCAGGCCGCCTCTGCATCTGAATAGAGCCAAGCTGCCTTCAGGATCTCACCTGCGTGGCTGTGCCTTCGGCCGCCCGGCCGTGCAGAGCTGCGGGCCCCTTCCCCACCGAGAAGCGTCTGTTCGCGCCCTGCAGGGAGCTGGGCTGGGGGCTCAGAGGATGCCTCTGTGCTTGGCCTTAAGGTGCACAGGGAGAGCTTGGGCGATCCTGGCTCAAGGGCTCTGCTTGGAAACAGCTCGGGGAAATGGTTCCTCCCCCTGGATGTAGTCACAGCGTGGTAAATTCCATCTGAAAAATAAAAGCCGAGCTCTTTGCTGAGTCATAGAAGCTCGGAGCTGATTTGCGCAAAAGCCGGACTGAGTCTTGGACGAGCCGGGAAAGATTCTCACAGTCGAGCAGAGCGATGGGAGAGAGGAGCAGACAGCGAGCTTTGGAATGTGAGTGTTTATTTTCTGACTGCTGCAGAGGCTTTGTTGGTTTCGGTTTGGCTGTCTCTGCACAGGCTCTTTCCACCTGGTGCTCTTCTGTATTTAGTGCGCACACGTATGTGGCTGGAAAGTTGACAGTTTGGGGTCTGTCCTCTGAGGGGTGCAGGGACGATCACAGAGGAAGATGCTTCATTTATCCGTTTTCACGTTCATGCTCATGCACACATTTGGAGGAGGCTTGGGCCTGCGTTCCCAGTAGTAGGTTTCTCCTTTAAAGCATGGGTGTGTGTTCCATCCCATATGTAAAGCGGATGCTTGTTGGCACGGCAGCCGTGGTGGGGTGGGTTGGGGAAGCCAGGCTGAGTCTGTGTATTGCCGGCTGTGGTGAGAATCCCACGGACATAGCACCAGAGAGCTGTCTGCACAGCCCGGGAGGCCTGCGGCGTCCGGGTGCTTCCTGGCTCCGTGGGGTAACCGGCTGGACTTTTTTGCTGCTTGTTTTCCTTTTGAAGAATAGGTCATCTTTATGGCTTGAGGCCTCACCACCTACCTGCGCATTGATTGGATGGTGTCTTCTCTTTAAAACTTAATCAAGAATCACACATCACTCATTGATATAACTTCTTATGCAAGGAACTCCAGGTTTTTGGGAAACAACAGCTTATTAACTTACTAATTCACTCTTTGAGGTTATTGCACCATGCCTCAGTTTCTACAGTTGTTCAAAGAAAATCCACTGCTGATTGGGACTGGCAGGGCTGCGGTGGAAAGGGTGTCACAGGTAACTTGGCAGTACGTTGTTGTACTGATGCTTATTGAGATGTCAGTGAGACTGGCCGGGAAACCATGCAGGCACCCTAGGGATGTAAATACTTGCTGCTGCCGTTGATTTTGTTGTTCACAGTGTGGGAGAACCAGTCACAAAACGGTTTTCTCATTCCAAGCCAAGCCTGGAGTAGTAGACTTGAGAGTCCTCTCAGTGGATCGGGCCTTTGAGCAGGTCCGTGGTAAAACGCCACCTCAGTTCCCGAGAAGAGCAGCAGAAGAGGAAAGTGAGCCGGGCCGAGGAAGGACCCTCAGTTTACATTCACAGCATTACCGGCAAAAGGCTGGCGTTTGGATGAGGTTCCCTAAGAGTCCCACAGAGTAGATCAATATGATCAATATGTGCTTGGAGAAGACAAGACGCCTGGCACATTCACATTCCTTCTCCAAGGCTGAGGGTGGGGGGAGGGCATTGGCATTCCTGCTATTCCCGAGGTTTCCCTGCCTCTCCTGTGAGTTGAGGGCACCCCTGTGAAACCTAAGGGCACGCTGTGGCAGAGAACATGCACGGAGCTCCTGCTTCTCTCCCGACAGCCCTGGGAAGGCCTTACTACTTTAGGTCCTAACTAACAATATCCAAACGACCAGGTGGTGGTCCCACAGCAAGGGAGCTGTCAGTCAGAGCTGTGCCTCTGCCCCCGTATTTTGGATCGAGCTCCTCCAAGAGAAGTAAGTGTCCTATACATGTTCTTGGAAGGTTGATCTTGACTGTGGACTTCCGTGTGGACTGTGGGCTTCCGTGTGTACTGTGGGCTTCCGTGTGGACTCTGGGCTTCCGTGTGGACTGGACTGTGGGCTTCCATGTGGACTGTGGGCTTCCGTGTGGACTGTGGGCTTCCGTGTGGACTCTGGGCTTCCATGTGGACTGGACTGTGGGCTTCCGTGTGGACTCTGGGCTTCCGTGTGGACTGTGGGCTTCCGTGTGGACTGTGGGCTTCCGTGTGGACTGGACTGTGGGCTTCTGTGTGGACTGTGGGCTTACGTGTGGACTGTGGGCTTCCGTGTGGACTGGACTGTGGGCTTCTGTGTGGACTCTGGGCTTCTGTGTGGACTGTGGGCTTCCGTGTGGACTCTGGGTTTCTGTGTGGTCTGGACTGTGAGCTTCCGTGTGGACTGTGGGCTTCTGTGTGGACTGGACTATGGGCTTCCGTGTGGACTGTGGGCTTCCGTGTGGACTGTGGGCTTCCGTGTGGACTGTGGGTTTCTGTGTGGACTGTGGGTTTCTGTGTGGTCTGGACTGTGGGCTTCCGTGTGGACTGGACTGTGGGTTTCTGTGTGGACTGTGGGTTTCTGCGTGGTCTGGACTGTGGGCTTCCATGTGGACTGTGGGCTTCCGTGTGCACTGTGGCTTCCGTGTGGACTGTGGGCTTCTGTAAACTGAATTCCATTCAGGACCAATGCCATATCTTTTTATTTTTCCTTGACTCCTGAGTTTCCAGACAGGCAAGCTAGGATGTGGCTGGATGGTGGTGTTAATTTTCCATTTGGACCCTGAAACGGCCCTCTTTAGTACGGGGATTGAATAAGTTCAGGACACTAGCCACTGAGATGACTCTTTTTGAAAGAGCCTATGTTGGCCTCCTAGGCTTCTTCCATGAATCTCTTGGGCAAGTGTTTCTTATCCATGAACCTCTTGGGCAGGTGTTTCTTATCTCAATATAGCCCTGTTGGTCTGGCACCCCAAGCTGGGCTTTGAGCGATGTGAGGTAGACGTGCTTTGGGAGCCGGAGACTGGAGGTGTCTCCTGTCCTGCACCTTAGCCCCAGGAGCTGCCTGGGCCTGCTTTCTTTGCAGACGTCTTATATTTATCAAACCTGTGCTGCAGGCAAGGGCCATGCTTACTTTCCTTTGGGGTCCCTCTGGAAGGCTCTCAGGAGCTGAGTTCTTGATTGCCTTGGGTTTTTGACCCCAGGACATGACATCAGGAATGTCCTGTGGTTGCCAGTTTCCAAGCAAGCACAGCTGGCAGGGGCATCATGGGAAACCCTCTCCTTGGCACAGAGAATTGGTCTCCAGAAAAACCGGGCCTCAAAGTGAAGCCGGAATTCAAACCTAGGGAAAGTGACTCCGGCCAGCTCAGGATGAAGGATGTGACTGGATCAGGAGGATTTGCAGACCTTACTGGCCTTAGTGCTCGGCCTGCGGCTGAGTTCGAGGGGAGCGCCTTTAGCTGGACTGGTCCAATGTGTTTAATTGGGTAAGGAGGAATCCTACCCAGGCGCCATTCTTCCTGGGCACGGAGCTTATTAAAACTTTCCCCAGCTGCTGCTCTTCCCAGACATCCACCTGCCTGGTGGGTGGTTGACCCAGGACTACTTTGACTTTGAAGGACCCCAGGTCTTCCTGCCTGAGGAGGACTCTGAGCACCCAGCCAGGGGTGGGAGGCCAGGGGAGGGGTCTGGAGGCCTCGGTTTTTCTTCTGAAGGGACACTGGGTCTGTGTTACACCCCCAAGGACACGTTTTCCCAGGTCCCCACTGACCTGTTTCGTGTTAAGCTGAGATCCAGTACTATCCTGATGGTGGTGGGGTGGGTCTGAGCAGGAAGGGGCCTGGAATCCATCCCATCTTCACCAGGGACCCCCCAGACAACCTTCTCAGGGGGCTCCTGGGTGTTTTGGTGATGAGCTCCGATGGGGAGGAGTTAGGACTTGGGCTGAAGCTCTGCTGTTTGAAGCTGTCTCACATGTAGGTCTGGCATCCCCCCCTGCGTGCAGGTCTCTGTGGTCAACCTCCTGTTGTGTCCAGCGGCCATGTCCATTTCAGAGTTTCATTAAAGAGCGCAATTGGCAGGTGCATAGCACCTGATAGCCTGCAGCATGGCTCTGGTCTCAGAGTGGGAAGAAGAGGAAACCATGGACAGAAGGACCTTCCAGTGACATTTAGCAAAAAGAAGCAAAGTGTGAAAGTGAGGTGGTGATGTTGGGTTGGGAAGGTGGGGGCTTCCTGAGCCCGCCCTTGCTGCTTATCCATTCCACCAATGTTCACTGGTACCAGCACCCTGTGTGTGGGCACTGATGGCATAGGGCACAATGGGAGCACAGACGGGGCTCGGTCCCCAGTAGAGTGTGACCCACATGGGGAGTTCTGCAGCCTACCCTGTACCTTAGAGAGTGACACGGGGCTGGCAGGTGGCCGGTGGCATCAGGAGCGGTGAGAGGTGCGGCTGCTGATGTACCACCCTGTGGGGGCTTCGGGCACCAACTCCCAGTGAGTGTCTCCACCTGATCTACCTCTGTCTAAACAGCACTGTCTTCCATTTTTTTTTTTAGTTGCATTTTTATTTTTTGAGACAGAGTTTCACTCTTGTTGCCCAGGCTGGGGTGCAGTGGCGCGTTCTTGGCTTACTGCAACCTCTGCCTCCTTGGTTCAAGAAATTCTCCTACCTCAGCCTCCCGAGTAGCTGGAATTACAGGTGTCCGCCACCACACCCGGCTAAATTTTGTATTTTTAGTAGAGATGGGGTTTCGCCATGTTGGTCAGGCTGGTCTTGAACTCCTGATCTCAGGTGATCCGCCTGCCTCAGCCTCCCAAAGTGCAGGGATTACAGGCGTGAGCCACCGCGCCCGACCTGTCCTCTGTCCTCCCTTTAACAGCACTTCTTACCCTCTGCTGCTTTTTGATGTCTTCAGATCCTTAATCCCATGCGTGATCTTTGCTGTGTGAAGCAGTGGAGCTCCTAGAAGGCCTTTTGACCCTCTTCCTTTTATGTAGATGCGTTTGTCTACTCATTCCTGAAGTCCAAAGGGGAGGGGAGTCCAGCTTCCGAAACAGACCTTGGTACCTTCCTTTTCAGTTTTCACAGATGCTTGTGTACTTTAAGAAGAGCTTAGTCTTTATGACTTTTAAAAGAGCCCCCAAAGGCCCTATGATCTGGGCATGGTGGCACATGTCATAGTTTTGGGGCAGCTGCAGTGCTGGCTGGAGCAAACTCAGGAAGAGAGGAGATGGTTTCTTCTCCAGCTGACAGCCACGCTCAGACACAAGCGCTGGGCTTGCAGCTCCCATCCATGCAGAAGGATCTCTATTATTTCTATTTCGCTTACTTTGCATTTACTTTTCTTTTTTCTATGTTCTTAAGATGAAAGCATAAACTAGGATTAGATTATGATTGGAGACCTTTCCTGTGTTCCAGTATAAGCCTTTATTGCCATAACTTTTTCTCTTTATACCACTTTAGCTGTGTCCTGCAACTTCTGGTATGTTGTTCTTGTATTTTCATTCAGTTCAAAATATTTTTATAACTTCGTTATGATTTCTTCTTTCACCTATGGGTCATTTAAAAGTGTGTGTGTGTGTGTGTGTGTGTGTGTGTGTTTTAATCCAGATGTTTCCTTTTTTCTTGATATCTTTCTATTACGTATTTCTCGTTCAATTTCTTTTTGGCCAGAGAACGTACTTTGGATAATTTCAGTTATTTTAACTTTGTTGAGATTTGTTTTATTACCCAGCAAATAGTCTATTTTGATGAATGTTTTATGTGTGCATCAAAATACTACATATTCTGCTATGGTTGGGTGGTATATCCCACAAATGCCAGTCAGATCCACTTGGTTAATGGTGGTGTTGAAATCTTCTGTGTCCTTACAAATTTTCTCTTGCTGCTTTTTCAGTCCTAGGAAGTGAATATCCTTACCAATTTTCTCTGCACTGCTTTCATCTCTTAGAGGGATGAGTGTTAATGTCTCCAATATGATTGTGAATATCCCTGTTTCTACTTCTGTTTCTATTATTTTTGTTGTATGTATTTGGGGTACATATAGATTTAGGATTGGCATGTCTTCTCAATGTATTGACTCCTGTATCATTATGTATAGCTCTTGTTGTCCCTGTATAACGTTTTGCAACTGTTTATTTTTAACCTGTCTATGCCTTTATATTTAGAGTGGGTTTCTTCTTTTTTCTTTCTTTCCTTCCTTCCTTCCTTCTTTCCTTTCCTTTCTTTTCTTTCCTTTCTTCCCTTTCCTTTCTTTCTTTCCTTTCTTTCCTTTCTTTCTTTCCTTCCTTTCTTTCTTTCCTTTCTTTCTTCCCTTCCTTCCTTCCTTTCCTTCCTTTCTTTCCTTTTTTTCCTTTCTTTCTTTCCTTTCTTTTTTGAGATGGAGTTTTACTTCTGTCACCCAGTCTGGAGTGCAATGGCACGATCTCGGCTCACTGCAACCTCTGCCTCCCAGGTTCAAGTGATTCTCCTGCCTCAGCCTCTCGAGTAGCTGGGATTACAGGCATGCACCACCATGCCCGGCTAATTTTTATACTTTTAGTTGAAACAGGGTTCCGCCGGCCTCAGCCTCCCAAAATGCTGGGATTACAGGCATGAGCCACCACACCTGGCCTAAAGTGGGTTTCTTGCAGAAAGCATAAAGTAGATTCTCGCCTTTTTAAAACGTTTAGGCTGGGTGCTGTGGCTCATGCCTGTAATCTCAGCACTTTGGGAGGCTGCGGTGGGAGGATCACTTGAGCTCAGGAATTTGAGACCAGCCTGGGTAACATAGTGAAACCCAGTCTCTACAAAAAATTAAAAAATTAGCTGTAGTGTGGTATAGTCCCAGCTACTTGGGAGGCTGAGGCTGGAGGATCACTTGATCCCAGGAGTTCAAGGCTGCAGTGAGCCATGATCGTACCATAGCACTCCAACCTGGGGGACAGATCAACAGCCTGTCTCAAATAAATAAATAAATAAAACTTTAATCTGAAAATATTTGCCTTTCAACTATGTTGTTTAGCCCATTTACATTTAATATTTAGTGATGCGATTGGATTTAGATCTAGCTTTCTGCTATTTATTTTCTGTTAATATTATCTCTTCTTGCCTTCTTTGTATTAAGTATTTTTTATGATCCTATTTTATCTCCATTCTTGGCCTCTATTCATTATACCTCTCTTTTTAAAATTTTTATTTTTATTTCTTTAGGGTACACGTGTAGATTTCTTACATATGTATATTGTACAGTGGCGACGGCTGGGCTATCAGTGTCCCCATTACCTGAATAGTGAACACTGTATCCAATAGCTAATTTTTCAACCCTCACCCCTCCCACCCTTCCACCTTTTATAGTCTCCAGTATCTGTTCCACTCTGTCTGTCCGTGTGTTCCCATCATTTAGCTCCCACTTGTGAGAACGTGTATTTATTTGACTTTCTGTTTCTGAGTTATTTCATTCAGGATAATAGCCTCTAGTTCTATTCATGTTTCTGCAAAAGACATGATTTCATTCTTTTTTGTGGTTGAGTAGTATTCCATGTTGTGTGTGTGTATGTAGAACACAAATTTTTATCCAATCCTCCACTGATGGACACTTTGATCTTCTTTTCTTTTCTTTTCCTTTTTTCTGAGATGGTGTCTTGCTCTTTCGCCCAGGCCAGACTGCAGTGGCGCTATCTCGGCTCACTACAAGCTCTGCCTCCCAGGTTCATGCCATTCTCCTGCCTCAGCCTCCTGAGTAGCTGGGACTACAGGCGCCTGCCACCGGGCCTGGCTAATTTTTTGTATTTTCAGTAGAGACGGGGTTTCACCATGTTAGCCAGGATGGTCTCAATCTCCTGACCTTGTGATCCACCCACCTCAGCCTCCCAAAGTGCTGGGATTACAGGCGTGAGCCACTGCGCCCGGCCTATCTTTACTTTTTTTTTTTTTTTTTTTTTGAGACAGGATCTTGCTCTGTTGCCCAGGCAGAAGTGCAGTGATGCGATCTCAGCTCACTTCAGCCTTGACCTCCCGGGCTCAAGCGATTCTCCTACCTCAGCCTTCTAAGTAGCTTGGACTATAGGTGTACACCACCATAACTGGCTATTTTTTTGTCTTTTCTGTAAAGACTCGGTTTTACCCCATTGCCCAGGCTGGTCTTGAACTCCTGGGCTCAAGCAGTCCACTTGCCTTGGCCTTCCAAAGTGCTAGGATTACAGGTGTGAGCCACCACACCTGGCCTATCTTTACTATTGTGAATAGTGCTGCAAGAAACATATGGGTGCTGATATCTTTCTTATATAATTATTTCTTTCCTGTTGGGTAGATACCCAATGTTGAGATTGCTGGATCAAATGGCAGTTCTACTTTTAGTTCTTTGAGAAATCTCCATACGGTTTTCCATAGAGGTTGTACTAATTTACATTCCCACCAGCAGCGTACAAGAGTTCCCTTTTGTCTGCATCCTCACCAACATCTGCTATTTTTTGACTTTTGTTTTGTTTTGTTTTTTTGAGACAGAGTCTGGCTCTGCCACTCAGGCTGGAGTGCAGTGGCACAATCTCGGCTCATTGCAACCTCTGCCTCCTGGGTTCAAGGGATTCTGCTGCCTCAGACTCCTGAATAGCTAGGATTACAGGCATGTGCCACCATGCCCAGCTAATTTTTATATTTTTAGTAGAGATGGGGTTTTACTATGTTGGTCAGGCTGGTCTCGAACTCCTGGCCTCAAGTGATCCACCCACCTTGGCCTCCCAAAGTGCTGGGATTACAGGTGTGGGCCATGGCACCTGGCCCCATTTTTTGACTTTTTAATAATAGCTATTCTGACTGGTGTGAGATGGTATCTCATTGTGGTTTTGATTTGCATTTCTCTGGTGATTACTGACATTGAACATTTTTTCATATATTTATTGGCAGTTTGTCTGTCTTTTGAATAATGTGTTTATATCTATCCTTTGCCCACTTTTTAATGGGTTTTTTTCTGGTTGAGTTCTTGGGGTTCCTTGTAGATTCTGGATATTAGCTCTTTGTCGTATGCATAGTTTGCAGATATTTTCTCCCATCCTTTAGATTGTCTGTCTACTCTGTCAATCGTTTCTTTTGCTGTGCAGAAACATTTTAGTTTAAGTCCCATTTGTCTATTTTTGTTTTAGTTGAGTTTGTTTTTGCGGACTCAGTCATGAATTCTTTGCCTAGGCCAATGTCCAGAAGAGTTTTCCTAGGTTTTCTTCTAGGATTTTTATAGTTTTCAGTCTTACTTTTAGGTCTTTAATCCATCTTGAGTTAATTTTTGCATATGATGAGAGGTATGGGTCCAGTTTCATTCTTCTGAATTATGGCTATCCATTTTTCCCAGCACCATTTATTGAAAAGGGTGTCATTTCCCCAGTGCATGTTTTTGTTGACTTTGTTGAAGATCAGCTGGTTGTAGGTAAGTGGCTTTATTTCTAGATTCTCCATTCTGTTCCATTGATCTATGTGTCTATTTTATACCAGCACCATGCTGTTTTGGTTACTATAACTTTGTAGTATAATTTGAAATCAGGTAATATGATGCCTCCAGCTTTGTTCTTTTTCCTTAGGATTCTCTTGGCCATTTGAACTCCATATTAATTTTAAGGTTGTTTTTTCTAATTCTGTGAAAAATGATGTTGGTAATTTGATAGAGGGCATTGAATCTGTAGATTGCTTTGGGCAGTATGGATTATACTTCTCTTTTAACTGAATTTTTAGTGTTTGCTTTAGGGTTTTCAAATTTACAGCTTTTCACAGTCCTTCTTGAAGAAATAATGCTCCCTTTAAATTTTTCCATTTTTTTTTTTTGCTATTGCTTTCATATACTTCACCTCTTTTTTTTTTTTTTTTTTAAAGACAGTCTCACTCTGTCACCCAGGCTGGAGTGCTGCAGTGGTGTGATCTTGGCTCACTGCAAACTCTGCCTCCCAGGTTCAGGTGATCCTTCAATCTCAGCCTCCCGAGTAGCTGGGATTACAGGCATGCACCACCACACTGGGCTAATTTATATATTTTTAGTAGAGGCAGGGTTTTGCCACATTGGCCAGGCTGGTCTCAAACTACTGACCTCAGGTGATCTGCCCGCCTTGGCCTCCCAAAGTGCTCATGCCTGTAATACACCACGCCCTGCCTCAGATACTTCTATATATGTTAGGAAGCCTCCAGTGCCTTGTTGCTGGTTTTTCTGTTCATAATCTCTTATCCTTCCAAATGAATAAAAATAAAAAAGTCTTTTTATATACCCCCATTTTTTGCTGTTTTGAGAATGCTTCGTTTCTTTGTGTAAATTCAGTTTCCATTTGACAACACCTCCTCCCCTGAGGAACTTCCTTAGCAGTTTTTGTAGTGTAGGTCTGTGGGCCACAACTCCTTTCAACTTGTATCTGTCTGGAAATGTTTACTTCTCGTTTTTTGTTTTTTTGGTAACAGCTTTAATAAAATGTAACTCACATACCACACAGTTTGTCCACTCAAGTGTGCATTCACGGGATCGTAGTGCATTTACAGAGTTGCACAACCACCACCACAAATTCAGAACATTTCCATCGCCCCCAGAAGGAACTCTGAACCCTTGAGCAGTCACTCCCCACCCCTCCCTGCCCCCAGTCCCTGACAGCCACGCATCTCCCTTCTTCCTCTGTAAATTCGCCTCTTCTGCACCTTTCACATAAATGGAATCATACACTCTGTGGCCTTTTGTGTCTGGCTGCTTTCACTTAGCGTGGGGTTTTCCGAGTTCATCTGTGTTGTCATATGCGTTAGGATTTCATTCCTTTTCATTGCTGGAATAATATCCTATCACGTGGATAGACCGTTTTTGTTTATCTGTTCACGAGTTGACTGACGTTTGGGTCATTTCCGCTTTTTGGCAATTGTGAGTCACGTTGCCGTGAACATACCTGTGTGTGTTTTTGTGTGGACTTGTGTTTCCGTTCTCTTGGGTTTACACCTAGGGGTGGATGGCTGGCCTATGGTGGCCCCAGTTCCAATGGTGTGAGGGCTGGCCTGTGGGGCCCCAGGTCTGACGGCATGGGACTGGCCTGCGGTGACCCTGGGTCTGACTGATTGAGGGCTGGCCTGTGGTGGCCCCGGGTCTGATGGCATGAGGACTGGCCTGCGGTGGCCCCGGGTCTTACCGTGTGAGGACTGGCCTGCAGTGTCCCCTGGTCTGACTGACTGAAGACTGGCCTGAGGTGGCCCCGGGTCTGACTGAGGGCTGGCCTGCGGTGGCCCCAGGTATGATGGCATGAGGACTGGCCTGCAGTGGCCCCGGATCTTACTGCGTGAGGGCTGGCCTGCGGTGTCCCCGGGTCTGACTGATTAAGGGCCGGACTGTGGTGGCCCCGGATCTGACAGCAGTGTGAGGGCTGGCCTGCGGTGGCCCCGGGTCTGACTGATTGAGGGCTGGCCTGTGGTGGCCCTGGGTCTTACCGCGTGAGGGCTGGTCTGTGGTGGCCCCAGGTCTGTGGTGGCCACACTGTCTTCAGGCAGCCTCCACCCCAGCGTGTGAGAGTTTTCTGCTCTTCCCCAAGTGGCAGCCAACTTCTGCCCACACGGCTTCCTCTCCTTGCTCGTGAGCAAAAGGGTTTTGCTTCCACGCTTAGCCTAGAAGGGGTAGATCCAGGAAGAAGAGGGCCTCTGCTTCCCCCTCTCCCGGTGACCTGGGGAGAGGGTTTGCTGTGCTTCCCCCAGTGGCTTTGTCCGAAAGAGGGTTCTGGGCAGGGGGTGTCCGGTACCTGCACCTGGGGCCACTTCCCGTCTTCTGCTCTCTCTCAGCCCTTCCTGTGAGTGCCTGGTGCCCTCCCCTATCTGAGAACTTGGTCCCAGCTCTTCTGAAGGGCACACTGGGCCACAGGGGGCCCGAAGAGTCCTCGCCCACTGTCTCCTGTGTTCAGCTGACTGTGGGGAACCTGGGCCATTTGAGGGTTTGTCACCATTTGGAATTCAGCCCCTCGGGGGCCTGGAGCTCATCAATGGACTCCAGGAAAGACATGATTATGTAGATGAGGTGGCTTTATTTGTTTCCAGGATGGGAGTGACATTCTCTTGTGATTTTCTACATCTTAAGCGGAGGTGGTTTTCTTGTGTTTTTTTGAGACAGAGTTTCACTCTTGTTGCCCTGGCTGGAGTGCAATGGCACGATCTCAGCTCACTGCAACCTCCACCTCCTGGGTTCAAGTGATTCTCCTGCCTCAGCCTCCAGAGTAGCTGGGATTACAGGTGCCCGCTACCATGCCCAGCTAATTTTTTATTTTTGAGATGGAGTCTCACTCTGTCACCCAGGCTGGAGCGCAATGGCATGGTCTCGGCTCACTACAACCTCCACCTCCCAGGTTCAGGAGATTCTCCCGCCTCAGCCTCCTGAGTAGCTGAGACTACAGGCATGTGCCACCACACCTGGCTAATTTTTGTATTTTTAGTAGAGACGGGGTTTCACTATGTTGGCCAGGCTGGTCTCGAACTCCTGGGCTCAGGTGATCCGCACGTCTTGGCCTCCCAAAGTGCTGGGATTACAGGTGTGAGCCACCTCACCCAGCCTCTTGTGTTTTTAAAAAGACTTTTGTTACCTTGTTTGTAAATTACCTCTTTTGATAGTTACCAGTTTATCTAGTGAGAACTTATTGGTTTGTTATTACATTTCACAACCTCCTGATATAGTAAAGATGCTTTTTGTTGTATTTACTGCAAAGATTATTTCGACTGGTTTCTAGCCTCTCAGTTGCATCACACATTTATAATAAAGATGTGGAAGGATTTCATTTGCTGGGACATTTTTTTTTCCTTTTGTATATTCCTTTTATCTTTTTTAAGCCTAGAAAGGCCTCTCCTCTCCAGAGATTTGAAAAATGCTCGCTTTTGCTTTTTCCCAGTGGTTTTAATGCTTTGACTTTTTTCACCTTTAATTCCCTTTAATCCATTTAGAATTTTAAGGTAGAAAGGCAATGATCCATAGATTCATTTCTCCTCAAGTCAGCAGCCCAGCATCCCATTCCCTGCGCATAACACGCCCCCTTTCCCACTGAGCCCAGGGACCTTCTCTGGGGGCGGGGGGGGGGGGGGGTCCCGTTTCTGGCCATGTGCTCCTGTTCAATCATGTAGCTACTCCTGAGGTTTTGGGGTTTCTTTTCCAGTTGGGTAAAACTGCATTATTTGGACTAGAGAATTGTTTTTCTGTTTGAAACAAAGTTTGCAGCTTTCCCCCCAGGCCCGTTTGAAGCTGCTCCCTTGGCCCGGCCGCCAGAACCTCCCCCGAGCGTGTTCCTCTTCTGTCGTGCTGCCACTGTGCTGGCTGCCAGGCCTAGGGGGCCGGATGATTGGCCGTGGCCGCCGTGCGCCCTGAGCTGCCCGTCACGAGCCGGTGTTGTCTGACTGCACAGGCCGTCAGGCGCAGCGCAGGGCTGGTGGGTGGCCCTGAAGGCTCAGACAAGCGGCGCATGGGAGTGACCCAAATGCCCACTCCTGCCCCGTCACCCTCTCTCCTGGCACCTGCGGCTTCCAGGAGACCCCCACAGCCAGCTGCCGAGGCCTGGGCCCGGCTTACAGTGGCCCCCGCAACGTGGGCACCTGGCCTGGGAGCGGACGGCCCAGCCCCACAGCGCTGGGGTCTGTGGACCCCGGTAGCCTCGCTTCTGGTGGTGGGATCTGCATTTGTTTTCTCTTGCTGCCATGACAAATTCACATAGAGTTCCCCATATTAGATGGGTCCATTTGCTGCCTCTTGCTGTTTTCCCTGAAGTCTGGGCTGGGGCTCATTCCAGGCTCTGGCCCCACTGCCTTTCCTGGGTCTCATCTCTTGTACTTCTGGTTGTTAGCAGATTTCAGCGGTAGCACTGGAGGGCATGCATTTTCGTTTTTGTTGTTTTGAGGATTGAAAGTTGTTTATTTACACACACATGCCAGCAGTTGGCTGCAGAGATACCAACATGGAAACAAGCCAGGAGGGTTGACACTATTTACATATAAAAGAATCAAGATTCGTACATGGAACACGAATATGCCACCAGTTTTTAAATTTTAACTGTGGTAAAATAGACATAAGTTTTACCATCTTAGCCATTTTTAAGTGTGCACTTCAGTAGTGTGAAGTATATTCACATTATTGTGAAACCAATATCCAGAACTTTCTCATCTTGTAAAACTGAAACTCTGTCCCCATTGAACAGCTCCTCACTTCCCCTCGTCCAGGCCCTGGCAGCCACCTTCCATTTTCTGTTTCTATGAGTTTGTTCCAAAGACCTCATGCCTCCGTGTTGCGGCACGTATCAGAATTTTCTTCCTTCTTAAGGCTGAATCGTGTTCCATCTTGTGTGTAGACCACATCTTGCTTATCCATTCATCTGTCAAGGGACATTTGGGTGGGTGGCGTCTGCCTCTAGGCCATGGTGGATACTGCTGCTGTGAACACAGGTGGACAAATGTGTCTTCCAGACCCCGCTTTCAATTCTGTTTTTAATATTTTGAGGTGGCATGGTGGCTCACACCTGTAATCCCAGCTACTCAGGAGGCTGACGCAGGATAATTGCTTGAGCCCAGAAGTTGGAGGCTGCAGTGAGCTACAGTCATCACTGCGCTCCAGCCTGGGCAACAGTGTGAGACCCCACTCAAAAAGATTTCTTTTGAGGATCCATCATGCTGTTTTCCACAGTGGCTGCACCATTTGACATTTCTGCCGACAGTGTACCAGGCTTCCAATTTCTGTACACCCTTACTAATACTTGTTATTTTTTGGTTTTTGATCATAGCCATCCTAATGGGTGTGAGGTGGCGTTGCATAGTGGTTTCGATTTGCACTTTCCTGACAATTTGTGATGTTGAACACCTTTTTATGTGCTTATTGGCCATTTGTATATCTTCTCTGGAGAAATGTGTATTCAAATCCTTCCTAATTTTAAGATCAGATTATTTATTTTCTTGCTGTCAAGTTATAGGATTTTTTTTTTTTTTTTTTTTTTTTTTTTTTTTTTTTAAGATGGAGTCTCTCTCTGTCACCCAGGCTGGAGTGCAGTGGTGCAATGTCAGCTCACTGCAACCTCTGCTTCCCAGGTTCAAGCGATTCTCCTGTCTCAGCCTTCTGAGTAGCTAGGACTACAGGCATGTGCCACCATGCCCAGCTAATTTTTTTTTCTAGTAGTGACAAGGTTTCACCATGTTGACCGGGCTGGTCTCGAACTCCCAACCTCAAGCAGTCTGCCCACCTCAGCCTCCCAAAGTGCTGGGATTACAGGCGAGAGCCACCATGCCCGGCCAAGTTATAGGAATTCTTTATATATCCTGGACATGAACCCCTTATGAGATAGGATTTGCAAATATTTTCTCTCATCCCACAGTTTGTCCTTTCAGCCTGTTGATTATGCCCTGTGATGCACAAAAGTTTTTAATTTTGCCATAGTCCAGTTTATCTATTTTTACTCTTATTGCCTCTGCACTGATGTCATATTCAAGAGATCATCCCCTAAGTGTCATGAAACTTTTGCCTTAATTTTTTTTCTAGAGTTTTGTACTTTAAGGTCTTATGTTTAGGTCTTTGATCCATTTTAGGTTAACTTTTGCATAGGGTGTAAGGTAAGGGTCCAACTTCATTCTTTTGCATGTGGACATCCAGTTTTCCCAGCATCATTTATTGAAAGACTATCATTTCCCCATTGAGTAGTCTTACTTAGTACCCTTGTCAAAGATCATTTTATATGTGAACTCACACTTATTTGTAAACCCAGGATTTATTTCTCCTATGTTTGCTTCTATAAGATTATTGTTTTACCTTTCACATTGTTATCTGCAATCCATTGGAAAATGATTTTTTGTCTATGGTAGGAGCAAGCTATATTTTTCTGTGTGAATGTCCAGTTAACTCAGCACTATTGAGAAAAAAGACTGCCTTTGCCCAGTGCCTCACAGTGTTGCCTGCATCACAGACCAGCGACTGCTCACATGCTGGTCGGCTCCTGAGCTCTGGAGTGAATCCTGAGTCTTGTCTGTTCTTATCCCAGTGCCCGCATCTTTACTAAGGTGCCCTTGGAGAGGTCTGGAGATGGGTAGTGCGAGGCCTCCGGTTCTGCCTTCATCGTCACGGTTGCCTCCGTTATTCTTGTCCTCCTGTTCTTTTATGTACAGCACAGGTCAAGCTGCAGAGATGAGCCAGCCCCTCTGCTTGGGTTTGTGGTTCTGCTGAGCCAACTGGCCTTTCCGAGGAGTCTTGGGGGGAGACGTGATCCTTTCCTGAGGCACGGGAGCAGCAGTGCACAGAGAACCACACGTCGCTTCCCTACAGAGCAGCCCTCATCGGCCTCATTGATTTGGGTCTTTTTAAATCTCCATGTCTCTTCTTAACCGGCCACTGTCTTCCTCTGCTTTCGTGCACATAGGGATTTTATTTATGCTGACTGTTTTCCTGTCCCTGCCTACGAATTCTGTCATCTGTGTCATGTCTGCGTTTGTCTCTGTGGGTCGGCTTTACCCTCCTCATTGTGAGTCCCAGGTCTCTGCTCATTGCATGCTTGGCAATTTTTTAAATTTAATTTTTATTATTTTGCTTCCCATTGACCAAACCCAACCTGGTAATTCTTGATTAGATGCCAGACATTGGGCATTGTTTGTTTGGGGGGGGGGGCTGAATTTTTTTTTGCTTCCCTTTTAATAATTTTCAAATTATTATTTTTTAAATTTTTTATTTCCATAGGTTATTGGGGAACAGGTGGTGTTCGGTTACATGGGTAAATTGTTTAGCGGTGATTTGTGAGATTTTGGTGCACCCGTCACTCAAGCAGTATACACTGCACCCAATTTGTAGTCTTTTATCCCTCACCCTCTTCCCACCCTTTCCCCGAGTCCCCAAAGTCCATTGTGTCATTCTTATGCCTTTGCCTCCTTGTAGCTTAGCTCCCACCTACGAGTGAGAGCATATGATGTTTGGTTTTCCATTCCCAAGTTACTTCATTTGGAATAATAATCTACAGTCTCCTCCAGGTTGCTGCGAATGCCATTAATTCATTCCTTTTTATGGCTGAGTAGTATTCCATTGTGTATATATACACCACAGTTTCTTTCTTTTTTTTTTTGAGACAGTGTCTCACTCTGTCGCCCAGGCTGGAGTGCAATGGTGCAATCTAGGCTCACTGCAACCTCCGCCTCCCAGGTTCAAGCGATTCTCCTGCCTCAGCCTCCCGAGTAGCTGGGACTACAGGCGCCTGCCACCATGCCCGGCTAATTTTTATATTTTTAATAGAGACAGAGTTTCACCATGTTGGCCAGGATGGTCTCGATCTCTTGACCTCGTGATCCGCCCGCCTTGGCCGCCCAAAGTGCGGGAATACAGGCGTGAACCACCGCGCCCGGCCTATACCACAGTTTCTTTATTCACTTGTTGATTGATGGGCATTTGGGTTGGTTCCACATTTTTGCAATTGTGAATTGTGCTGCTATAAACGTGCATGTGCAAGTATCTTTTTCCTATAATGACTTCTTTTCCTCTGGGTAGATACCCAGTAGTGGGATTGCCGGATCAAATGGTAGATCTAGTTCTTTAAGGAATCTTCACACTGTTTTCCATAGTGGCTGTACTAGTTTACATTCCCACCAGCAATGCAGAAGTGTTCCCTGTTTACTGTATCCATGCCAACATCTATTCTTTTTTTTGATTTTTTGATTATGGCTATTCTTGCAGAAGTGAGGTGGTATTGCATTGTGGTTTTGATTTGCATTTCCCTGATCATTAGTGATGTTGAGCATTTTTCATATGTTTGTTGGCCATTTGTATATCTTCTTTCGAGAATTGTCTATTCATGTTCTTAGCCCACTCTTTGATGGGTTCGTTTTTTTCTTGCTAATTTGTTTGAGCTCATTGTAGATTCTTAATATTAGTCCTTTGTCAGATGTATAGATACTGAAGATTTTTCTCCCATTCTCTGGGTTGTCTCTTCACTCTACTGACTGTTCCTTTTGCTATGCAAAAGCTCTTTAGTTTAATTAAGTCACAGCTATTTATCTTTGTTTTCATTGCATTTGCTTTTGGGTTCTTGGTCATGAAATTCTTGCCTAAGCCAACGTCTAGAAGAGTTTTTCTGATGTTATCTTCTAGAATTTTTATAGTTTCAGGTCTTAGATTTAAGTCCTTAATCCATCTTGAGTTGATCTTTGTATAGGGTAAGAGATGAGGATCTAGTTTCATTCTCCTATATGTGGTTAGCCAGGTATCCCAGCACCATTTGTTAAAAGGGTGTCCTTTCTCCACTTTGTTTTTGTTTGTTTTGTCAAAGATCAGTTGGCTGTGAGTATTTGGGTTTATTTGAACCCAAAGTTCTCTATTCTGTTCCATTGGTCTATGTGCCTGTTTTTATGCCAGTACCACGCTGTTTTGGTGACTATGGCCTTATAGTATAGTTTGAAATCAGGTAATGTGATTCTTCCAGATTTGTTCTTTTTGCTTAGTTTTGCTTTTGGCTATGTGGGCTCTTTTTTGATTCCATGTGAATTTTAGGATTGTTTTTTCTAGTTCTGTGAAGAATGATGGTGGTATTTTGATGGGAATTGCATTGAATTTGTAGATTGCTTTTGGCAGTATGGGCATGTTTACAATATTGATTCTACCCATCCATGGGTAGAATGTTTGTGTTTCCACTCGTTTGTGTTATCTATGATTTCTTTCAGCAGTGTTTTATAGTTTTCCTTGTAGAGGTCTTTCACCTCCTTGGTTAGGTGTATTCCTAAGTATTTTATTTCTTTTGCAGCTATTGTAAAAGGGGTTGGGTTCTTGATTTGATTCTCAGCTTAGTTGCTGTTGGTGTATAGGAGAGCTACTGATTTGTGTACATTAATTTTGTATCCGGAAACTTTGTTGAATTATTTTATCAGTTCTAGGAGCTTTTTGGAGGAGTCTTTAGGGTTCTCTAGGTATACAATCATATCATCAGCAAACAGTGACAATTCGACTTCCTCTTTATGGATTTGTATGCCCTTTATTTCTTTCCCTTGTCTGATTGCTCTGGCTGGGACTTCCAGTACTATGTTGAGAAGTGCTCTGGCTGGGACTTCCAGTACTATGTTGAAGAGAAGTGGTGACAGTGGGTATCCTTGTCTTGTTCCAGTTCTCAGAGGGAATGCTTTCAGCTTTTTCCCATTCAGTCTGATGTTGGCTATGGGTTTGTCATAGATGGCTTTTAATACATTGAGTTATGTCCCTTGTATGCCAATCTTGCTGAGAGTTTTAATTATAAAGGGATGCTAGATTTTGTCTAATGCTTTTTCTGCATCTATTAAGATGATCATGTGATTTTTGTTTTTAATTCTGTTTATGTATTGTATCACATTTATTGACCTGCATATGTTAAACCACCCCTGCATTCCTGGTTTGAAACTTACTTGATCATGGTGGACTATCTTTTCGATATGTTGTTGGATTCGGTTAGCTAGTATTTTGTTAAGGATTTTAGCATCTATGTTCATCAAGGATATTGGTCTAGTTTTCTTTTTTAGTTATGTCCTTTCCTTGTTTTGGTGTTAGGGTGATACTGGCTTCATAGAATGATTTAGAGAGGATTCTCTCTTTCTCTATTTTGTGGAATAGTGTCAATAGGATTGGTACCAATTCTTTGAATGTCTGGTAGAATTCAGCTGTGAATCCATCTGGTCCTGGATTTTTTTGGTTGGTAATTCTTTTATTACCATTTCAGTCTCGCTGCCTGTTATTGGTCTGTTCAGAGTATCTGGTTCTTCCTGATTTAAGAAGGAGGGTTGTATCTTTCCAGGAATTTATCCATCTCCGCTAGGTTTTCTAGTTTATACGTGTAAGGATGTTTTTAGTAGCCTTGAATGATCTTTTGTATTTCTGTGATGTCAATTGTAATATCTTCCATTTCATTTTTAATTGAGCTTATTTGGATTTCCTCTCTTCTTTTCTTGGTTAATCTTACTAATGGTCTATCAATTTTCTCTCTCTTTTTTTTTTTTTGTGAGAGGAAGTCTTGCTCTGTCACCCAGGCTGGAGTGCAGTGGTGCGATCTTGGCTCACTGCAACCTCCGCTTCCTGGGTTCAAGCGATTCTTCTGCCTCAGCCTCCCGAGTAGCTGGGACTACCAGCGCATGCCACCATGCCTGGCTAATTTTTGTATTTTTAGTAGAGATGGGGTTTCACCATATTGGCCAGGCTGGTCTCGAACTCCTGACCTCGTGATCCACCCACCTCGGCCTCCCAAAGTGCTGGGATTACAGGCGTGAGCCACTGCACCTGGCCTTATTTCTTTTTCAAAGAACCAGCTTTTCGTTTCATTTATCTTTTGTATATATTTTTTGTTTCAATTTCATTTAGTTCTGCACTGATCTTGGTTATTTCCTTTCTTCTGCTGGGTTTGGGTTTGGTTTGTTCTTGTTTTGCTAGCTTCTTGAGGTGTGACCTTAGATTGTTTGTGCTCTTGCAGATTTTTTGATGTAGGTGTTTAGGGCTATGAACTTTCCTCTTAGCACTGCCTTTGCTGTATCCCAGAGGTTTTTATAGATCACTGTTGTTCAGTTCGAAGAATTTTTAAATTTTCATCTTGATTTCATTGTTGACCCGGTGATCATTCAGGAGCAGGTTATTTAATTTCCATGTATTTGTGTGGTTTTGAAGATTCCTTTTGGAGTTGATTTCCAGTTTTATTTCACTGTGGTCTGAGAGAGTGCTTAGTATAATTTCAGTTTTCTTAAATTTATTGAGGCTTGTTTTGTGGCCTATCATATGGTCTATCTTGGAGAAAGTTCCATATGCTGTTAAATAGAATATATTCTGCAGTCGTTGGGTAGAATGTTCTGTAAATATCCATTAAGTCCATTTGTTCCAGGGTATAGTTTAAATCCATTGTTTCTTTGTTGACTTTCTGTCTTGATGACCTGTCTAGTGCCGTCAGTGGAGTACTGAAGTTCCCCACTATTATTGTGTTGCTGTCTATTTCTTTTTTTAGGTCTAGTAGTAATTGTCTTATAAATTTGAGAGCTCCAGTGTTAGGTGCATATATAATTAGGGTTGTGATATTTTCCTGTTGGACAAGGCCTTTTATCATTATATAATGTCCCTCTTTGCCTTTTTAATTGCTATTGCTTTAAAGTTTGTTTTGTCTGATATAAGAATAGCTACTCCTGCTCCCTTTTGGTGTCCATTTCCATGAAATGTCTTTTTCCACCCCTTTACCTTAAGTTTATGTGAGTCCTTATGTGTTAGGTGGATCTCTTGAAAGCAGCAGATACTTGGTTGGTGAATTCTTACCCATTCTGCAATTCTGTATCTTTTAAGTGGAGGCTTTAGGCCATTTACATTCAACATTAGTATTGAGATGCGAGGTGCTGTTTCATTCATCATCCTATTTGTTGCCTGTATAGCTTGGCTTTTTGTTTAATTGTATTTTTGTTTTATAGGTCCTGTGAGATTATGCTTTTAAGAGGTTCTGTTTTGATGTCTTTCCAGGATTTGTTTCAAGATTTAGAGCTCCCTTTAGCAGTTCTTGTAGTGCTGGCTTGGTAGTGGCAAATTCTCTCAGCATTTGTCTGGAAAAGACTGTATGTTTCTTTCATTTATGAAGCTTAGTTTTACTGGATACAAAAGAGTTGGCTTGTAATCATTTTGCTTAAGGAGGCTGAAGATAGGGCACCAATCCATTCTAGCTTGTACGGTTTCTGCTGAGAAATCTGCTGTTAATCTGATAGGTTTTCCTTTATAGGTTACCTGGTGCTTTTGCCTCATAGCTCTTAAGATTCTTTTCTCTGTCTTAACTTTAGATAACCTGATGACAATGTGCCTAGGCGATGATCTTTTGGGGATGAATTTCCCAGGTGTTCTTTGAGCTTCTTGTATCTGGATGTCTAGGTCTCTAGCAAGGCTGGGGAAGTTTTTCTTGATTGTTCCCCCAAATATGTTTTACAGACTTTTAGATTTCTCTTCTTCAAAAATGCCAATTATTCTTAGGTTTGGTCATTTAACATAATCCCAGACTTCTTGGAGGCTTTGTTCATATTTTCTTGTTCTTTTTTCTTTCTTTGTTGGATTGGGTTAACTCGAAAACCTTATCTTCAGGCTCTGAAGTTCTTTCTTCTGCTTGTTTGATTCTATTGCTGAGACTTTCCAGAGCGTTTTGCATTTCCATAAGTGTGTCCATTGTTTCCTGAAGTCTTGATTTTTTTTTTTTTATACTTTAAGTTCTAGGGTTCATGTGCACAACGTGCAGGTTAGTTACATATGTATACATGCACCATGTTGGTGTGCTGCACCCATTAACTCGTCATTTACATTAGGTATATCTCCTAATGCTATCCCTCCCCACTCCCCGCACCCCATGACAGGCCCCGGTGTGTGATGTTCCCCTTCCTGTGTCCATGTGTTCTCATTGTTCAATTCCCACCTATGAGTGAGAACATGCAGTGTTTAGTTTTTTGTCCTTGTGATAATTTGCTGAGAATGATGGTTTCCAGCTTCATCCATGTCCCTACGAAGGACATGAACTCATCCTTTTTTATGGCTGCATAGTATTCCATGGTGTATATGTGCCACATTTTCTTAATCCAGTCTATCATTGATGGACATTTGGGTTGGTTCCAAGTCTTTGCTATTGTGAATAGTGCCGCAGTAAACATATGTGTGCATGTGTCTTTATAGCAGCATGATTTATAATCCTTTGGGTATATACCCAGTAATGGGATGGCTGGGTCAAATGGTATTTCTAGTTCTAGATCCCTGAGGAATCGCCACTCTGATTTCCACAGTGGTTGAACTACTTTACAGTCCCACCAACAGTGTAAAACTGTTCCTATTTCTCCACATCCTCTCCAGCACCTGTTGTTTCCTGACTTTTTAATGATTGCCATTCTAACTGGTGTGAGATGGTATCTCACTGTGGTTTTGATTTGCATTTCTCTGATGGCCAGTGATGATGAGCATTTTTTCATGTGTCTGTTGGCTGATAAATGTCTTCTTTTGAGAAGTGTCTGTTCATATCCTTCACCCACTTTGTGATGGGGTTGTTTGTTTTTTTCTTGTAAATTTGTTTGAGTTCTTTGTAGATTCTGAATATTAGCCCTTTGTCAGATGAGTAGATTGCAAAAATTTTCTCCCATTCTGTGGGTTGCCAGTTCACTCTGATGGTAGTTTCTTTTGCTGTGCAGAAGCTCTTTAGTTTAATTAGATCCCATTTGTCAATTTTGGCTTTTGTTCCCATTGCTTTTGGTGTTTTAGACATGAAGTCCTTGCCCATGCCTATGTCCTGAATGGTATTGCCTAGGTTTTCTTCTAGGGTTTTTGTGGGTTTAGGTCTAACATTTAAGTCTTTAATCCATCTTGAATTAATTTTTGTATAAGGTGTAAGAAAGGGATCCAGTTTCAGCTTTCCACATATGGCTAGCCAGTTCTCCCAGCACCATTTATTAAATAGGGAATCCTTTCCCCACTGCTTGTTTTTGTCAGGTTTGTCAAAGATCAGATGGTTGTAGATGTGTGGTATTATTTCTGAGGGCTCTGTTCTGTTCCATTGGTCTATATCTCTGTTTTGGTACCAGTACCATGCTGTTTTGGTTACTCTAGCCTTGTAGTATAGTTTGAAGTCAAGTAGTGTGATGCCTCCAGCTTTGTTCTTTTGGTTTAGGGTTGTCTTGGCAATGCGGGCCCTTTTTTGGTTCCATATGAACTCTAAAGTAGTTTTTTCCAATTCTGTGAAGAAAGTCATTGGTAGCTTGATGGGGATGGCATTGAATCTATAAATTACCTTGGGCAGTATGGCCATTTTCACGATATTGATACTTCCTATCCATGAGCATGGAATGTTTTTCCATTTGTATGTGTCCTCTTTTATTTTGTTGAGCAGTGGTTTGTAGTTCTCCTTGAAGAGGTCCTTCACATCCCTTGTAAGTTGGATTCCTAGGTATTTTATTCTCTTTGAAGCAATTGTGAATGAGAGTTCACTCATGATTTGGCTCTCTGTTTGTCTGTTATTGGTGTGTAGGAATGCTTGTGATTTTTGCACATTGATTTTCTATCCTGAGACTTTGCTGAAGTTGCTTATCAGCTTAAGGAGATTTGGGGCTGAGACAGTGGGGTTTTCTAAATATACAACGATGTCATCTGCAAACAGGGACAATTTGACTTCCTCTTTTCCTAATTGAATACCCTTTATTTCTTTCTCCTGCCTGATTGCCCTGGCCAGAACTTCCAACACTATGTTGAATAGGAGTGGTGAGAGAGGGCATCCCTGTCTTGTGCCAGTTTCCAAAGGGAATGCTTCCAGATTTTGCCCATTCAGTATGATATTGTCTGTGGGTTTGTCATAAATAGCTCTTATTATTTTGAGATATGTCCCATCAATAATTAATTTATTGAGAGTTTTTAGCATGAAGGGCTGTTGAATTTTGTCAAAGGCCTTTTCTGCATCTATTGAGATAACCACGTGGTTTTTGTCTTTGGTTCTGTTTATATGCTGGATTACGTTTATTGATTTGTGTGTGTTGAACCAGCCTTGCATCCCAAGGATGAAGCCCACTTGATCATGGTGGATAAGCTTTTTGATGTGCTGCTGGATTCAGTTTGCCAGTATTTGATTGAGGATTTTTGCATCAATGTTCGTCAGGGATATTGGTCTAAAATTCTCTTTTTTGGTTGTGTCTCTGCCAGGCTTTGGTTATCAGGATGATGCTGGCCTCATAAAATGAGTTAGGGAGGATTCCCTCTTTTTCTGTTGATTGGAATAGTTTCGGAAAGAATGGTACCAGCTCCTCCTTTTGCATCTGGTAGAATTTGGCTGTGAATCCATCTGGTCTTGGACTTTTTTTGGTTGGTAAGCTATTAATTATTGCCTCAATTTCAGAGCCTGTTATTGGTCTATTCAGAGATTCAACTTCTTCCTGGTTTAGTCTTGGGAGGGTGTATGTGTCCAGGAATTCATCCGTTTCTTCTAGATTTTCTAGTTTATTTGCGTAGAGGTGTTTATAGTATTCTCTGATGGTAGTTTGTATTTCTGTGGGATCAGTGGTGATAACCCCTTTATCATTTTTTATTGCATCTATTTGATTCTCTCTTTTCTTCTTTATCAGTCTTGCTAGCAGTCTACCAATTTTGTTGATCTTTTCAAAAAACCAGCTCCTGGATTCATTGAGTTTTTGAAGGGTTTTTGTCTCTATCTCCTTCAATTCTGCTCTGATCTTAGTTATTTCTTGCCTTCTGATAGCTTTTGAATGTGTTTGCCCTTGCTTCTCTAGTTCTTTTAATTGTGATGTTAGGGTGGCAATTTTAGATCTTTCCTGCTTTTTCTTGTGGGCATTTAGTGCCATAGTTCTTTTAATTGTGATGTTAGGGTGGCAATTTTAGATCTTTCCTGCTTTTTCTTGTGGGCATTTAGTGCCATAAATTTCCCTCTACACACTGCTTTAAATGTGTCCCAGAGATTCTGGTATGTTGTGTCTTTGTTCTCATTGGTTTCAAAGAACATCTTTATTTCTGCCTTGATTTTGTTATGTACCCAGTAGTCATTCAGGAGCGGGTTGTTCAGTTTCCATGTAGTTGAGTGGTTTTGAGTGAGTTTCTTAATCCTGAGTTCCAGTTTGATTGCACTGTGGTCTGAGAGACAGTTTGTTATAATTTCTGTTCTTTTGTATTTGCTGAGGAGTGCTTTACTTCCAACTATGTGGTCAGTTTTGGAATAAGTGTGATGTGGTGCTGAGAAGAATGTATATTCTGTTGATTTGGGGTGGAGAGTTCTGTAGATGTCTATTAGGTCTGCTTGGTGCAGAGCTGAGTTCAATTCCTGGGTATCCTTGTTAACTTTCTGTCTTGTTGATCTGTTTAATGTTGACAGTGGGGTGTCAACATTATTATTGTGTGGGAGTCTAAGTCTCTTTGTAGGTCTCTAAGGAGTTGCTTTATGAATCTGGGTGCTCCTGTATTGGGTGCATATATGTTTAGGATAGTTAGCTCTTCTTGTTGAATTGATCCCTTTACCATTATGTAATGGTCTTCTTTGTCTCTTTTGATCTTTGTTGGTTTAAAGTCTGTTTTATCAGAGACTAGGATTGCAACCCCTGCTTTTTTTGTTTTCCATTTGCTTGGTAGATCTTCCTCCATCCCTTTATTTTGAGCCTATGTGTGTCTCTGCACGTGAGATGGGTTTCCTGAATACAGCACACTGATGGGTCTTGACTCTTTATCCAATTTACCAGTCTGTGTCTTTTCATTGGAGCATTTAGCCCATTTACATTTAAAATTAATATTGTTATGTGTGAATTTGATCCTGTCATTATGATGTTAGTTGGTTATTTTGCTCGTTAGTTGATGTAGTTTCTTCCTAGCATCGATGGTCTTTACAATTTGGCATGTTTCTGCAGTGGCTGGTACTGGTTGTTCCTTTCCATGTTTAGTGTTTCCTTCAGGAGCTCTTGTAGGGCAGGCCTGGTGGTGACAAAATCTCTCAGCATTTGCTTGTCTGTGAAGGATTTTATTTCTCCTTCACTTATGAAGCTTAGTTTGGCTGGATATGAAATTCTGGGTTGAAAATTATTTAAGAATGTTGAATACTGGCCCCCACTCTCTTCTGGCTTGTAGAGTTTCTGCCGAGAGATCCACTGTTAGTCTGATGGGCTTCCCTTTGTGGGTAACCCGACCTTTCTCTCTGGCTGCCCTTAACATTTTTTCCTTCATTTCAACTTTGGTGAATCTGACAATTATGTGTCTTGGAGTTGCTCTTCTTGAGGAGTATCTTTGTGGTGTTCTCTGTATTTCCTGAATTTGAATGTTGGCCTGCCTTGCTAGGTTGGGGAAGTTCTCCTGGATAATATCCTGCAGAGTGTTTTCCAACTTGGTTCCATTCTCCCCATCACTTTCAGGTACATCAGTCAGACATTGATTTGGTCTTTTCACATAGTCCCATATTTCTTGGAGGCTTCGTTCATTTCTTTTTACTCTTTTTTCTCTAAACTTCTCTTCTTGCTTCATTTCATTCATTTGGTCTTCAATCACTGATACCCTTTCTTCCAGTTGATCGAATCGGCTACTGAAGCTTGTGCATTTGTCACGTAGTTCTCGTGCCATGTTTTTCAGCTCCATCAGGTCATTTAAGGACTTCTCTACATTGGTTATTCTAGTTAGCCATTTGTCTAATCTTTTTTTCAAGGTTTTTAGCTTCTCTGTGATGGGTTTGAACTTCCTCATTTAGCTCGGAGAAGTTTGATCATCGGAAGCCTACTTCTGTCAACTCATCAAAGTCATTCTCTATCCAGCTTTGTTCCATTGCTGGCGAGGAGCTGCATTCCTTTGGAGGGGGAGAGGCGCTCTGATTTTTAGAATTTCCAGCTTTTCTGCTCTGTTTTTTCCCCATCTTTGTGGTTTTATCTACCTTTGATCTTTTTTGATGGTGACGTACAGATGGGGTTTTTGGTGTGGATGTCCTTTCTGTTTGTTAGTTTTCCTTCTAACAGTCAGGACCCTCAGCTGCAGGTCTGTTGGAGTTTTCTGGAGGTCCACTCCAGACCCTGTTTGCCTGGGTGTCAGCAGTGGAGGCTGCAGAACAGCTAATATTGCTGAACAGCAAATATTGCTGCCTGATCATTCCTCTGGAAGCTTCATCTCAGAGGGGTGCCCGGCCGTGTGAGGTGTCAGTCTGCCCTTACTGGGGGGTGCCTCCCAGTTAGGCTACTCGGGGGTCAGGGACCCACTTGAGGGGGCAGTCTGTCCATTCTCAGATTTCAAACTCCATGCTGGGAGAACCACTACTAACTTCAAAGCTGTCAGGGACGTTTAAGTCTGCAGAGGTTTCTGCTGCCTTTTGTTCGGCTGTGCCCTACCCCCAGAGGTGGAGTCTACAGAGGCAGGCAGGCAGGCCTTCTTCCTGGCAGCTTTGTTTACCTACTCAAGCCTCAGCAATGGCGGGCGCCCCCTCCACCAGCCTCGCTGCCACCTTGCAGTTAGATCTCAGACTGCTGTGCTAGCAATGAGCGAGGCTCCGTGGGCGTGGGACCCTCTGAGCCAGGCACGGGATATAATCTCCTATTGTGCCATTTGCTAAGACCGTTGGAAGAGCACAATATTAGGGTAGGAGTGACCCAATTTTCCAGGTGCTGTCCATCACCGCTTCCCTTGGCTAGGAAAGGGAATTCCTGACCCCTTGCACTTCCTGGGTGAGGTGATGCCTCGCCCTGCTTCGGCTCACGTTCGGTGGGCTGCACCCACTGTCCTGCCCCCACTGTCCGACAAGCCCCAGTGAGATGAACCCAGTACCTCAGTTGGAAATGCAGAAATCACCCCCATCTTCTATGTCACTCACCCTGGGAGCTGTAGACTGGAGCTGTTCCTATTCAGCATCTTCTTGATTGTTTTTTATTTGATTTCACTGAGTATTTCTCCCTTCATTTCTTGTATCTATTTTTTTTTTTTTTTTTTTTTGAGATGGAGTCTTACTCTGTCACCCAGGCTGCTGGAGTGCAGTGGTGTGATCTCAGCTCACTGCAACCTCTGCCTCCCAGGTTCAAGCAATTCTCTTGCCTCAGCCTCCCAAGTTGCTGGGACTACAGGCTCACACCACCATGCCCGGCTAATTTTTATATTTTTAGTAGGTTCACCATGTTGCCCAGGCTGGTCTTGAACTCCTGACTTGTATCACTTTTTTTTATTTCCTTAAATTGGGCTTTGCCTTTCTCTGGTGCCTCCTTGGTTAACTTAATAACTGACCTTCTGAATTCTTTTTTAGGTAAGTCAGGGATTTCTGCTTGGTTTGGATCCATCGTTGGTGAGCTAGTGTGATTTTTTTGGGGTGTTAAAGAGCCTTGTTTTGTCATATTACCAGAGTTGGTTTTCTGGTTCCCTCTCATTTGGGTAGGCTCTGTCAGAGGGAAAGTTTAGGGCTGAGGGCTGTTGCTCAGATTCTTTTGTCCCATGGGGTGTTCCCTTGATGTAGGGCTCTGCTCCTTTTCCTATGGATGTGGCTTCCAGAGAGGTGGGCTGTAGTGATTGTTATCTCTCTTCTGGGTCCAGCCACCCAGCAAGTCTACCAGGCTCTGGGCTGGTACTGGGGGTTGTCTGCCCAGAGAGCTGTCTGTGGGCCTCTTGGACATGGACACCAGCACCTGTTCCGGTGGAGGTGGCAGGGGGTGCAATGCACTTAGCTTTGGTGGTCTAATGCTGTATTTTTGTGCCGGTTGGCCTCCTGCTGGGAGGTGGAGCTTTCCAGAGAGCATCTGCTGTGGGAGCATAGAGAGGAACCCGCGGTGAGTGGGGCCCTGGAACTCCTAAGAGTATATGCCTTTTGTCTTCAGCTACCAGGCTGGATGGGGAAGGACCATCAGGTGGGGGCGGGGCCAGTGTCTGAGCTCAGACTCTCTTGGGCGGGTCTTGCTGTGGCTGCTGTGGGGCATGGGGGTGAGATTCGCAGGTTAATGGAGTTGTGTACCTACGAGAATTATGGCTGCCTCTGCTGAGTCATGCAGGTTGTCAAGGAAGTGGGGAAAAGCCAGCAGCACAGGCCTCACCCAGCTCCCACACAAATTGAAGGGCTGGTCTCACTCCCACTGTGTCCCCCACAGCAGCCTTGAGTCTGCTTCCAGGCAGTGGGCCAGCAGGGTTGAGAACGTGCCCCAGGCTACCTGCCTCCCAGCTGTGAAAATGGGGCTTTCATTCTTCCTCTACCTGTGGAGTCTGTCACTGGATTCACACCCTCCCCCAAGTTCTGGCCAGGAGGCTTCTCCTTAGGTTGGAATTGTTACAAAGTTCAGCTGGAGGTTTCCTTCTCCCTGTGGCCTTTCCCCAGTGCCTCTGGCTGCCCTTCCAAAGGACCCCTCTGAGGTAAGGCAGAGATGGCTTCCTAGGGAACCAAGAGAGCCCACAGGGCTTTTCCCACTGCTTCCTCCGCCCCTGTATTTCGCTCGACTCAGCTCCAGGTGAGCTCAGAATCTTCTCCCGTGATCTAGACCTTCAGGTTCTGCAGTGGGGGTGTGTGTTTGGGGGTGAACGGTCCTCCTTTCCCACTTCCATAGCTTGGGCACTCACAGTATTTGGGGTGTCTCCCAGGTCCTGCAGGAGCAATCTGCTACCTTCAGAGGGTCTGGGGGTTCTCTCGGCTTTCCCGATTTATTCCTGCAGTCGTTCTGGATGCAGAAGTTCACGACACGAGACTCCACACACTTTTTCTCCATCTGAGTGGGAACTGCAATCTGGTTCTGCCTGCAATCTAGTCCCATCCACCATGATCCTCCTCCTGGGTGTTTACTATTCCTGATAGGTGTTTTTGAGCTTTGTTCTGGGACACTGCTGAGTTGTTTGGGAAGAGCATTCTCTGTGAGGCTTGCCTTCAAGATTGGGGCAGGAGTGGCCCACCACAGAGACAGTGCCTGTCTGGGTGCTCTGCCCAATGCCCTGAGTATTACAGCTCAGGCTTCCACCCATGGTAGAATCCGCCGGCATACTGTCCCATGCTGCTGTTAGGGAGAGCAGGAGGGATCCAGCTCTCTTGGGAAGCAGGTGCTGTGGTCTTGGGGGGGTCTTCCTCTGGATCCTGGTTTCCTCACCTGAAGAGCTGGGGGATCTGGCCAGGTGATCCTGACATTTCTTCCTGTGCCAGAAACCTCCCTTTTTACATTGGGAGCAGTAGACAATTGGTCTGGGCAGAAGCTAAGCTGTGTGTAAATCATGCACAATTTTGTTTTTAGTTCTGATATTTTTAAAACACTGGTACTACCACTTGGAAAACATAACATGCTCAGTGGTTTATTTTATAGAGTGATCGTTGCTGCCAATTCTTATATCTCAAAAGGGACTTCTAGTTATTAATGTGACCTAAGCCTTCCTGCCAGTAGTAACCCAGGCAGACTGAAAACCACCGGAGAGTGACTCATACAACATGTGTCTCCTTTGAAGATGGCCATGCCCTTGAGCCCTGGAGCCGACGGCTGTTTCCTTAACACGGGGTGGTGGTTACTGTACTTGGTTAGTGTAATATCTGACTTCCACCCCAGGAAGTGCACTCGCAAATTTTAAATCACACTTGTTGTGTAACTGAAATGATAATGGTAAATACAGGTGCAAGATTTTTTTCCTTGATGAAAAAGTTGTGGCTTTGGACCTGGCCGTGATTTTTTTTTTCTTTTTTAAGTTGTGGCCAGCCTTCTGCCTCTGGATAGATGGAGGGGACATACTTTTCCCTGCTCCCCCATTAGTACAATCAAAACCCTGGACATGAAATAAGAAACCAGTGTAAGAAGACTCTGAAAGGCAGGCTGGAGAAAGCGGCCGGCCAGGGACCTCAGACCCCAGGAATGACGCCATGGCAGGGTCCCTGGGTTTTCTTTTTGCCTGGGATGTCCCAGACACAGAGCTGAAGAATCCAGCAACCCAGAGCCAACTGGCTCAGACAAACCATCCCCAAGAAGAGCCTGCTTCCTCCAGCCACAGAACCAGTTAGGCAGCAGCCTCACAGCAGACATTTCCCGACATGGATGTGCAGATGGCCAAGGCACACAGGAGAGACGCCACGGCGAGGTGCTAGGGAAATGCAGACAGAAGCCATAGGGCCTGTGAGCTCACCTAGGAGAACGGCAACGTTAGAAATGGCACCACCACCAAATACAGGCAAAGGTGTCGGGAACCTGGGTCCCTCATACACGGCTGGTGGGAGGCAAGGCCCCTCTGGAGACCAGCTGGGCAATAAACATCCAGCTGCTGTAGAGCCCGGAAATGGTTCAGCGCCAGGTATCCTCCAGTGGGCGAGTGGCGAAAGATACAGTGGTGCAGCCACACCGTGGGTCACTCTGCGGCGAGAAGGGTGAACCGTGGGCCACTCCGCGGTGAGAAGGGGTGAACTGTGGGTCACCACCCAGCAGTGAGAAGGTTGAGCTGTGGGTGCCCATGGTAACCTGCGTGGCCCTCCAAGCATCACACGGACTCTCGGGAGGTCGCCTACTGTATGACTTCATTTCTATAACATTTCTGAAATGGCAAAATTATGTAGTTGGGGAGCAGATCGTGGCTTCCCATGGTTACAGAGGGGGCAGGGTAGGAGGGAAGTGAATGTGACAATAACAGGGACCCTTGTAGGGACAGGAGTGTTCCCAACCTTTGTCCCCTGGCTGTGATACTGTCCCGCTGTTTTCCAAGATGTTCTCATTGGGGGAAATAGGGAAAGGGGATGTGCGGCATCTGTATATTCTGTCTTACAACTGCATGTGGGTCTACAATTATCTCAAACTAAAAGTTTTTTTTTTTTTTTTAAGAAAAAGTCATGGCACTTCAGTGAAAATTTAGAATTTTAATGCATTTGCAGGTGATTCAGAACCTAAGCTTCCTATCACAGAGATTGCCCTTCCTTCCTTCCTTCCTTTTATTTTCTTCCCTTCCCCTTCCCCTTCCCCTTCCCCTTCCCCTTTCCTTCCCCTTCCCCTTTCCCTTTCCCATCCCCTTTCCCTTTCCTTCCTTTTCTCCCCTTCCCCTTCCCCTTCCCCTTCCCCTCCTTCCTTTTTTTTTTCTTTCTTCTTTTTCTTTTCTCTTTCTTTTTTTGAGACAAGGTCTTCCTCTGTTGTCCAGGTGGGAGTGCAGTGACATGATCACAGCTCACTGTGGCCTTGACCTCCCAGCCCCAAGCGATCCTCCCGCCTCAGCCTCCCAGGGAGCTGGGACCACAGGTGCCCACCTGGTTAATTTATTTGTTGCAGAGATGGGGTCTCCCTCTGTTGCCCAGGCTGGTCTCAGACTCCTGGGTTCAAGTGATCCTCCCACCTTAGCCTCTTAAGGTGCTGGGATTACAGGCCTCAGCCACTGTGCCCAGCCAAGATCGCCTTTCAGTACAAAGTGAAATGTGCTAGATTCAGTTCTGGAGATGAGGACTGATGGCTCACTGTCACCGTCTTAACATTTATCGATCAAAATGTGAATGTGTTGAAGTCAGTGCAGAGATTTTGTGGATGATCCCAAGCTGCTTTTCAGAAAGTCACTCATGGCACTTCCTGAGGGCTGTGTGGGTTGTTGTGGGATGAAATGGTCTCTTGTCCATCTTGAAGCATCTTTAGCGTCCATCGCAGTGGCCACTGCAGATCAGAGTGCGGACGTCCCTTAAGAGCCCTTCTAGGTATCACTGTGAGGCCAGCTTAGTGGCGTTGCTCTTCTCCTGGGTGCTGAGTGGCTGCCAGAGCCCCCAGCACCTCCACCGGGCTTCTCCCATCCTGGGCCTGGTCTTTACCGTGACCTCTGGCCACACCAGGGGCATTTGCAGTGAGGAGGGGGCTCTTTACCACAGCGCTCCTCTCTCAGAGCTGGATTTACGACACTGGTCTCGTGATCAGGAGCCGGGGGTGAAGTCCTGGGTCCTCCTTCCTCCTGGAGAGACAGGCCATACTCAGTAAGCCTCCTCAGGGTGTTCTTACACTCACCTGGGTTTGGGACCCGAACCTTGGACTTCTCTGTAGGTAAACAATTTAGCCCAGAAAGAATGCAAGTCAAATGTTTACAGCCTGGTGAGGTCACAGGAGCTGCAGAGACATGGACCGTCCCACCCCAGGATGCCCCCGAATCACAGGAGGTGGCTCTGAAGGCTGCTCGGGTGTGGACAGGTCTGATTGACTTCTCGGTGTCCTCTGCATCGCGTGGTGGTATTGAAGCCCAAATCCAGAGGCTCAACACTGAGTAAACAGCCCGACAGGGACAGAGTGGAGCAAAGCTCTAAGGGGGCCAGCCTCCTCGTCAGCGACACTGAGGTTCACTGTGGTGATTCACCGGCGGTGGAAAGACATCCATCAGCTGTAAAGCTTTGTCTTCCACACAGAAACCTCCTGCCATAAAACGACTTTACCAGAGGTCAACCCAAAGCACTTCTTCAGCCTTCAGATGATGACTGGGAAATAAGTTGTTTTATTACCTCCTCAGAGACCCCGAAATAAAAGATAGGCAATCTGCACTGTTAATTTAACGACTTCCCTAAGGAAAGTATGAAGGTGCAGTCCCGGTCTGAAACTGACCGCGAAGCCCACTGGGGAACCCTGTGCAGCAGAGGAAGCACTCTGTCTACGGGGGTTTGGGGAGGCCCTGGTGCAAACTCAACCTCTCTTGCATATGCTGTGGGTTTTCCCCGACTAACAGGCTCAGGACCCTTATTTTTCCTGGTCAAATGCAACTCAGCATGTGTGTAAGACGCCAAGTGCTTTAATGCATGTCCTGATTGTGTCAATGAATCAACTCATGGGTACATTCACAAGTCCTCATCAGGCCAGTCCCCTGGGCACCGCCTGCCCTGTGCCTTGTGGCTCAGGTGCGTGTCACGGACGGCACGTTCCTCGGCACCCCAAACCCCTCGCACTGCCACGCTGTCCGTCTGCAGCTCCCGTGCTCACCCTGGTGATGGTGGTCTTGAGCAGAGTCCACAGTGTCTGGAGGGCTCGTCTGCATCTGAGATTCACGCTGCGTTGCTGTGATTCCCGGTGAAGGGACAGCCCCGGTCCCAGCCCTCCTGTGATCCTATCGTGGTGAGGGGCTGGCACAGTGCTGTAGGGGGTGTCTGCTCTGAGCTTGCACCCACCCTGGCTCCTGCCCCCGGGCTGATCCAGGCTCCCCAGGGCAGATGCAGCTGTGACCAGACTCTGCCCAGTGGGTGTCCCACAGTGTGCTGCCCTCACAGGCCCCCACACGGACCCCCCGCACAGACCCCCACACAGGTCCCTCAGACCCGCTCCCACCCCGTTGGAGAACTGTGGGTCTCCTCGAGCCAGGAACGCCATGGTCTGGGACTCAGTGCAGAGTGTGCCACGTGGGGCCGAGCCCTTGGCATGAGCCGGCTGGACCTCCCGCATGGCTGAAGCCCATGCCACACCCAAGGTGGGGGTGTCTGGGCCACCACCAGCTGAGATCTCCCACTCCCGCAGCCTTTGGGTCTCTCTCCAGTCGCCCCGTCTGCCTCCCAGGAGGGTGTCAGGAAGGCCACGAGAAGACGTATTGACCAGAACAGCCTCACACACCCTTGAGACTGGATGATTCTCTGCACCCTGGTTCCTTACGAGGGTTGGGGGGTGAGCAGAAAAGCTCATGAAACCTAGCAGCCACCCCCAGGGCCGGAGCGCAGGCCACGCCCCCCCAGCAGCTATGAGCTCCGTCACCTGCCAACAGCAGCAGTGTCCTTGTGGGGAAAGGAGATGCCTCCATTTACCAAAGCTGTGATCATCCGAGGTGCGGAGCCTCCCAGCCGCCCCAACATCATTTCATTTTAGGATGCGAGGCGAGACTTGAAAGCCCCTTTCTCTCGGCATGAGGAACCCCGGCCGCGCTCCCCATTCTCTCTGCATGAGGAACCCCTGCCGCGCTCCCCGTTCTCTCTGCATGAGGAACCCCAGCTGTGCTCCTGGGCGGGAAGGAAGAGCTTGCCGCAGACCCCAGCTGGGTGCCTGAGCCTTGCCACTTGGGGGAGATTCACACCATCCCTGCTCGTTTTCATAAGGAATAAACTCAATATAGTTACCGTATCAGTTCCCAGATTGGTGCTGGAGAAAAATATCAACTCTGCCTCTAGGGAGATGCCAGTGAAAGCTCTCAGACCAGGGTGGCCAGTGCGGGACCCAGAGTGGACTTGAATCTGTTCGGAGGAGCTGGGCACTCCCAGGCCTGGGACGGGAGGAGGGAGGCCAGTCTGGGGAGCTTTTTCTGCAATGTAGACAAGGTTTTAGCTTTCTATACTTTCCCTCCTCCAAAGTGGAAATCCATACATGGGAGGCTGAGGTGGGAGGATTGCTTGAGCCCAGGAAGTCGAGGCTACAGTGAGCTGTGATTGCCCCGCTGCTCTCCAGCCTGGGCGACAGAGCAAGGACCGACCCCCCAACCCCACCACTGAAGTCTCCCCGAAACAAAATTAACTAAATGCTACGAACAGTGGGTTAATTAGAAATTAGCTCCTGGGATGGGTCTAAATGTTGACCATTGTGTATTAGCAACCATGACCCTTTAAAACAGATTCTCTTTCAAAAAACTGCTTCATCTATTTTAAATAGCAAAACTATGGGAACGACAACTGTCTCGGCAGCCAGATTTTATTTTCCCTTTTCCTCAAATGCTCAATGCCCTATGACAGCCAGATGGGAATGAGTTTCTGCCGCCATCAGTGAGCACTGCACAGAGAGTGGTGCGGCAGCCAGGAGAGGGCAGTGGTGGCCCGGGGCTCGGTCCTGGGGTGCCGCTGGAAGGAAGCTGGAGCCCTGTGTCTCGGGGGCTGTCTATGAGGACTTGAATGGAGGTGGGAACGTGTTATTGGAAGTGGGAAAGAACACCCTTGTGTGGAGGTGGGAAGTTTACCAGAGCAGTCACCTGTGGTGGTAGAGAACCCGAGGGCACAGGACAGGACCTGGCCCTTCCCCAGTGGGTTCTTCATCCCCCTGGAGAGTCCCCTTCATGGGTCCCCAGGGAGGACTGTGGGAGGTGGGCCCACAGTTCTGGAGCCCGCAGGAGCCCACCCGACGCTCATGTGGTTGGGACCAGGAGTCACTAAAAGTCGCTCAAGTGTCAGCTGGTGTCTCCCCTTAGAGCAGCTTGTTATCAAGAGACAGCAAAGCACCTGCAGAACCTCCTGTCCCATCTCTAGGAGTCTGTGCCCACCCAATGTCCTCTCATTCTCCAGCAGCAAGGCCAGCCGAGCCCCCTTTCCTCCTCAGGCCCTTCTTCTTGCATACTTCTCAGGCCTTTCCCAAGCTGCCTAGGGTTTTGTCCTCAGGATGGAGCTGGAAAGGGGAGACAGGCAGTGCGCCGGGCCCGGCGAGCACCCTCTCCTTTGTAAATGAAGATGCCTCTGATGACGTCCGCGGGACAACCTGGGTGCAGCCTCAGCCCCGTCCATGGGTCCAGCCCCTCCGTCTGCAGTGGCATCCTGAGGGCACCTTCCTCCCTCTGTACCCCATGACAGCTCCCAGCTTTGCCATCTGCCCGAGCCTGGTCCCTCCAGTCCCCGTCTCACACGTGCAGAGCTGACATCCACCCTGCCGGGCCCTTCTCCCCATCCAGGTGGAGGCCGGCGGCCCTGCAGGGTGAGACGTGCCCAGCCTCTTCCCAGTTCACCTGTCAGCCCCGCAGGCTCCTCGTGGTTCCTGGGTGTCTGCATCGCCTCCCAGGTGACGGGTCACCTCCGACCCTCCTTTCACCCTCCCTCTGTGAGGCCATCTTCACTCACCCGTGGAAGTCTACTTGGCTGCCCTGTGGCCCTCCCACCTGCCCGTCCTGCCACCTCCGCTGGTCTCTGAGCCCCACACCCACACAGCTTGGCCTTCATCAAACTGCAGGGCCCATGTCCAAGTCTCCCTCCCATGGTCCTGTGGACTGATAAATAGGGGGCTGGAGACAGATGCAGGAGTAGGGGGGGAGGGCTGTGTTCACCAGGCCGGAGAGGAGATGCAGGAGTGATGGGGGCCTGTGTTCACCAGGAGAGGAGACGCGGGCATGGGGTGGGGGGAAGTGTTCACCGGGAGAGGAGATGGGGGCGTGGGGTGGGCCTGTGTTCATCAGGAAATGGGAGCAGGAGTTGTGGGGGTGGGGGCTGTGTTCACCGGGAAAGTTCCCATGTGTGATCTGCCTGCTTGTCCCTTCTATCCTGGCTGCCTTCACTGCCCTGTAACAGGTGACAGGAGCAGAAGGTAAACAAGGACAAGAGGGAAAGGTGCTTTTTTCCCTCTGTCGGGGAAAGCTGGTCATGGTGGGGATGGAAGGAGGCCCCAGGAGCAGGAGGGCCACAGAGGAGCCCAATGGACCTGTTAGGAGCACCGGGGGTCCTTGACCCTCTGGGCAGCCAAGAGGAGCATCTGACATAGGAGCTGGGGTAGAGAAGCAGCTGCTGGAGAGGAACATCAGGGGGAGAGAGGAACATCAGAGACGGGGAGGAGCACCTGGGGGAGAGGAGCAGCTGGAGGGGAGGAGCACCTGGGGGAGAGGAGCAGCTGGGGGGGGGAGGAGCAGCTGGAGGGGAAGAGCACCTGGGGGAGAGGAGTAGCTTGGTGGGGGGAGCCTCTGAGGGAAAGGAACAGCTAGGGGAGGTGCCTGGCAGCACAGAAGGAAAGTGTGAGGATCTCACCAGCCTCGTCTAATCACCTCTTCTTAGACAATGAGCAGCTTCCCTGGGGTTGAACCTGGAGGACTTGCTGTGACCAGTGGAGATCACTGATTGCCTACACCAGGTCCCTAGTGCCTGACCATGGATTGGTGCCTGTCCGTGGCCTGTTAGAAGCTGGGCCATACAGCAGGAGGCAAGCAGTGGGCGAGGGAGGGAAGCTTCCTGTGTATTTACGGCCACTCCCCTTGAGGGACACAGAGCCAGACCCTATCTCCAAAAAAAGAAAGAAAATCCATCTCCATTAAACAGTAGCTCCCATTGCCTCTCCTGCCAGCCCCTGGCACCCACCATTCTACTTAGTTCCTGGGTTTGCCGACTGTAGATCCTGAATATATACGTGAAATCATGCGGCATTTGTCCTTCTGTGACCGGCTCATTTCACCCAGCCTAATGTCTTCAGGGATCCTCCTGTCATAGCGTGTGTCCGAATCTCCCTCCTGGTTACAGCTGGATAATATTCTGCTACGTGGATATTCTGCATTTTGTGTAGCCACTCATCCATCGATGGATGCAGGTTGCCTCCACTGGCAGCTACCTGGATTGTGCTGCTGTGAGCTGGGCGTGCGCTTCTGTTCCAGTCCCTGCTTTCCGCACTTCTGGGCATTTCCTGGGTGCAGCTTGTGGGTCTCTGTGGAGGAGCCCGGTCACGGGGTCCCTCTGCCGTCTGAGAGCTCGTGGTTTATATGTGCCATTGCCGCCATGTGGCCTCACAGCCATGTACAGAATTCTGAGTTCGAAGTTGGGTGCCCACTCCCTCACTCTCTGATTCCTAAGAGGGAAAAGAATTCACCCGTGCTGAGTGTTCATCCCATGCTGGGCGTGGGGATGTCCTCTTAGATGTGGGGTCCCTGTCTGGGGGCACCATATGGCGGGCAGATGGGCTCTGAGGTCTGGGGCTGGTTCCCTGGCCTGCGTCGTCCAGGTAGCATCCTCAGCACTGCAATGAGGTGGGGGGTCCACGTGCCCCTGCCCCGGCACACAAGCCCCTGAGCTCCAGGCCACGGCTCCGGAGGGAGCTGCTCACCGCGGTGTGCTTTCCCCTCCAGGTGAATGAGAAGATGTAGTGTGACAGCAGCCCGGGTGACACCTGCTGGGAGCTTGGCGTGGACACCCCAGCCACCCCCAGCCCAGCCCAGCCGGAGCACCCTACCCCTGGGCATCCCCCTGGCCATCCAGCCTCACCATGTCCAAGAGGGGCATGAGCAGCCGGGCCAAGGGGGACAAGGCAGAGGCCCTCGCGGCGCTGCAGGCGGCCAACGAGGATCTTCGAGCCAAGCTCACAGACATCCAGATCGAGCTGCAGCAGGAGAAGAGCAAGGTGGGCGCTCCCCAGACCTCCACCCTTGAATGTCCCTCCCTCCTGCCTCCCCTGGGGCCCAGAGGCTCTTCCTGGAGTGGGTTTGGCCAGATCCCTGTGGAAACCCCCACCCAGTCCTAAAGGCTGCTTGGGACAGACCACTTGGTGGGGGGTGGGGCGGCAGGCAGTGGGAGACTTGAGGGCCTGTAGGCACAGGTGCCGTGGTGGTGACCGCAAACCACGCTGAGCTCACAGAAATTATCCTCTGCTGCATGGGGACAGCCCTCCCATCTGAGGCCGCAGGGCCTTGGGGTCTGTGTCCAGTGGTGCCATACCTGGAAAGGACGCTGACTTTCCCACTGCAGTGTCCATGGTGGAACTGACCTGAAACAGAGTGGGCAGGTATGGCTCTCACATGGGAATAAAGGAAAAGGATGGGCCATCGGTTTAGAGCTTCCAGATTTGGAGGAACAGCACCCGTTAGCGAATGTGGAGATGCAGGGGCAAGCCCGGGGGATGGGGAGGCCCACGATGGCCTCTGGCTGGATGCCCAGCACTTTGGGGCTTTTGAAGCCTCGGGAAAGATTGGGCTGTGCTGAGCTGTGCTGGCAGCCAAGGGGGTGGGGGTCTGAAGCAGGGGGAGGGGCTGACCAGAAGACAAGACAAGCCCTGGGGTGGGCTACCCACGCCTGAACCTCTTTCCACCTCTAGCATGACCTTTGCCCTCTCCTTTCCATCTCCTGGTCCCCAGGAGCCATTAAGAAGTGTGCCCAGGTTCCTGGAAGGAGAAGGCGAGGGAGAGAGCATCTGGAGAGAAGGCAGCTCCAGGAAGGGGCTGGGAACGAAGGCAGGTGCCTGCCGTGGGCTTGGAAGGGCCTGGGTCACGCGTGGATGGTGTCCCCACTCCAGGCCCTAGTTCTCTCCCTCCCTGTTTCTTGCCCATCAAAGGCATCTCTCTTGGGACCTGCATGGTCTGGCGGTGGAGGGGAGTCGGGTTATTTGGGGGTGGTTGCTTAACCTCTGACTTATTGACCCTCCTGTGATTTCACCTCCTTGTCATATCAAAAGAAGAAGAATGTTTCGTGACACGTGATCATCATGTGTAGTTCAGATTTTGGTGCCCACACCACAAGGAAAGTTGTATTAGAACATGAGTCATCCCAGCACATTAGGAGGCCAAGGTGGGAGGATAGCTTGAGCCCAGGAGTTCGAGACCAACCTGGGCAACATAGGGAGACCTCATCTCTACAAAAAAAAATGGACACATTACGCAGGTGCGGTGGTATGCTCCTGTGGGCTCAGCTGCTCGGGAGGCTGAGGCAAGACAATTACTTGAGTCTAGGAGGTTGAGGCTACAGTAAGCTGTGATTGTGCCACTGTACTCTAGCCTGCATGACAGAGCGAGACCCTGTCTCTAAAGAAATAAAAATGATTTAAAAAAAAAAACCCACAGCTGCACCTGCTCATTTACATATTGTCCTTGGAGTTGACCCACAAAACCTAAAATATTTACCATCTGGCCCCGCCCCCGTTCCTCCCCCTCCTGCCATGAGTCCCTCCTCTGTAGAATGGGGATGAACACAGCCTGTGGCCTGGAGGGGGGAGTGTTGCTGAGGCTTCGGGGCACAGCTCGGGGAGTCTCGCTTCTCGGATACCAGAAGGCCGATGGCATGGGGACACGATCAGTAAATGTGCGTCTAGCACCTGCTCTGTGCCAGGCGCCCATAAATCCCAAACAACAAGGCCCAGAGGCCCCGACTCGCTGCAGGAGCACAAGGTCAGGGTGCTAATGCCCCCCGTCAAAAAATGGGGAGTTGCCCCAAATGGAGAGACCAGGCTGCACGGTGAGCCTCAGACATGGCTGTCGTCTTCCCTCTCTGCATTTTGCTGGTGGAAGAAGAGATGACTTGTCAAGAGCCCAGTGAGAATGAAACCCTTTGTTTTATTGAGTAAAAATATAACAATTATCTTTTTTTAAAAAAACAAAGTCTTACTCTGTCACCCTGTCTGGAGTGCAGTGGTGTGATCTCAGCTCACTACAGCCTCGACCTCCTGGGCTCAAGCAATCCTCTCACCTCAGCCCCTCAAATAACTGAGACCACAGGTGTGCACCACCATGTCCGGCTATTTTTTTTTTTTTTTTTAACTTTTTTGTAGAGACTGGGTCTCGCCATTTTGCCCGGGCTGGTCTCAAACTCCTGGACTCAAGCAATCTTCCTGCCTCAGCCTCCCAACATGCTGGGATTACAGGGCTAAGCCATTGCCCCCAGCCAATAATTATCTTCTTAACAAAAACACCACATGTGGACATCCCCAGGTTTAGTCCCCAGTTCTCTGTCCACCTAATTACAACAGCATCATGTGATTTTTTGTGCAGTTTTGCCAAAACACATCCATCTGTGACGCCCCGAGGGACACACGCTCCTTGATGGTCAACAGGCCAGGCTTGCGGGCTCCCCAGGTGCCGGCAAGGTTCCAGGGCCGGCGTCTGAGGGCTGCAACCCAGACCCGCTGGGCACCCTGCGGGGCATGTTTAGTTGTACCTGGAGGAGAGGATGTGCTCTCTTGGCACAACGTGCAGAAGGCACCGGAGGAAAGGAATGGAGAAGAAGCCTGTTTGCCTCAGAGCTCCTCATCCTGGACGCCCTCGCCAGAGGGTTCATGTTATGGTTTCCTGCATAAGCGATCTGAGCCCTGCCTCCTCAAGCGTAACTGACAGCATGCTGGATGCACAGGCAGCAACTCCCTTTTGCCAAGTGATCACAGCGCCTCTTGGAGTCAGTTCCACGTGGAACAGTGCAGCTGGCACAAGCTCGTCCATGTTATTCACATGCCCCACCGTGGTGGGCCTGTCGACGGCATCCAGGCTGATTCGATTCTCGGCTGATACTGCAGCCCTGTACCTGGGTCTTGGACTACATGCAAAAGAACTCCTGCAGGAGACGTTCTTGCAAGCCAAATTGCTGGGCCAGAGCGTGTCTATGTTTGCAGTTTGACGGTGACGTCCCCAGGGCCCATGGAGAACAGAGAGGGCCCTTCAGGGAGATCCAGCTGGCTCCCAAGGGCAGCTCCAGGAGTTGGGTCCGGGCAGAGTCCTCACTGCTGGCTTACACTGGTGGGAAGGTGCTGGCTGCTCTGGGACCAGTGGGGTTCAAGATCATGGCTCGGCGTTGCTCCTTCCTGCAGACCTAGTTATCCTGGCTTAGCCAAGGACTCTGAAATATTCTCATCTCTGCCAGGGGGTTCTTTCTAGGTTGGGGTTTTCACACCTCACTGTGCAGCAGAGCCTGGACCTTGGTCCTGCTGGAGCAGAAGCTGCTGAGAGGCACGGGGAGGCATTGAACCTGCCCAGGGCCGCTCAGCATCTGCATCGTGGACTTGCCCTCCCACACCAGCTCCTCTGGCCAGCTCTCTCCCTCTCCCAGCCCTTTCATCCTGCCAGTCCCGGGGGACAGTGGATTTCCAACATTAAAGGAGTTTCCAGGAGATGCAGAAAATAATTATTCTTCATCTCCTCAGCTTCCAGGGTGTGCAGCTACTGGAAGCAGGGGCTGGAGGGGAAAAAGGACGGGTGGGACACAGGTGGAGCCTCAGACAAGAGAGGGCCCCTGGGCCACCAAGACCCCAGAGCGCTCTCTGACCCTGCTCCTACCTCATTAACTCGTCCCTCCCCTGCCTCCTTGCCCCACCCCTCCCCTGCCTCATTCACCTGCTCTTCTCCTACCTGGTCCTGTCTCCCACTGGTGCCTCCAAGCCAAACCTGGACCTTCCCAGCCAAGTGTCATTTAAAACATTCAATGCCAGGTGCAGTGGTTCATACCTGTAGTCCCAGCACTTTGGAAGGCTGAGGCGGGAGAATCGCTTCAGCCCAGGAATTCGAGACCAGCCTGGGCAACATAGCAAAACCTGGTCTCCACCAAAAAAAAAAATTATATATATGTATATAAATTATATACACAAATGTATATATAAATTATATACGCAAATGTATATATAAATTATATACGCAAATGTATATATAAATTATATACGCAAATGTATATATAAATTATATACGCAAATGTATATATACATATACACGCAAATGTATATATGTATACAAATTATATATGTATATATATACACACACATACATGCACATATACACACATACACATATATATACACACACATATATATATACACACACACATATATATATACACACACACATATATATATATATACACACACATATATTAAAAAAAACTGGGCATGGTGGCACTCACCTGTAGTCTCAGCTACGTGGGAGGATGGCTTGAGCCCAGGAGGTCAAGGCTGCAGTGAGCCATGATTGTGCCACTGCACTCCAGCCTGGGTGACAGAGCAAGACTGTCTCAAAAAACAAAAATTTTTTTAATTAAAAACATTTGAGGTTAAAAAAAGATTGTGTGCACACAGAAAAGAATATGGCAGACAGGCAGCTAGGCACCCCCCACAATTAACGAATGACCTCATTTGGGTTCAAATATAAGCAAACTAGAAGCTCTCCGCCCGGCTGCCTGCCCTTGTTCCTGCGCGCCCGCAGAGAGGTGTGGGTCCCCCTGCGCCCGGGCGTCTTCTGTCCTGAGAACGACAGTGAGGGTCTCACAGACGGTAGTGAGACCTCAGCTCATTGCACCTGAGGGCCCTGAGGATCCTGAGGACCCTGGAGCCTCCGGCCGCTTTTCTTCCAGCTCCCACCTGGGCTTTCTCCTCTCCCTACTCCATTCCATAAATGGAATATCCCATCTGAGTTGACCTTCGAGTCTTCCTGAGTGGGGAAGGGCTTGAGGCTGTAGCTTCTGTGTGGTCAGAAACAGGACTATGGGAAGCCTTCGGGGCCCCTGGGCTCTTGCAGCTCCGCAGCTCACACAGCATCTTGGCCTCTACCACAAAATGTGGGGATCCTTGATTTGCCAAACACTTGCATAAGTCTTGGCCAAGCAGGGAACAGAAAATAGGAATTCAGTCATTACAATTGGCAGCATCAATGCTTCTGAAGTCTTTACTGTGTCCGTGCCAAAAGTAATATCGTCATTACAACCCCAGGACAGGATTCTGTAACTAGGCCTGCAGCTGTGGAACTGGAGCCTCCTATCTAATTTCCAGCAGATCCAGGTGTCTCAGAAGCACCCGTGGGGGAGAATCCAGTTCTGGACCTCAAGAGGGAAATCAATGGCCAGCCAGAGGAGCCCTTCCCAGAACAGACCGACCCTGCCCCACCGGCCTCCTGTAGCCTGGAGGGGACAGGCAGCCCCCAAGCCATTCTGGAATCCAGCCGTGCTCTGGAAGCTCCCACAGCCCACTGGTGGCCTAGGCGGCATCTGGTGGCCTCCACCAGCTCAGGCACGGGCAGGTGCTCCCGGGCTGCTGGTGCCTCCAGCAGGGTCTCAGCCTTTGCAGCTCCCAAGGCCGGATCCCAACGTGGGGCCCACGATAGATGGGCTCAGCCTTCTGTGCAGTTTTTGCCTGTGGTTATGTGAAGATGTGCTGTCACGTGGTGGTTAAATCCGTTTACATTGAACAGCCGAGGGAGGGGAGCTGCTTGTTTCTCTGCTGCGGTACTGGACTGCCGTGCAGTGGGGAGCTCATCTCTTTATCAAAAATCATCAGAATTCTGCAACTGCTTCATCACATTTTGCAGACTGTGATTTTCAGGGTAAAGAAGGTCCCTGTGAGTTCTGGAAAAAGCGTCTTGGATTTCAGTCCGATGGTTAATCGATCACTGAGGAAGACTTGAGCAGACTGAGATCTGACAACTCAAGAATAAAATGATTTAAATAAAAGCTGACTCCTCCAGGTGCCAGCCCTCTGTCGGGAGAGAGATGGGACCGTTCCCAGTGAAGAAGGGGAGGGGCTCACAGGGAGGGCTCTCGAGGGAACCGCAGGGGCGTGAACTCGGCCTTGTCTTGAGGAAGGTGCAGCGTGGGCTCCTTTAAAGCAGGGAAGAGCCATACGTGTCATGAGGATGTAAGTCACCGTGTTTTTGTCGTGGACACGAAGGCTCCAGCTCTGGTCTGGGCACAGCAGGGCCCCTGATGCCTGTTCTGGGGTTTGGCCACTGCCCGCCCTCCTGCAGGCTGAGCCCCAACTCTTGGAACTGTACCCTGGATGAGGAAGTGCAGGGAGCAGAGAAAATTCACGGCTATCACACCTTTCGGAGGTGCCCGGAAAGTCCTACAAGATCCCAGCTCTAATGGAGGGGCCTGCCTAGAGGTGGGAGACGCCATGGAAGCTCCGGCCTCCTGCCCCCACAGGAAACATGTCCCAGGCAGCTGTGCCCCTGCAGACCTGTGGAGGGAGGCAGCAATGACGGGGACAGGGGCCGAGGCAAGGGGTGGCAGAGCCAGCAGACGCAGTGAGTAGTGCTGGGGTTACTGCTGAGGAAGTGGCCTTGGAGCAGAGACCCCCCCCATGAGCACAGCAAGGTCCCAGGGTCGGGGGTGGCTCCAGGTGGGGCTAGAGCCCAGGTAGACATGGGGTGAATGGGCATGGGTGTGACCTCGAGCGCCGGGAAGTCCAGGGCAGGTGCAGCCCTCATGGGGAGGGTGCAGAAGAGGTCAGCAGAGGTGGCCATGGGCCCCGGGGGCCATGCGGGTGTGGGGCAGGAGGGGGCCTAGTAACCTATAGTCTGCCTGGGGACACTTTGGAGGGAGAAAGGGGGTTACTGATCACTATGCTGGAACAACAAGGAAAGCCGGCCTCCCTGGACCGCTGGGCATCCCACCATGGCGAGGCAAGGAGCTTGGGCCATGCTCCAGGCACAGCCAGCAGCCTCTGGGAGCCTTAAAGCTGGACATGACCTGACTTCTATTTGCATATTATATATTATAAATATGTTTATATATTTAAAATATTTTGACGTGTTAAACATACCCTCTGGCTGCTGTGGGAGGGGCTGAGGGGAGCAGAGAGCAGTGGGAGGCAGCTGCTCAGAGGTCCGTGCCATGGCTGAGGGTGGCAGCCGTGGAGGGGCATGGGGCAGAGGCACCAGGATATGTGGGCAGGCAGGGGTAGAATCTGTGGGTGGATGGTGTGTGGAACTGCTCTGGGACACGGGGGAGAGGAGCCAGGAGGTGTTGGCAGGCGGGGGTAGAGCGTGCGGGTGGACGGTGCATGGGATGCTCCAGGCTTGGGTCTGAGCAGCAGTGGCCGGGCTGCCCTTTGCTGAGGTGGCATCTGGGCGAGGATGATGGGCACTGGGGGCCGGAGGACATCAAGGACTCTGCGTGAGACAGGACACCGTGGAGCCTCACACCAACATCCAGGCGGGGGCTGACATTTGGGTGGTGAGCACAGGTGCCTGCTGTCCCGCGGGGCACACGGGCCTCAGGTGTGGGAGCGGGGTCTCCGGGTGGTGGGAGATGCTGCCCAGAGAACAGTGCGAGGGGAGACGGGGCTGGGACCTGCCCTGGGCACTCGGCTCGTCAGCTGGGAAGCCCAGAGAGGGCAGCGAGGAGGCCATACTCTTGGACTTCACCCACCTCATGCCTGCTTCCAGAACATTCCATCCCGCCTCTGTTCTTTCGGGCTGTTAGGTTTTAAGAAGGGTCTCTTTTCCTGGTTCCTTATTTTGTTCAATTGTATTCTTTTCTTCAGTGTTTTTGTCTACAAAGTCCCGCTTGGCTCTGTGTTCACAGAGATTTATGTGAATGTCTTGCATTTTAAAGAAGTCTCCTGCCTTCCCCTGGGGACTGTCTGCTTATTACTGTGGGTACCTGAATGTTCTGAGCCTATAGGAGTGGGGAAATAGTTCCCATGAAGGGTCTGGGATTCGGATTCTCCTTGTCCACAGCCACGTGTCTCCTTGGACAGGGCAGCTCTCCACCTCCCCTTGGACACCGGCTCACATGGTGGACGCATCTGACTCTCCAGCCGCCGCTTCTTGGTCAGCCTGCCTCTGCCTGGCTGCGAATCCCCTCTCTCGCTCCCTCTGTCTTTCCCTTCTGCCCCCTTTGGCTGCTCCATTCTTTCCTACTCCTTAGAAAAAAATAGACAGTTCTCATCAGAGAGCATGCACAGCTAGGGTTTGAAAGACTGTGACCGTCCCACTTTCTAAAGCGTGACTTACTGAAATATACAAGAAACACACCTACCTAGTGACCAGGATGCTGTATATCCCTGGTCTGAAAGCAGTTGTCACCTCAGTTCAGGGCTCACTAGCCACTCTTGGCCTGCTTTAGGGGATTCAATTTGCACCTCCCAGGATTCTGTGATAAAGCTCAGGAGGTAGATGATCTGTGAATGGCCGAAAGCATTAGCAGTATTATTTAAGGACATGCAAATCAAAACAAAGTTGAATGCACCCAGTCACTTTTATACATGGCAGATCCCCGGGGTTGCTGATTGGGTGGAGAAGTGATGCCCTCAGAAGCCGCTGGAAGCCTCTCTGCAGGTGCCTTGGCCACCAGTGCACAGCCCTGAGATGCTGCCAGGCTTCTGTGACAGTGACTCCACTGTTAGAAAAAGCGGAATCCAGCAGATACACAGGGTGTTGGTTTTAGCTCTGCTAATGATAAGGAACAAAGCGGCCACCTGGCTGTCCCAGCCTGAGGAAACTGCTAAGGACGTTAGGTTGTATTTACGCAGCAGACTGCCCTGCAGCCATTAGAATCTTGTTGAGGAAGAATGTTTGCTAATAGAGGAATTCCTCATCATAGGGCTAAGAAAAGCCTGGGAAAGAGATAGCGGGGCTTTGTGGAGTTTTCCTTTTGAGGAAATCTTTGCCTGTACCAGGTCATGGAGACACTTTCCTATGTTTTCTTCTAGAAGCTGTGTTGTTTTACCTTTCAATTTTATATCGGAAACCTACCAGGGATTGATTTTGGCACATGAAGTAAGCAGGGTATGACTGTGGATGTGAGATGGACCTGGCACCATTCACGTAAAAAAGGCTTTACCCGCTGCACTGCAGTTTCACTTTTACAATAAATCCATGGCCACGTGTGTGAGCCTGTGTCATAGACAGCGTTACTGTCCCGTCCTTCGCCTCTCCCGGGAGGATGCCTGTGCCGTGCGACTTTGTAGAGCTTTGCTTTGTTCTGGCCAGTGTAGCAGTGATCTGGGCCAGGCCCAAGCCCAACCCTCTGTGTCCCTTGCTTACTCCTTTACCTCTGTCCTCTCTGTGAGGAGACTGTGTCTAGACTAGTGGCCAGTCCCAGGAAAATTGCCACGTGGTACCCACTGAGTCCAGCCTAGGCCACCTGACTCCAGCTGACTACCCGACTGATGAGAAACAAGGAATGGTTGTTGCTTCTGTGCAGCATGGCACAAGTTTACTTATTATTTCTGAGACAGGGTCTCATTCTGTCACCCAGGCTATAGTGCAGTGGTGCGATCACAGCTCACTGCAGCCTCTACCCCCCGGCTCAAGCAATCCTCCCACTTCATCTTCCCAAGTAGCTGGGACTACAGGCGTGCATCACTGCACCTGGCTAATTTTTTAATTAATTTATTTTTTTTGTACAGATGGGGTCTCACTGTGTTGCCCAGGCTGGTCTTGAACTCCTCAAGCCATCCTCCTGCCTCTGCCTCCCACAGTGCTGGGATTACAGGATGTGCCACTGTGCTGGGACAGCAGAAGTTGGCTGTTAGTCATGGTAGCTCCCTGAGACAGTCTGTTTTGGATTCTGTTCTGTCTTGGTTCTTTGCATTTCCATCTACATTTTAGAATCCATTTGGAGATTTGCATTTTTATAAAAGCTTCTATACATTGAATTGCATTGAATCTATAGATCAATTTGGGGAAAATAAACATGTTTATAATATTGAGTCTTTGGGTTCATGAGTATGATATATTCTTCCATTTATTTAAACGCTTTTAAATTTCTGTCAGTAACACCTAGTAGTTTTCAGCACCGAGGTCTTGGGCGTGTTTTCTAACACGTCATCAAAAGTGTTGGTTTTTTTGATACCATTATAAATGGTACATTTGGTATTTTCATTCCTAATTATTTGCTGATGATATATAGAAATCCAGTGATTTAAAAAATATTTGAATTGAGCGTTCCTCAATGAATTCATTTCTTCATTCAACCAATGTAATGAATACATATTTTTCCAGGATATGGGAAAAGCATGGTGAGTGGCTGCTGTGATCGGGCGAGGGTGAATTACGCATGAAGTGTTAGCTGCTGTGGCTCCGATTCCATAGACACTTCCCCAAGCTGCCAAATGCCTATCTGTTCAAATTAGCGCTGAGCACTGTTCATACTACACAGCTCTGCAATCAGCTCCAGCACTGGCAGGTCACCGCGATCGCGGCTAGGGGTCACCCTGCCGGGTCACCGCGATCGCGGCTAGGGGTCACCCTGGTGGGTCACCGCGATCGCGGCTAGGGGTCACCCTGGCGGGGCACTGATCATGGTTGGGGTCATGCCAGTGGTACACTTCTGTGATCAGAGGGGGACTCTGGGCCCCTGCTACCGATGGGCTGGGATCCCACCAGCGGCCCAGAGGAGGCCTCCGCACAGCCGCTTGTCAGCCTGGCTGCACTCATCTGGGCCCTTCTAGGCGCCACAGCCCTGATCTTGCACTCTAGTTTTCTGCATCATCCTGGAGTCCTCTCAGGGGAAATTACGGCTGGTTTGAAATGGAGATGTTGACCTGTGACTCGGTGCCAGCAGGACAGGACTGGCAGAGGAGGTTGGTGTGTTCCTCTTCAGCGTGTCATTCACGTAAAGGAAATAGTGCTTAAATAGTTGTCTCCAAAGAGGACCCCAAATTCTAGAGCAATTGTTGGAGGTTAGCAGAAGATAATTTCTCTGGAAATAAGATGTAAAGAAAAATGTCGTTTCTAGTAGAAATGTGGCTTGACTAAAAGTTAACTCGTGAAAAAAAAATGAAAGGACCTTTGTCCATTTCATTTAAGATTCTGTCAACCTTGGAGCAGCCCTGAGGGCTCAGCTGTCCTCCAGCTCCCACTGGAGCCGTGAATATTTGGCGACGTCATCAATGAAGTATGGCCGTGTCCAGCCATAAGCGGGCATTGGGCCGGATGTGCTGGAAACTCCTCGGAGCGGGAGAGCAAAGCCCTTGGCAGCAGAGCCTGGCCCACGGCAGGCAGCGGTCCCGGCACTGTGGTCTGAATATAGGACCCCCACAGCGTGTCCTCCCTTAACCCCAGACAGGCCCTTGCTGGGCTATTTTGCTTCTTAGAAGAAGTGCCTTTTCTCCGCGGTTTCAAACAGTAACAACACAATCTCAACTTCTGGAACGTATTTTTGATTCAGATACCAACAATTCTCATGAATAACAACTGATAAAACCTTTCAGCGCGTTACAGATTCCGGTGGGTGACCTCAGGTTTGCCTGAACAGTACCTGCTCCTCAGGTGTTCAGTGATTTTCAAAAAAATCTTCCCCAAGTGCACATTCAGATGTGTGAGTGTGTGCATCATGGACGCTCCCCCCGAATACACATTCAGGTGTGAGTGTGTGCATCATGGACACTCCCCCCGAATACACATTCAGGTGTGAGTGTGTGCAACGTGGAAGCTCCCCCCAAATGCACATTCAAGTGTGTGTGTGCAACGTGGAAGCTCCCCCAAATGCACATTCAGGTGTGAGTGTGTGCATCATGGACGCTCCCCCCGAATACACATTCAGATGTGTGAGTGTGTGCATCATGGACGCTCCCCCCGAATACACATTCAGATGTGTGAGTGTGTGCATCATGGACGCTCCCCCCGAATACACATTCAGATGTGTGAGTGTGTGCATCATGGACGCTCCCCCCGAATACACATTCAGATGTGTGAGTGTGTGCATCATGGACGCTCCCCCCGAATACACATTCAGATGTGTGAGTGTGTGCATCATGGACGCTCCCCCCGAATACACATTCAGGTGTGAGTGTGTGCATCATGGACGCTCCCCCCGAATACACATTCAGGTGTGAGTGTGTGCATCATGGACGCTCCCCCCGAATACACATTCAGGTGTGAGTGTGTGCAACGTGGAAGCTCCCCCAAATGCACATTCAGGTGTGAGTGTGTGCAACGTGGAAGCTCCCCTTGAATACACATTCAGGTGTGAGTGTGTGCAACGTGGAAGCTCCCCCAAATGCACATTCAGGTGTGAGTGTGTGCATGGCTGGAGCTCCTGCCACACTCAGTCTCGCTGTTGTCTTTCAGGTCAGCAAAGTGGAACGCGAGAAGAACCAGGAGCTGCGGCAGGTGCGCGAGCATGAGCAGCATAAGACCGCGGTCTTGCTCACGGAGCTCAAGACAAAGCTGCACGAGGAGAAGATGAAGGAGCTACAGGCTGTGCGTGAGACGCTGCTGCGGCAGCATGAGGCTGAGCTGCTCAGGGTCATCAAGATCAAGGACAACGAGAACCAGCGGCTGCAGGCACTGCTCAGTGCCCTGCGTGATGGCGGCCCCGAAAAGGTCAAGACCGTGCTGCTGTCCGAGGCCAAGGAGGAGGCCAAGAAGGGGTTCGAGGTGGAGAAGGTCAAGATGCAGCAGGAGATCTCCGAGCTCAAGGGCGCCAAAAGGCAGGTGGAGGAGGCGCTGACGCTGGTGATCCAAGCGGACAAGATCAAGGCCGCAGAGATCCGCAGCGTGTACCACCTGCACCAGGAGGAGATCACCCGCATCAAGAAGGAGTGCGAGCGGGAGATCCGCAGGCTGGTACGTGGGCAGGCAGGGGCGGGCGTGGGCGAGGGTGCAGGGGCGGGCGTGGGCGAGGGTGCAGGGGCGGGCGTGGGCGAGGGTGCAGGCGTGGGCTCGGGGAGCACGCGGGCAGCACCGGCTTCACCCCCCATGACATTCTTAGCACAGGCTCCTCATGCCACCCCTGTTGGTTTTGAGGACCCTAGAGTCACGAGACCACTAGAAAAGGTTCAGACCCACAGTCAGGCCCGCACGGGGCAGGCCAGACTCTCACCTCCCCTTTTCCACAAACACCAGCTCTACTTCCTTTCTTAACTTGGGCCACAGCAAGAAACCTAGAAATCGGCACTGCCCATCCACACCGCAGGGTTCACGGACATCTCTTCTTAGTGTCCCGGGTCACACCTGACACCAGGCAGGGCTCAGTGTTTCGCAGCAGGAGTCCCACACATCCTCACGGGGGGACTCAGAGGGAATTCTCCAGTGATTCTCCAGTTGAACTCACAGGATCCAGAGAGGCGAGATCAGGAGGCCCCGGGGGGTGGGATGGCCCCCAGCTGCCCTGAGGTCCCTGTCTCTGCAGAACCGTTGCACTTGGGCTGGACCAGATGAGCTGCCGGTTTTGTGGATCAATGAGGTCTAACGTTGGCATCTGGTGCAGCCTAATAGCTCCAGAGACCTGGGCACCCATGGCAGGCACCAGGAGAGTCGATGTTCTCAAAGGCCCAGGGTTCAGCTGACGAGAATGTCCAGGGATTGCAAGGGACTGATTCCACCCGATGCCCCTTGTCCTTTGGAGAGGAGACTGTCCTGTGATTTTGGGGGAAATGGAGCTCTGTCTTAGAGGTGCGTGCCCCAGCCCTGTGCCTCTTCAGGACCCGGAGCCCCGGGCACCTTGGGTGGGATGCAGTGGTCTTTCCACGGGGCGTGGCTGTGCACCTGGGGCAGCCTCCCTCTGCCTGCTTCCCGGGGCCTCCGGTCTCCAGGGATGGCCTCCAGGCTGGGCCAGCATGTGGAACTCCCAGAGAGGGGCAGCCGCTCTCCACACCCACAGCCAGGAAGGGAGAACCAGCCATTGTGGAGTAAATATGACCTCGCCACAGTGTACACGTGGGTGCCCCCAAACGTGCCTAACCCGGGTGATTCCCTTCCTTTCCAAAGTGGTCCCTGTTCCAACCTCCCCTACACCTCTTCGCCCTGTCCCAAGCCACATATCGATGTCACCTTAGCAACCCAAGGACCCGGCCCAAACCAGCACTCATAAGAACCGGGTGCTTTCTTCGCGTGACACGATGCTTGCTTTTCTGTGCGGGGAAGGAAGGAAGCGTTGCCACTGTCCCGGGAAGGTGGGAGGGACAGGTGGCTGCCTCTGCCCAGTGCCACACGACCCTTTCATTTGTCTTGGTTGGATTCGATGCTCTCAGTAGAGGAAGGCAGCTTTTTTCTTAAGTAAAGGCTCGTAACAGAAACCAGCAGTTCCCTGCCATCCCCTCTCACCCCCGATCTGAACCCCCAGAGGCAGCTATTCACAGTTCCTCTGGCTGATTCTTCTGGATTTTATTTCAAATTTTCAAAAGCATGCTCCAACCTGTGTCTTCACTCTCCATCCTCGCCAGATCTCTCCCCTCCGTACAGGCTTTTTTTTTGCAGCTACGGGCAAGCTGGTCCTAAAACTTACACCGAAGTGCAGGTGTGTTCCCCGTTCTGTGGGTTATCTTTTCCTGTGCTCAACAGCATCGTGTTATGATCTAAGGTCTTAAATTTCAAAGTAAAACAGTCTAATTTGCTTATCTTTCCCTTTAGGATTGGTACTCACTTTGTCTTGTTTAGGAAATCTTTCGATCCCAGAGTCAGGAATCTTCATCTTTTAAAAATGTTATAGTTTCGTCTTGCATACTTATGTCTGTAGCAGCCCTTACTTCAAAAACCGTCTCCCCCTTTCTCACAGCTCCTCTCTGCCAGATTGCACCTGTTCTTACAAGAGTGGACTTTCTGGTGTCTCATTGTCAGTCCCTCCTCCGCCCTACTTTGTAGTAATTATTCTAGCTTTATAAAAAGGCTTCATTTCTGGAGTAGCACGTTCTCCTGCTTTGTTCACCTTAAAGAGTAACCTGCCTCTTCTTGGCCCTCTAGAATTCCATATACATTTCAGAATCATCTTTGCTGTAAATTAAAAAGAACTGTTGGAATTTTGGGTTTTTAACCAAACTGTTCAAGGGTAAATTTTAGCAGAGGGTATAATCATGACTGTCATACAAACTCTACAATGAACACGTCAAAGATTTTATTAACTCATTAATTGATGAGGAAACAAGATGTTACAACCAATTCAAATGAGGATTTGGCCCACAGAGATTCACGTTTCCTGCCTGACAAAACCCATTTGCATTCCCGTGAGCAGGAATCATGTCCACCTGTGCCCAGGAAATGCACACTTTGCTCACGCTCTTCTCCAAGTTTAACTTTTCTTTCCATGGAGTCGTAGAATAGCCTAGTCAGAGACAAAGGCACAGGCCTCCCAGGGTCAGGTCGTCCCCAGGGCCTCTGGCATTCCAATACAAGGACAGTCAGAAATCTTCTCTTGCCTATTTCAAAGTCTTACATGATCTTTTCCTACAGAATCCATAGATTTGGGACATCTCCTTTATTTACTGTTTCGATGCTTAAACCCCTGTCAGTGGGAAGACCAGTGTTGCCCGTGAGAGCCCCTGCCCCACCACCAACATCCAGGAACTCTGGGTCTGCTTGGGTCCTGCGGGGGAGGGATTGGCTGGGGGCTCACATCCCATCCGCGGTGTGACTCGCCCCTTCCCCCAGGGGTGGCTGCTGGAGCCCAGCTCAGTCCGCACAGCTGCTGGGATGCACTTCCTTCCTCCACCCCTGACCACAGCTGCCCAGGCCTCATCAGGGACACAGCTCCCATCAGTTCACCCTCAGCCCCATTCCCAGAGCCCAGCTATCTATCTGTCTATATCCTGGTTTTGTGCAATTTAAATAAAATAATGAAAAACCCAGGGAGTACTTGGCTCCATGCCCATATCACAAGAGGTGCCCTGAGGGCATCAGCTGTGGTGAGAGGTGCCCTGAGGGTGTCAGCTGTGGTGATGGAGCTTCTGGTGGCATCAGGAATCCAGCCACCGGGACCCTTTCTTCCTGGGGACCCTGTCCCAATGGGGCCCCCTTGCCTAACTGACAAGGGTCCCAGGACCTCAGATCTTCTCTTTTAAGGCCGTCATTTATGAGAGAACACCCCGGCCTCTAAAATCCCGTGGTGACGGACAGGGCTGCTCCCCAGGCCCAGCTGTGAGGGAGTGTCTGGAGTTAAATCTACGCGTGAGGTGGAGGGGCTGGGAGAGCCAGGCAGGTGTGTGGCCGCTCGAGCTGCGGGGGCAGCGGCACAGCGTGGTGTCCAGCCTGGGCATGAGAGGCAGCTTCATGAGGATGGGGAAGTCTGGGATGGAAGCTGCTCAGAGAGGGACTCGGAACAGGGCTGGGACAGAAAAGTGGGAGGAAGGTGGACTGGGGACAGGGGACTGGGGGCAGTCAGAGAAGAGGCAGGCTGGGGTGAGGGTGGGGTCCAGAGGCAGGGCCCTGCCCCAAGTGTCAGCAGAGTCAGTAGAGCTGGGGGTGCTGCTGGACCTTTAAGCCCAGGGCAGGACAGTGGCCTCCCGGGCCTGGCAGGAGCTGCAGGCGGGAGGAACATCATTCCCAGGTTCCAGGACAGCCGCCAACCCAGCTCATGGGGCTCCAGCAAGGCTAGGTGGGCGACGGAGGCCTCGGGTTCTCCCAACGAGAGACAGCTACTATTACAGCTGAAAATATCACATAACCTTGGTTCCTTACATCAGGCAAACATTTTGCTGTTTCTGTGGCCATAGCACGGGCCGGCACCTGAGTCCTAGAACATTCTGGTGTGGGACGCTCGGCCTCACCGGGCCCTGGGTGAGGACGTAGCGGGTCAGGGATGGGTCTCTGCTGCAGGGAGCGCCAGCCTCTGGGAGGAATCGATCTTTGCTCACGGTCAGACATTGCTCCCTCGAGAGCTGTCCCATGATGGCCTCCACCCCCAGGTGTGGGCACATTGCCGTGGCCCTGGGAGGGTGGTATCTGAGTCTGGGGACGGGCAGGCCTGGGGATAGAGCACTGTGGACGAGGCTGGCCTGACTGGGACACTGTGGGAGCTGGGGGTTTCCGTGCCTCCCTTGCTACTTAGCGCCACACGCATGGCCACAACCCCAGCAAGGATGTGCTCTCTGAGGGCGCTGCTTCTATGGGGTGGAACCTGTCCCACCAAGGTCCACCCTGAGGACAGTCGCGTCTGGCAGGGCTGGTGAAGGAGGGGGAGGGTCTGAGGGAGTCCTGGGTGTTCAGCACACACTCAGAACCATCATCTTCTCTTCCCAAAATGGACCCCGTGATTCAAGGTTCTGCCTCCCTAACTCTGGCCAGCAAAGCCTCCTGTCTTTACTTTGGGTCTGTTTTGTTCACTACTCAGTCCCCAGCACCTACGGTAGGTGTTCAATAAATTTTTGTTGAATGGATTTCAACAAGAGGTGGCCCATTGGTAAAGAGCACAGCACCCCTGTCCCCGCAAAGGCCCAGAGTCAGAGGCCTCCCCAGCCCCCCTGGTCGGCTCCCCGGCTGTCGGGGCCCTGACTGCCCCCCGGTCGGCTCCCCGGCTGTTGGGGCCCTGACTGCCCCCCGGTCGGCTCCCCGGCTGTTGGGGCCCTGACTGCCCCCCGGTCGGCTCCCCGGCTGTCGGGGCCCTGACTGCCACCTGCCCCAGCACCCCAGCCTTGGCCCAGACACCAGCCTGACTGTGGGTCTTCTGGGCCGAGGCTCCTGGGTGCCAACGGGAGGCTGTTGCCATCTCAGGAGCCCACTGGGCACCTCAGTTAGCCCTGGATGGGGAGAGACTGGAGGGGCCACACAGCAGGGCAGGGACTGGGCAGGGGCAGAAGCCCAGCCGGGCAGGGCCACACCTGCTCTCAGAGCATGGAGGCTTTAACAGGCAAGCCCTCTGTCTTGTCCTGGGACCCTAAGTGCAGGCCTGGAAGTGTGGCACCTGGTGAGGGCTCAGGGTCTCAGAGAGGAAGCCAGATGGAGGGAAGACAGGAGAGGCCTGCAGGGTGGGGATGTGGGAGCCAACAGACACCCCAGACAAGCACGGTCGCTGCTGCCAGGGCAGGGCTGGGCACAGCAGGGCTGCAAGGCTGCACTCAGGGCTGGGCTGCTGGAGAAGCTGGGTTATCCAGTGGGTCAGGGACGCCCTCTCCCTGCCCAGAAGGTTGTGGTGGGTGGCACTGGGGTTAGAGCTGCTGCTTTGCCCTGTACGTGTCAGAATGCCTTGGCTAGGGAACTCAGGAATCACCCACTGGCCCAGGGCCCATCATCTTCAGGCCCCAGTGATTCCACTGTGCAGACCCCTTGATTTTACAGCAGAGGAACCTGGAGCCTCGGAAGGCTCCGGAGCCAAATCCTCGTCTGCGCATGGCCCACTCTGTGCTCCTGGAGAAGCTGGGCTCCCAGCGGCTTTCTTGGCCAAATTTCTGCTAAAGTCAGACGTGGAAGGGGCGAGGCACTTTCCACCCACAGGTGCGATGACCAGTGCCCCATCCTGTCCGTGCATCTGGATGGTGACAGGCTCTGAGGACAGGGCCGAGCTGGGGCCCCAGAAGCAGCTGCGTGGCAGATCTGTGCCATGTCATCACAGAGCCTGAGAGAGCCGTCTGGGTGCACGCAGCTACTGCATGCACGCTCAGCGCGTTTGCTAAAATACAAGTTCAGACGTTGTTAAAGACTCTCTAAATCCAAAGAATTAGACGCAAAAGCCAGTTTCTCCTTCCCGTAAAGATCTGTGATTTCTAATATTGGTTCCTCCTCCCCCAGTTGTCTAGACAGCTAGTTAAAGTGGAATGCTAATATACAGCAGTAATTAAAACCCCATTCAAATATGGCTATAAAAATGAGGTCAGTTTCTCCCCAAGTGCTATTTTGGGGGTAGGGGTAGGAGGAGTAGCCTGTCCTTGCTTTTTGCCTGGAGACGGGTGTCAGGTAAGTGACCGAGAGCTTGTGCCAGGCCCTTGCTCTCTGATGGCGTCGCTCAGAGTCTGGGCATGAGTGTGTCTTCAAAAATGGCATTGCTGAGTGCAGCAGCAGCAGCTTCCTTTGCACCCCAAGCCTGGCTCCCACATGATGCTTTGGTTTTGCTGAAGACCCTGAATTGTGACTTCCAGCCACCCACAGCCAGATGCAGCATCGGCTTCTGGGGCCAAAGCCTCACCGTACAGGTGCTTGCCTTGCAAATGATGAGGGGGTCCCTGAGGTAAGGCCCACCCTTGAGTAGCTGCCCACGGTCCTGGCTGTGGATGTCCAGAGACACCTGCTGGGGACGAGTTTGGGAATATTGAGAGCCTTTAGAGTCCCAGGGCGTGGCTGTGCCCACAGCCGAACTAACCCAGAATTTCCAGAGGGTAACGCCTGGCATCAGGGTTCGCTTTTCTTTCCATTTTGTGGATGTTGAGGAAACGTCTACAGAGAATGGGCTCAAATCCGGAAGAAATGTGTGATGATCTGAGGCTGTGTGTCCACCATGACCCAGCACTGGGGTGGGGGCCCAGCAGGATTGCCCCTCCCGGCAGCACCCGTCCTTCTGCTGCTGCTTTGCCCGCCCCGGTGCGTCACAGCCGAGCCGGCCACATCACCTACATCCATTGCCACGCGGTCGCCCGTCCCACCCTGGCACATCACAGCTGAACCAGCCGGCCGCGCCATACACGTCCATTGCCACGTGATCACACGTCCCACCCCGGCACATCACAACTGAGTCGGCCGGCCACACCGCACACATCCATTGCCATGCAGTCACCTGTCCCACCCTGGCACATCACCGCCGAGCCGGTGGGCCGCGCCATACACGTCCATTGCCACACACATCCATTGCCACGCGGTCACCCATCCCACCCCGGCACATCACAGCTGAGCTGGCCAGCCGCATCGCACACGTCCGTTGCCACATGGTCACCTGTCCCACCCCGGCACATCACAGCCGAGCCAGCCAGCTGTGCTACACATGTCCATTGCCACGCGGTCACCCGTCCTTCTGTGAGAGGCATTTGAGTCATGTCCCACACTTGGCCATCATACGAGCACCTATCACATCCTGGGTGGCCGCGTGCATGCCTTTCTCTTGTGCGTTCATGGGGCGACGAGGGGAATCGCAGTGTGGTAGGTCGGGCAGCTGCTTCACCTCAAGACAGAAGAGCCATTCGGCTGGTGGGCAGAGCCCCCTCTCGTTCTACATCCTCATCAGTGACAGTATTGCCATTTCTTTAGGACAGCGGCAAGAAAGAGGCTGGCCGTTCCACTGCCCATCTGCATGTCACCTTTCATAAAACACCTGCTCATGTCTTCCCTGCCATTAAGCCAGAGTATTCACCTTCTCCCCGTTGATGGCTTCTCTCAGTTTGTGGCTGACCCAGTTGTCTTCCTCATGCTGGCTTTAGATGAAAGAAGTTTGGCATTTTAAGGAAGCCCGATTTGTCGGTTTCTTTTGTGTGCTGTGTGTGTCCGGTTTGGACATCCTCTGCCCCTCCGAGGGCGTGAAGTTGCCCCCTCTGTGTCGCTCAGATGCCTTATTGTTTTTCTCTTAACATTTAATTCTATAATTCGTCCGAGTTCGGTTTTTGTGAGTGGTTTGGGATGGATTGAGTTGGATATCCCTGCTTGCTGTGTGGATATCCAACTATTTCAGGACTGTTTTTTGAAATGACCGTCCTTTCCCCCTGAACTGCGATAGCACTTTGGTCGTGCATCAAGTGAGCCCACAGACGCGGGTCTCTTTCCAGGCCCCGTTACGTTCTGCTGGTCTGGTGCTCCGCCTTGCGGCGTTAGTACCACGTCTTAGTTCCGACACTCTAAAGCACATCCTGACATCTCGTCGTCTAAGTTCTACAACTTCCTTCTTTCCCTTCTTCAAGATTGTTACCGCTTTTCTGTATGAAACTTAAATCAGCTTGTCAGTTTCCACAGAAAAACTGGCACCTTGAACCTTAATGAACCTGGTGTATTTACTGTTAGATTTTTCTCTTCTCTCAGCCATGTTTTGTAAATTTCAGTGTAGAGGTCTTACATATCATTATTATAATTATTCCTAAATATTTAACGTTTCATGCTATTATAAATGGTCTGCTTTTCACATTTTAAAATATTACTTTCCAATTATTTTTCGCTGCTATACAGAAATACAATTGATTTTTATATCGATCTTCTAACCTGCAGCCTTGCTAAATTCACTTATTAATTCTAACAGCTTGTTTGTATATTTCAAAAATATTTTCCATGTACATAATGTTGTATGTGAACAAAGACAGTTTTGGGGGTTGTTTTTTGAGAGATAAGTTCTCATGATCGTATCTCACTGCAGCCGTAAACTCATGGGCTCACGCAGTCCTCCCGCCTCACGTCCCAAAGTGCTGGGATGACAGGAGTGAGCCACCATACCTCATCCCGAAGACAGTTTAAGTCTTCCTTTCCAAGCTCATACCTTTTGTTTTCTCCTTTGCCTTAATGCACTGTGAAGGCCTGCAGTGTAACTTTGAACAGAGAAGTGTTGAGAGTGACCACCTCCTGTCCTAATTCCCAGCTGCAGGTGAAAGTATCAAATATTCATTTCACCGACTGTGATGTTAGCTGCAGGTTGGTTGGTTGGTTTTGGTTTTGTTTTTGGTGGGTTTTTTGGCAATACTTTTTTTTTTTTTTTTCCTGGACACGGTCTCGCTCTGTCACCCAGGCTGGAGTGCAGTGGTAAGATCACAGCTAACTGCAGCCTTGACCTCCCAGGCTCAAGTGATCCTCCTACCTCAGCCTCCTGAGTAGCTGGGACTACAGGCACATGCTGCCGTACCTGGCTAAGTTTTAAATTTGTTGTAGAGACAGGGTCTCGCTTTGTTGCCCAGGCTGGTCGTGAACTCCTGGCTCAACTGATCCTCCCAAAGTACTGTGATTACAGGTGTGAGCCATTGCACTCTCCTAAAGTACTGTGATTACAGGTGTGAGCCACTGTGTCCAGCCAGCAATACTCTTCATCAGATTAAGAAAATTCCCTCGTATTCCTACTTTGCTAAGCATTTTTTTCATGAATGGTTATGGAATTCTGTCAAATGCTTTTTATGCATAAATCAAAATGATCATGTGTTTTTTTCTTTATTCTGTTGATGAGATGACACGTTAATTGGCTTTTAAGTATAAAATAAGCATTGTATTTTTGGAATAAATTTTACTGGGCCATGATATATTGTCTATTTTATATATAAGTATACACTGGATTTAGGATTTTTTCCCACTTTTTATAATGTCCTTGCCAAGTTATGGTATCTAGATTTGGCTGGCCTCATAAAATGATTTTGGAACTATTCTCCTTTTTCTATTCTCTCAATGAGTTTGTTCAACGTAAGTATATTTCTTCCTTAAGTGTTTGGAAAATTCACCAGTGAAGCTATTTGGGTCAGGAGTTTTGTGATATATTTTTAAATTATGAATTAAATGTATTTAATAAATATAAAGTTCAGATTTTATGTTTATTTTTATGTTAAGTTTGGTAAAATAGATTCTTCAAGGAGTATATTCAGTTAATACACATCTTCCCACTTATTGACATTAGACTTTTCTTTTTTTTTTTTTTTTCGAGATGGTTTCTCACTCTGTTGCCCAGGCTAGAGTGCAATGGTGCCATCTTGGTTCACTGCAACTCTGCCTCCTGGGTTCAAGCGATTCTCCTGCCTCAGCCTCCCAAGTAGCTGGGATTACAGGTGTGCGCCACCATGCCTGGCTAATTTTGTGTGTGTGTGTGTGTGTGTGTGTGCGTGTGTGTGTGTTTTAGTAGAGACGGGGTTTCACCATGTTGGCCAGGCTGGTCTCGAACTCCTGACCTCAGTTGATCCACCCGCCTCAGCCTTCCAAAGTGCTGGGATTACAGGCGTGAGCCATGGCACCTCACTGCTTGCTAGACTTTTCATCGGAGCTTCTTGTTATCCATTCACTGTCTCCTGTTTCATTGCTGATGCTGAGAATTTGTGTTCTTCTCTCGCTGTTTTTTACTCTCATCCCCCTGTTCCTTTTTTTTCCCTCCCTCCCTCGTCTTGCCTCTCTCTACTCCTTGCCTTGGATGGGGTTATCCCATGGGGTTATCCAATCATTGTATGGGATTATCTCCTTTTTTGTCAACATTTAGTGTTATTCCATTAGTAGTTACAGAGAAATATTAATATGTATCCTTAACTACATTCTATCATAAATTAGTAATTTTGCCGTATAACCAAAATACAAGTACCTTATAAGGCAATAGGTCAACTCCATTTACCCACTTCTCCTATGATTGTCATATATTTTACTTTGACACATATCATAAGCCCCCAAAGAAATGGCTTTTGCTGTTCCCATAAGCAGCCAATGGTCTTTTATATTTATATCTTTACAATTTCTTATCTGCAGTCTTTTCCCTTCGGCCTGAAAGATTCCCTTTAGAATTATTTGCATTGTGGGTGTATTAACAAAGGACGCTCTCTACTTTTGTCTAAGGACATCTTGACTTGCCTTCATTTCCAAGGATGTATTCATTGAACCTGGAACTCTCACATTGTCAGGCGTTTTTCTTAACACTCAAGAGATGTCCTGCCAGTGTCCTCTGATTTTGTTAGTTTCCGTTGAAAAGCCAGCCATCACTCTTAGAATTGTTCCTTCAGGCAATGTGTCTTTTTTCCTGTCTACTTTTAAGATATTCTCTTTAACTCTGGTTTTCATCAGTTTCAGTATGATGTGTCTAGGTGTGTTTTTGTAATTTTAAAAAAATACTGCTTGGAGACAGCTGAGCTTCTTGAATCTGAAGGGATGTCTTTTACCAGATATGGAAAATTCTGGACCATTATTTAGTCAAATATTACTTCTCCTCCTTTCTCTTTCTGGGATTCCAATAACATGTATGTTAGACACTTTGACTATACCTTACATTTTTCTTGAGCTCTATTCTGTTTTATTTTTCTATTTTTTCCTTTTGTGCTTTGATTGGATATTTTCTATCATTTTATCTTGGGTTTGTGATTTTACTGTGTCCAGTCTGCTTTTAAACCTTTGTAATGAATTTCTAATTTTAGACCTTGTATGTAGGATTTGAGTGCCTACTTCTTTTTTAAAATAGATCCTAATTCTCATTTGAATTACTGCATTTTATTCATTTTCTATCTCTATTAGAAAAATATAAAGTTTTAATTACATTATTTTTAGTGAGTTAATTACAATGATTTAAAAAGTTCCTATCGGCTTACTTCAATATCCTCATCATCTCTGGGTCTGTTTCTATCAATCACAATTATTTTTTAAGTTCTTGTTGGCTAACTCTAGTCATCTGTTGATGTGCTGCCACAGACTTAGCTTCGTTATTGGTTATTTTTCCCTGCTTCTTCACGTGTCTAATGATTTTCATTATATTCTTGGCACTGTGGGTGATGTGTTGTGAGGCTGCGCATTATGTTATTGTTGTCTAGAGAATGTTGAGTTTTGTTCAAGCAGACAAGTACTGACCAGCAGACTACCTGGATCCTTTTGAGGTGTGGTTTCAGGCTTTGTTAGGGAAGGTCTGTTAGTTTTCTCTTAATATGAAGTTTTAAAATCCTAGGACATTGTCCTGCCCCTGGAGTGTAGCCAGGGTCTAGAGAATTCACTATGATCTTCTATTCTGTCTGGGCTTGAATTGCAGTGTCTCGACAGCCATGTGCAGCCACTTACATTTCTACTTACCATTCGGACTCTCAGGAACTGTTTCCTGCAAGGCCTCTGGGAGTCCTGCCTTGCACACGTACAGCTTAGCAGTGGACCAGGGACCTGAGGGAATCCTTAGTCAGATCTTTGGCATTCCTTTTCTGCCATTCCCTCCTCTGCTCTCCAAATCCCAGCTGCTGTGGCAGCCCCAACCAAATTCTGATCTTAGTGTCCTGCAACAGAAGAGGCCTCTGCAGCTCGGGCTCTGTTTCCCAGGAGAGAGGTTGCAAGAACGCCCTCAGGGAAAACGTTAGGGGAGGCGGGGCCCCGTGATGAGAGGCACTGATCTACAGGCTCAGGGATCTGCCTGTGGACAGCGGTCGCAGGGGCTGTGACGCTGTGTGTCCGGGGCCCTGTGCTGACAGGCACTGCTTTCCTTTTCTCCTTCTCCTGCCCCTGCGTTGTGTATCTTGTTCAGCTTCTAGACTTGTTCATCGCAGAAGGGTAAGTCTAATGCCAACTACCCCATCACGTCTGGAACCAGAAGTTTCTGGGCATCAGTACCTTTTTTTTTTTTTTTTTCCTTCAGAAAGCTGCTTAGGTGATTCCAGCACGAGACCACCAAGCTTGGGAACCACCTTCTCATGGTATTGGCAGATTATCCCATGATTGAGGGGGACCTGGACATTCTGTCTAGAGAAAAATTCCCAAGGGTTAATTCCCAGACATGCAGTAAGTCCTGGTGTCTCTGGGACATCAAGGGGCTTGGGCTCCTAAAATGTCACATTTCCCCCTCATCATACAAGCTCTCCTACCCCACCAGAGGCTGAGGGAGGCTTGGCGGCCTCTTCTAGCACCTCCAACGCACCCCCACCCAGGTCTCTGCTTTCTCACAGGGAATAATAGGACCAGGCTCTGTATCTCATCTGTGTATTTTTTTCCCATCTCCCCCACCCATTCTAAGCTCTTGGGAGCTGGGTGATGGAGGTCCTTCCTTCTCTCATTAAGACCCTCTGTGCTAGGAAAACAAGCCCCAGCTAGGACAAAGCACATCTCCTTATCTCTAGCACATCCGCTGGGAGCAGCAGCCTTTTCTGTCTCACAAGGCGCATTCGTGTGCTCACGTCACCACCCACAGAACCAAGAGTTGATGCGGAGGGAGGGCCCCCCTGAGGTGCAGACTCCTCTGGAGGAAGAGGTGGTGTGAGTGACGCCTGCCAGACGTGAGGGCTCCCTGCACAGGCCCAGTGTTTGGAAGGATCCTGGCTCCATGGGCCCTGGGTCAGGAGACCTGCTCGGGGGTTGCAGGTACTCTGCCAACACCTTAGGCAGTCACCTGTCTGTGGCACTGAGGCGTGGTCAGCCCAGGTTGGGAGCAGCCACAGCTGCCAGTGACCATGCTGGGGGTGATGACGTGGCCTGTGTAGTGAGCATGCTTCATGGCTGTGGCGAGACGCATGTGTGCAGGGGCCTCAGCACTGTGGGGCAGTGGTGAGATCATGTCCGTGGGCTTCACAGCAGGGAGGCTTATGAAATGCAGCTTCCCAGGCTCCACCCTAGAGGTTCTACATGCTCATCTTGGGGGGCTCAGGGTTCTGCCTATGGACAGCCGTCACAGGTGGCTGTGATGCTGCATGTCGGGGCCCCATGCAGAGAGACACTGTGCGGGGCATGCTTGGGGGCAGGCAAGTCGGGGGCGGGCAGAGTGGAGGGGCATCTTCTCTCCTCCAGCCTCAGCGTCGGCCTGCACACCCCCTGTCCTGGAGAGTACCGTCTCAAGGGGCTTCTCTCCAGTTTCCAGGCATCCTCTGCAGCTGGGAGTGAGGAGGTCCTGGTGGGTGGGGAAGGCAACAGAGGGAGCTCATGGGGTGAGGGAGTATGGGGGCGTTGTGGGGAGACGGGAGTTCAGGGGATGAAGAGTATGGGGAAGAGTCGGGGGGCAGGGAGATGGGAGCTTATGAGGTAAGGGTGTGGGGGGCTGGGGAGATAGGAGCTTATGGGGTGAGTGTGTGGGGGCTTGAGAGACACAGGACTTAACGAGTGAGGGTGTGGGAGATGGGAGCTCTGGGGTGCAGGTGTGAGGCCCAGGGGAGATGGGAGCTTATGGGGTGAGGGTATGGGGGCCTGAGAGACAGGGTACCTAAGGGGTGAGGGTGTCGGGCCCGGGGAGATGGGAGCTCTGGGGCACCCGGGGGCTCCAGCAAGTGTTGTGGATCCTGTTCTTAGTGCCGGGGTAGGATGTTTTATGACAGCCTCTGACTCTTGTTTGTGGAGCTGACTCTAGGGTTGTGAGTGGAGCAGCTTGGGTAGGCACAGGAGAGGACACAGGGCGGCCGTTTGGAAGCCATAGCATTCGTCCCAGTGGAAGATGCTGGCAGTGGGGTGATGCTTGCAGCCTGGTGCACCAGGACGCCTGTTTCAGCTTTGAACGTCCCGTGTCCTGGGAGCCCTCTCAGTCCGGAACCCGCTGGGAGGGCTCTTCCCCCGGGTGTCTGTGTGGGTGCAGGTGGGACAGGAGACAGGTGTGCCGCCCCCCACCCACAGCCCCATGGGAAGAAGTGCAGGGTGGGGTGCGGCGCCTGCACAGGCATGGGAAGCCCCCGAATCCTGCCCTGCCTGCTGCTGGAAACAGCCCACCGTGAGCAAGGTGGGGGCTCCTGATAAAAGAAAATCTTGTTTGAGTCTGAGAGTGTAAATGCCAGGCCGCAGGCACAGCTGCTGATGGACACGCTCTTATTTCACCGGCCCCATTCCTGCTAACTGACTGTGTTGCCTCTTTCAGCATTGCTGTGTGCAGAGAAAATGGGGATTTAGCAATTAAGGATTTATTTTCTTCTGTTCAGCTCATCACTTGCTCCATCCAGGCTAATTAGACATCTCATTTCTTTGTTTCCAAGCTAATTTCAGCAATAGCAGATTTATTAGCTTGTTTAAACCTCAAACAATGGGTAAAGCAGCAAGATATCCCATTCTGCTCTGTTGTTTGAAAATATATTTCAAACTGAGTTGTTCATCCCCAAAGACCTTGTCTTTTCATAAATCTAGTGCCGTGGAAAATGATGCCCAAAGTGCCGAGCGTGTCTGTCTGAAGAGCGGGGGCTGTCGGGTCTGCTGTGCCCGCGTTCTGGCTGGCACATTCCTGCCCGGAAGCGGGGCGGGGTACTTGCAGGCAGCGGCTGCCATATCCCCGGAAGGAAGGACTTCTTCCCTTCATAGGTTGAGCACAAAGCGCCACGTTGTAGGGAGGGTGGGGAGGGCCGCCGACCTCTCACAGCCACTGGTGGGGCAGACATCCTGCACACCCCTGGGCTGCCGTCTCACCCCAAAAGCCTTGGCTCGCAGCCAGATTAATGAGCAGTGTGGCTCTGCCTGAAGACAGCTGTGCGGGGCCCCAGCTTTGTAGCCATGCCCAGAAGCATGGAGGGGCGGTGTCCAAGGACCACAGTGGTGCCCCTACGTTGCACAGCCCTCCCCTGGGGAGTGGGCCTGGGCTGGGGAAGGGGTAGCACTGGCTTTCAGGCCAGAATTTCTGTTCCCCATGGTCTCCCCTGCCTGTTTAGGGAAGAAACTTGGCCGTGGCACCTTCCTATTGGCAGAGTGTGGGTAACTTGGGTGTCCTCCTCTCTGTCCAACCTACAGCAGAGTCAGGAGCTGGAGGTGGTTTCTGCTGACCCTGCTAGAAAGTACCACCCCTGTGTGCACCCAGGGCCCCGGCAGGACAGCACGGAATGGGGTGCCTTGCTGAGCACACAGAGCCCGGGGACCGTCAGGAAGGAGTCTCCCGCTGGCAGCAGCTCTGCGTAGCCGGCTGAGCCAGGGCCTGCTGGGAGCCCGGGTGTCGTGCCTCAGCCCAGGGCCACGGGCTCCTGCTCTTAGTCCAGGATGCTTCGCTTTTGCTTCCGGTCTCAGAGCCCAGAGCCTGGCAGGGCTGCGCCCGTTTCTATGGTAACTGCAGATCCGTGTCCTGCCGCCTGTGTGATTGTGTTCTGTTCTCCTTGTAGATGGAGGAGATAAAATTTAAAGACAGAGCAGTCTTCGTGCTGGAGAGAGAGTTAGGGGTTCAAGCCGGGCATGCTCAGAGACTGCAGCTCCAAAAAGAGGCTCTAGATGAGCAGCTGTCCCAGGTCCGAGAGGCCGACCGGCACCCGGGCAGCCCCAGACGGGAACTTCCTCATGCAGCTGGTGCAGGAGACGCTTCAGACCACTCGGGAAGCCCTGTAAGCACCTCCCAGGCCCACCGGCCCACCCCGTGTCACAGACAGACCTGGCCATGTGGCTGCATGGCCCTGCATGGGCCACTCCCCCAGGAGACCAGAGCCCGAGTTGAGGCAGCACCCTCCTGCCTGGGCACCTCCCCACCCAGCCTGGCCCTAGGTGCTCAGCTCCTCTGGCTCTGGTCCAGAGGGCTGGTGGACTCGTCTCCTTCCTTTCTGTCTACATAGCATCAGCTCTGGCCCTGTCACCCTCCCGTGGGCCCCGGCCTCATCACCCTTCTGCTGCAGTTCATGGCACTTGCTGGCCCGGAGTCCGGCCCTGGGTTGGTGGGAGGAGGCTGTGCTGGGTATGCGCTGCCACCATCTCCAAGCACACGGCCTCTGCCTCTGGCCCGGGAAGGCTGGTGCACCGGCTCCCTGCCCACCGCGTGCCCAGCTGGCCCCTCAAGGGTGATTTCCGGCACTCTCATCACCAGTCACCCTCCCACCCGCTTCTCATGTGATCATGCCACTCTGCGCTCCTCCCTGGGCCGCTCTGTCGTGTGGGGTCTGCCGACCACCCCGGGCTGAGCTCCACCCGCTTCCTTGCTGCCGCTCCGCACTCATATCCTCTGTCGTGGTTCTGGGATGCGCTGGGGGATCTGAAGTCCAGGGACCCTCCAGCTGGTCCTTCTGGGTCTTTGACCCCGAGCCTCTCCTGCACCTGTTGAATGAGGAACTCGAGTCGGGCCCAGGACCATCCTGGATGCTGCTTGTTCGCTTTGAGGATAAAACTGTGTGTGAGCTGAGCCGGTCCTAGGACAGTGACATTTCAAGAATAGAAAATATTATTTTAAGATCTCATTCAGACAGCTTCATTGAATGAGATCCAGCCCCTCCTGCTGGTGCGTGGTAGACTACAGCATTCACTCCAGAGAGATCTGAAACCGGATTCAAATGTTTTCACCAATTTTTGAGTGAAGTCCCAGGGGTCCCAAAAGCGGCTCTTTAGAAGCCCCATTGGAGGCAGGTCACCTCTTTTGGAAGTCTCCCACAAGTGTCTTTCCCGTGCTCATGTCATCGTACCAGAGAAATGCCGCCCCGTGGGGCAGGGGGCGCGCACCCTCCTGAAGGGGCAGCGGCAGGGGCCAGGCAGAGGGCTGGGAGCTGGCAGACGTCCTCCTGGCATCACCCACACTCGCGGTTTCTGCATTTGCACGCCCCCGCCCTCTCCATCTGCATACTTCTAGACATGTCTGCTCCTTTTCATTATTTTACTTTATGTTATTTTAAAATAGTTGTGTGTGAGGTAGGGTCTCGCTCTGCCCGTCGGTTCTGTTGCCTCACGCGGTTGCGGCAACCACAGTGCCAGGCTGGGTGCCTTTCCCCGGGGGGCTCCGAACCTTCCCGGCAGCCGCGTGGAGGTAAAGGCGCGCGTCCCACGGCAGCGTTTTTGTTCCCGTAGCGTGCTGGGATTTGCAAAGGCTTCCCAGGCTTGTGGGTAGGAACCGTTATTTGCAGTTGATTTTTGTTTTAGGAACAGCAGTTGGATGAAAAAGATGCCCGGCGCTTCCAGCTTAAAATCGCGGAGTTAAGTGCGATTATCCGCAAACTGGAGGACCGCAATGCATTGCTGTCGGAAGAGAGGAATGAGCTGGTGAGCGCGGGCGGGGGCTTCTGGCTCCTGGGGGTTTGTGACTGCGGAGCTGGGGACCTGGGGGGCATCCACTTTCAAAATTCCTTGCGTAAAGGAGTGGTGGTTGCAAGGACCGGCCTTGCGTCGAAGTCTCCTGACTGTGTTCCAGTTGAACTTTATTAGCAAAAACAGGTAGGGGTCACATTTGCCCCTCAAGGGCTGGTTGACTAACCCCTGCTCTGCGTTAGTGGGGGCAGAAGCCGCCTCTGTTCTGCAGGTGATCTGGGATGTGCAGACGCGGCCTCTCAGTGGGGCTGTTGCCATTGGTCCTTATAGCCACTGAGATTTCCAGGTAACTCGATATCCCGGAGGGTGCGTGAGCTGTCACGTGTCTGCAAGGGTCCAGTAGGCTGGGTGGTTTTACCACAGCCCTTCTTGGCAAGACAAAGCGCTGGCCCCAGACTGCTGGTCTTCATCTTCATCCCCATCTGTCAATGGGACGGGACTCACCCCCGGGGACGCCGAGCCCAGCCCTGAGCTTGGGTTCACTAGGGCACCGGGCGAGCGGGTTCACCTGGGCACTGGACGAGCAGGTTCACCAGTGCTCTGGGCAAGTGGGTTCACCCGGGCGCTGGGCCAGTGGGCACCACTTGGAGGCGTGGACTTCCCAAGTAGAGGGCTGGGGACTGCGTTGTTGCAGCCCAAGCTGTGGTCAGTCAGCCGACTCTGCGTGGAGACCTGCTGGTTCTCCGTCACTTAAAGAACAATCACATAGTGCGTTGTCTTTCAGTTGAAGCGCGTAAGAGAAGCTGAGAGTCAGTACAAGCCTCTGCTGGATAAAAACAAGCGCCTCAGTCGGAAGAACGAGGATTTGTCTCATGCTTTACGCCGAATGGAAAACAAGTTAAAATTTGTCACCCAGGAGAACATAGAAATGGTGAGGGGGTGGGGGGCTCCACGGGGCCACGGTCGCACCCGAGCTCCAGGCAGCATCTCCTCCCTTCTCCACGCAAGATTTAGCATGACAGCCGGTCCCGGGCGGGTGGCCAGGCCTTCTGCTGGAGTCTGGCCTCACGCATGTTTGAAGGGGAGCAACCGCCAAGCCCAGCCCTGGGGAGGGGGACCCTTGGAGGAGGCCCTGACCTTGCAAAGGATGCGGCTGTGGGGCGTCCCCTCCCCAGGCCTGTTTGCCCACGTCTCACTCAAGGGCCTGGAACAGGTGGCCTCCAACTCGGAAAATCCCGGGCGAGGGTAGTAAGAGGCTGCGGAGTCCCGGCTGTTGGGGAGGAGAGGAGGCCTGGCACACAGCGCCAAGCAGGAGTCGGGGGCAGGGAGTCTCTGCTCCGCCAAGGCCATGAGCCAGGAGTGGGGGGCCGTCAGCCGGTGTCACCACGTTCCCCTGCCCTGAGGACCCCAAAGGCCATGAAGCCAGAGTTTACTCAATGAGTAATTCAGCCGGATGTGGGGGAGAGGCGCTCTCCTTACCCCTCTCTATGGAAGCCCCCTTCTTTTCACACTGAATTAGAGTCAGGAGGGATTTGGGAGAGGAGGCCACATGGGAAATGGGCACAGATGACCCAGTGTCAGCTTCAGGGCTGTGAGCGATCCCCTCCAGCCATGCTTTCTGGGAGACCCGCAGGGCCCATGTGTGTCTGTCCGGGCTGCACACACCTGCCCTTGCTGCAGGACTGGGCCCACATAGGCCTCATTTCCCCAGGGACTCTGCAGCTGGGCTGTTCTGAGGCCTGAGCAGAGGCCGCCAGCCGGGCAGCTGAGAGTGGCAGCCCGGGTTGAGGGAGAAGACCCCCCCGCCGACCCACTGTGTTCAGCCAGACCCCTTCACTCCCCAACTTGTGATGTGGGCTGCTTGGCGTTTCAGAGACAGAGAGCTGGAATCATACGGAGACCCAGTTCCTTGAATGACCTTGATCAAAGTCAGGATGAGAGAGAAGTCGATTTCTTGAAGCTTCAGATTGTGGAGCAGCAAAACCTCATAGATGAACTGTCTAAGGTACCCGGCGGGCTGTTTGCTGCGGCCCCGTCCTCTGGCTCCCAAGGGGCTTGGCTAACAGGGACCCTGAGCAATTCCGTAACATGCTGTCTTCCTTTCCTAGACCCTTGAGACCGCCGGCTACGTGAAGAGCGTGTTAGTAAGTATGGTCAGCGCCCGCTTCCCCACGCCTCCGCTCCCCACGCAGTTGCCCGTGGGACCCATTCTGTGCCCAGGGCTCCTCACAGACCAGACAGAAGCGGCCGCGGCAGCCTTTCGGGTGGATTTTGTTGTTGCAGTGCCACCTGGCCAAGGCTGTGCACGGGTGGCTGACGCCCTTCAGTGTGGGTCAGAGAGGAGCCAGGGACACCCACTGATGCCCCAGTTGAGACAGCACCAGCTTGGGACGATCATGTTTCTCAGTTAATGGCCAGGGTCAGACGGCTGCCCTTCTCCGGCTGCTCACCCCACCATGCCTTTCTCCCTGGCCAGCACAGACAGGCAGCCGCAGCCCAAGAGGTTCACCATCACGGCCATGAAACCACAGCATGGGTTCCCCGGAGAGCAGCAGGACCCTGGTCTCCTTAGTATTTTAAGGGCGCCAGTCCCCACACAGATGTGGACGCCACCCCTGCAGGGTCCGGAGGGGCCCTGGCCATGAGTCCCCTTCCAGCTTCCCACAACTGTGTGCCCCTCAAGTCACCTGCCCCGTGTGGCCCCTGGACGCATTTAGAAGGGGAGCTGGTAGACCATTGAGCAAGACAAGCTCAGAGCCCACCTAATTGGGGAGCCGTCCGTGTCACCCTGGAGACAGGAGCTCCCCGAGGAGCAGAGCTGGAGCCAGGGCCTCCCGCTGTGGTGTGGGGACAAGCCAGCCCAGACACCGTCTTCCCTGTCATCCAAATGATGGCACACGGGCAGTAAACCGTGGACTGAAACCGGTGGAGCTGCTCTACCACTTACACAACCTCTTCAACTGGCTTCCGCAGGAGCGGGACAAGCTGTTAAGATTCCGGAAGCAAAGAAAGAAAATGGCAAAACTTCCCAAGGTAAGGAACAGCACACCGGCACGTGCGGAGAGTACGCCGGGTGTGTGCGGAGAGGACCACGCCCGCGTGTGTGGAGAGCGCTGGTGTGTGCGGAGAGGGGTGCGCCGGTGTACGTGGAGGGCGCTGGGTGTGTGTGCCGAGGACCGCGCCCACGTGTGTGGAGAGTATGCCGGGTGCGTGTGGAGAGGACCGCGCCCGCGTGTGTGGAGAGTACGCCGGGTGTGTGCGGAGAGGGGTGCGCCGGTGTATGTGGAGGGCGCTGGGTGTGTGTGCCGAGGACCGCGCCCGCGTGTGTGGAGAGCGCTGGTGTGTGTGGAGAGCGTGCTGGCGTGTGCTTAGTAGGAATCAGTCTTTGGAGATGAAAAAACAATTTTATTATTTCTAAAAATTGTTACTGTGAAATGACCAAAATAGGACCCAAAGAAAATATTCTGTTTATCATTTTTAATAAACTTGTTTCTTTCAAATTTCCAAGAGAAGATAGGAATTGGTAACAACCATACCAGCAACACTAGCAATGAAGAGGTGCCGGCTCTGGTGTCCTCACTGCCTGTGTAGGGTCCGAGTCCCCACGACCTGTGGGATGCACGGCTCTGAGGACGGGCGGCTGAGGCTGCTCACACTCACCCATCCTGGCTGTGCCACACACCCCACGCTCGCCTGTCCTGCCGTTCACCGTCCTCGGCCACACTTGCAGGCTGTGGCAGCCTCATCCACAGGCCCCACAGGGCAGACCCACGTCCCCAGGAAATGTGAACACCTGTCATCATTTCTCTACAGTAGAATCCTTTGTGATAAACCTATGATTTTTATTAAGGGAGGCTTTGGAGCAGCTGCCAAAGGACCTAACTCATCTCCTGCTTTATGTTGAGTGTGTGTGTGTGTGTGTGTATGTGTATGTGTGTGTGAGTGCGTGTATGTGTGTACATGTGTGTGTATGCATCTGTGTGTGTGTGCATGTGTATGTGAGTATGAGTGTGTATGTACATGTGTGTATGTGTCTGTGTATGTGTGTGTATGAGTGTGTGTGTGTATGTGTGTACATGTGAGTGTATATGCATCTGTGTGTGTATGTGTGTGTGTGTATGTGTGTACATGTGAGTGTATATGCATCTGTGTATGTGTGTGAGTGTGTATGTGTATGTGTGTGTGTTTGTATGTGTGTACATGTGAGTGTATATGCGTCTGTACGTGTGTGAGTATGTGAGTGTATGAGTATGTGAGTGTGTATGTGTGAGTGTGTGTGTGTGTTTGTGTGTACATGTGAGTGTATATGTGTCTGCATGTGTGTATGTGTGAGTGTGTGTGAGAGTATGTGAGTGTGTATGTGTGAGTGTGAGTGTGTGTGTGGCTTGTAAGCTGTCAGCAGTGTTTTCTCGCTGTTAGACTGTGAGATGCTCCTCGGTCACAAACACTTGCCCTCTGAAAGGTGGAGAGGAGGAGCTGTCCAGGCTCTCCCCGCTCGGGACCCCTCTGGGATTTGGAAGTGTCCAGCAGACGCCTTGGCCCTGTGAAGGGAGGACACAGGGTGTGGGGAGGCACACAGGACAGGGGCCAGTGGTTGGCGGGGAGTAGGGGAAGTCGGGTGGCCCTGGGGTCCCTGAGGGAGTTTTGCTGGAAGGTTCTGGCAGAAGAACTGGGAGGAGACCTGGAGGCCACTGTGGCCACGGCAGAAGGGACTGAAGAAGATGGCGGGCTTTCCATTTTGTAACACTTCTGAAGGGGACCCAGATGAGTCCCTCTTCGATTCTTGAAGGCAGGGGTGAGGGGGCCCTAAAGATGCAGACGTCGGGGTGAACCTGGAGGGTCCCCAAAGGCAGGGCCTCTCACACCAGCTGGCGGAGGACCCCGTTTTTGTTTGTATTCCAATCAGTCAAGGACTGAAACTTTAAAAAATGGAACAGAAATGCATCACTGGGAATGAGATCACACAGGGAAGGCACCCATCGTCGGTTCTGTTAACCCGGGTACCACCCTCAGGGAACCGCAGGGACGGTGCCCCACGAAGGGCCTCATTCCCCACCACCAAGGGCAGGGCCAGGACCCGCTCACCCACGGGACTCCAGGCCCCTTCCCCACCCGCCCTGCCAGCCTTGCCATAGAGCGCCCCTCACACCCAGGCCACCTCCTCGGCCTGTGCCAGGGACAGAGATGGGAGTGTGTCGCAGGGTGGGGCTGCGGCCCCCACCGTTGGGCAGCGGGAGGAGGCGGCGGGAGGAGGCGGCTGTGCCTGGGTCTGGTTTGAACTGACACGTCGCATTTTGGTCACAAGCCGGTGGTTGTGGAGACCTTCTTTGGATACGACGAAGAGGCTTCCCTGGAATCCGACGGCTCCTCCGTCTCTTACCAAACAGACAGGACGGACCAGACCCCGTGCACCCCGGACGATGACTTGGAGGAGGTAACGAGGGTCTCCTGCCGGGTCCTGGGCTTGGAGGAGGTAACGAGGGTCTCCTGCCGGGTCCTGGGCTTGGAGGAGGTAACGAGGGTCTCCTGCCGGGTCCTGGGCTTGGCTGGGCATGGGCTGCCGGCTTTTCACGGGGAAGCCCTTCGCGGCCCTCACTGGCACTGACCCGCTGATAGCTGACTCGGGCACGGTGAGAAGCTCCCATGACATGGCTTGGGGTGTGGGCTGAGGCCCGCTCTTGCTCCCATGAAGGCCAAACCATGCCTCCTTCTGCCACTGAGCCTACGCCCCTTCTGCATAGGGGTACGGTGAGCTCTCCCTTCCTAAGGGGCCTCCCCAGGAGGGTCTGAACCACTCATCAGGGAGTTTGGTCTCAGTGCCAAGAGCACATTAGGGTGAGGGGTGTTGAGCAGGAGTTTTCTTTCTGATAACAGCACAGGTGTGTCTGCCCACCAGCCCCTTCTTCCAGAAGGACGGCTACCCTCAGGCGCAGGCAGCCATTTCAGCACCAGGTCGGGGCTTGGTGTTGTGGGACCCAGACCCTGTGGCTGTGGGACAAGGAGTGGGGTCTGCAGTCAATGGCACAGCCAAGGATTGGGCCTCCCGTGGCAGACCCTGGAGGGTGGCCCAATGGCCATAGACCTGTTGAGGGATCTAAGACATCCTCTCACAGCCTCAGGTGCAGGGTTGGGCAGGGGAACTGGGCCAGGCCAAGGCTTCTGGGCTCAGTCACTCCTAGACGTGGCCAACCCTTCCAGCCCCGGGGGTCCACCGGGACCCTTTGAAGGCAGCAGCAGGCTCACCTGTCTTCTCCCTGGGGTGACGGGGGGCACTGCAGCTAGCAGGGTGAGCCTGCAAGAGTGCACCTGGGAGGAGACGTGCTGCCTGGGGTACTTTACCCCCTTCACAAAGCCCAGCTTTCTTCCCAGGACGTGTTTCAGCAGAGCAGAGCGTGTGCAGGCCTGGTTGGTAACAGAGGGTCTGCTGGGTCAGGGCAGCCTGGCTAGCAAGCAGGAGCCCCAGCTGAGCCCCTGGCCATGGCCACCAGCCCAGCAGGCTCACCCTGTCCTCAGCCGTGCAGCCGACTCAGCTCCCACCCCAGGGCTCGGTGCTCCCCTCCCCAGGGAAACCTTTCTCCAAACAGCACTGAGTCCCCAGGCAGCCGCCCCTCCCTGCACACTGGAGCAGGTCCCCTCCCTCATGCTGCTAGAGAGACCCCCCCATACACCATTTGATATCTGGGGAGAAGGGAAGCCCCGGGGCCCCGCCATCGGAGGAGGTGCTGGCTACTGACACTGTGTCTCTGTGCGTGTGTGGCATCCGTGTCTCTCCAGGGCATGGCCAAGGAGGAGACGGAGCTGAGGTTCCGGCAGCTGACCATGGAGTACCAGGCCCTGCAGCGTGCCTACGCTTTGTTGCAGGAGCAGGTTGGAGGGACGCTGGACGCAGAGCGAGAAGTTAAGGTCTACGTGACTTCCACCGCGCGTTCCGGCCCCCCTCGTGCCTTCCCGCTTGACCCCGTGGCCTGGGCTGGGACACCCCCCTCACTAGCCCTCCTGGGCCCGGGCCCCTCCTCTCCTGCCCTTGCCTGCAGTCCTGGTGGTGCCCATGGAAGCCGATCAAAACCAGGGATTGGGGATCCCGGTGCTGGGAGTTGGCCCAGGTGGGAGGGACTGGCCCAGAGCGGTGCCAGGCACAGGTGTGAGTAAGGGTCCTGGGGGAGGCGGGGTGGTAGTGGTGGCAGGGGCCCACAGCGCCCAGGGTGGGCCTCCTTCCAGACCACCTCTTCCACTCTTGGCAGCATGGCGATGGCCCGTGGCAGCATCGAGCTCGGTGTTGAAACTTGTGGAGGTCATTCATCCTCAAAGGCTGAGCTCACACAGGCTGTGCCTGCCCCGGCCCCGGCCCCGGCCCCTCTCCCCCGGCCTCCCCACTGGGCAGCACCCCAGCAGCCGTGTCCCTCCGCCCACTTCCCTGGCTCACCTTAGCGTCGTCCCCCAGGAAAGGCCTCAGTGTGGCTGGCGGGTGCCCTCTGCGGGCCGTGGAGGGCAGTGCAGGCACCAGGCCTCGTGGGGAGAGCGTGGGCCATGGGTCGGGGGTCCTCTTGCCGCCCCACCCTCCCTTACTGAGGCTCGGAGGGGAAGCCGCTGGAGGACCTGCACCTGGTACCCCTCACAGCGAGACGGGCTGCTTTCCGGGGGAGCTGAGGGGTTCTCCAGAGCAGGCAGCTGTGGGGTGTGGGGTTCCCGTTGGCCTCCCCACCCCAAAACCACCCTGCAGGGCCAGAGATGCCAGTGTCTGGCAATTCTGCAACTTAGGGTGGCTGAGCTGGGTGGGGGACGGACCTCTTGGGGCGAGGGGAGAGTGTCCACAGAGCATCCCCAGCGTGGTCCACGCTAGTGCCCCAGGGAGCCGCCAGCCTCATCCTCTGTCCACCCAGACCGCCCTGGTGACGTGGCTGGTTTCCCTCCTGCCTTCCTGGCACCTCATTGGGGACGTCTGTTGTGAAAACTAAGAGAGAGCTCCACCCCTCTGTGCCCTCCTCCTGTCCTGAGTCGGGGTGGGGGGGGCTGGCCTTGGAGGGGGCGTCCCCTCCTCAGGCTCGGAGAGATTTGTCTCCGTAACTGGGGACTTTAAATATCGCCTCTTTCACTTTGACTTAATTTTTGCATGACCCTTGGAGAAAGGAAAAAGTCAAGGCCTCGGTTCAGAGCATCATAAAGCACAGCAGCCCCGAGACATCCCAGAGCCTCATGGGCCCAGCCTTTCTCCCTCACAGCGGGGGCGGGGCAACAGCCGCATCCTCCTGGCCAAGCTCGCCAGGAGCTGGAGGAGCTGGAGAAAGCATCCTGTCTTCCCTTTTTCCTGTCGGGTGCCAGAGAAACATTTGCTCGGGGGCCACATGGAAGCAAAGAACTCAGAAGCTTTGCTTAGAGAGTAAAAATGTCCAAACTGCATGTAAAAAAAAGTTTAATGTCATTTAGAATCAGAGGAAAATCTGATGCCGAGAAGTGCTGCATGGTTATTTTAAAAACTAGAAGATACAGAAAAGATTAATGAAGAAAATAGACTAGCCGGCATCCCACAGTCTGATTCTGTATTATAATTGGAAATGTCACTCCTCACTGTGGAAATCGAGGAAGCCTCAGGATAAGGAAGGGGGCAGGAGAGGACAGGCGTCTGAAGACATGGACGTGGGCCCATCCCTGCCACGGTCCTGAGGCTGCAGGGGGCCCACAGCCCTCTGTGGGCTCCGTTTCCCTGTCCGGAAACAGGGTTAGGACTAACTGGAATTCCCTCTCTGCTAAGCATTCTCCAACCCAAGGGCTCACATCCACGATTGTGACCCCTTAAGGGAGGGAAGAGGCTGGGGTGATGGGAGGAGCCCAGGACGGCCTGGGGGCAGGGAGCTGGGACCAAGCACTCGGGGGCGGGCACCACAGGTCACGCCTTCGCCCACCCCCCACCCCGGCTGATGGATCCTCTGACCCTGCGTCCTGTCCCGAAACGCACCTCTCCCTTGGAAGCTATCCCCAGAGAGAGCAGGAGCCACTGTGGCCCCATGGTTCGGAGCCACCACAGCAAAGTGAATTAAGGGAGGTGGCTCAGACCTCGGCTAGAAGCCTCGGTGGCACTCGGGAGGGACTTCACAAACCAGGATGCGGACGGGGGAAGCGCCAGGGCTTTTCCTGTAGATGTGGGGCGGGCTCTGGGAGTCAGTTAAGGAACACAGAATTCAGGAAGGCAGTGAGCCCTGGGCTGAGGCAGCTCCCGCACAGGCAGCCACACCACCCGGGGCTTCCAGAGGGGCAGCTCCAGTACAGGCAGCGGCACCACCCGGGGCTTCCAGCGGGTCCATGTGGAGAGTCCCTCGAACAAAGCCCTCTGGCCGGCACCTGGCAGGGCTGAGCACACGCTAGGCCTCAGTCATCCTCATTGGCTGTGTCATCCTGTAAACAAAGATTTCTCCTAACAGGCTCTCAAAATCAACCTGCAGGATTTCCCCTTAGAATCTAAGTGAGATCTCTTGCTTCAAATAAGCCTTAAAGTTCTCCCTCCAGGGCTGGGCGCAGTGGCTCACTCCTGTAATCCCAGCACTTTGGGAGGCTGAGGCAAGTGGGTTGCTCGAACTCAGGAGTTTGATACCAGCCTGGGCAACATGGTGAAACCCCGTCTCTACAAAAAATACAAAAATTAGTGGGGTGTGGTGGTGCATACCTGTGGTCCCAGTTACTCAGGATGGTGAGGTGGGAGGATCACTTGAGCTCGGGAGGCGGAGGTTACAGTGAGCCAAGATTGTGCCACTGAGCTCCAGTCTGGATGACAGAGCCAAACCCTGTCTCAAAAAAAAACAAAACAGTTCTCCCTCTCTTAGAAAGCATCTCTTCCAAAGGAAGGGCGAACAGTCACTTCTCAATGAACTGAACCAAAAGACAGACCCTTCTGACGTCCCACGAGTGTGTGTGCTGTCTGTCCCAGCTTTTAGAGAAAATTTGATGTATCTTTCCTCCCGTCCTACAGACCCGTGAGCAGCTACAAGCCGAAGTGCAGAGGGCACAGGCGCGGATAGAGGACCTGGAGAAGGCCCTGGCGGAGCAGGGGCAGGTGAGCCTGCAGCCATCTGCACGGGCGTGGGGGCACACGTGGGTGGGAGGTATTTGGCTGTACCTAAAGACAAGCTTCAGTGGTGCGATCATAACTTTCTACAGCCTTGACCTCCTGGGCTCAAGCCATCCTCCCACCTCAGCCTCCTGAGTAGCTGGGACCACAGGCATGTGCCACCACGCCCGGCTAATTTTTGTATTTTTTGTAGAGACGGGGCTTTGCCACGCTGGCCAGACTGGTCTTTGGTGTTCTGCCACATCACGATTTAAACGTTGGTTTATGAGTTCCTCCCTCAGTGTCTTTATTTCTTTCAATTCCATTTGCAAGGATATGAAGTGGATTGAAGAGAAGCAGGCACTGTACCGGAGAAATCAAGAGCTTGTGGAAAAGGTGAGCCCCGAACCCCTGGAGGCCCTGGCAGGACTCGCTCTATGCTCCTGGGGGTTGCAGTGGTCCCTGCGGGGCTGAAGGATGGAGCGAGGGCTGAGGCTTCTGAATGGCTGTCCCAGGCCCCTTCTGCTCTGCTCCCTCCTGCGGGACCCCATCAGGAGCCCTGGGGAGGAGGATGGCCTGGACAGAGGGAGCTGGGGCCTGTTCTCCTGGGTCCTGTTCTCCTGGGTCCGGGCAGGCCCCTATCTGCAGCAGCATCTCCATTCGTGTCCCGTTGTGCTGATGGTTCTGTGGGTGGGCTGGTTAGAGCATCGTGACAGAGGAGCTTTATTGAGACCACTAGAATCATCCCCCTGGGAAGCCTGGCTGGGTCAGGGAAGTCTCCTTCCAGCAACGCTTGTGGGGAAGCTGAAGTCCTCGGGGAAGAGCCCATGGACCAGCCTGGCTGAGCAAGTGCGTGTTTGAGACTTCGGCAAGGCGTCACCTGGCAGGCCCAGGTCCAGGCTCTCTTGGTCCCAGATGACAAGAGGCTCCTGAAGTGCTGCCCCGCCCCCACCCCCACCCCCACCCCCACCCTGGCCCGGGCTTTGTGGTCTGGAAGACTATCAGACGTAAAACAGATCAGAACATGCGATGTGTGGCCAGGCTGCTCTCAGTGGCCTTAGCTTCTGCCTGAGGTGCAGGGAAGGGAGTGCAGGTTTCTCTCGGCACCTCCCACCACATCAGGCCCACCTGGCTCAGCTGCTCCCTGCACTGGGTTAAAGAGGGAGTCACAGCACCGAGGGCCCTAGACTTAGGTCTGGGCAGTCCAGGGCCATCCCAAGAGGGGTGCACCTCACAACTGTGGGAGCAGGTGATGTGGCATGAGGCAGGGGCGGGGCTGGCTACGGGTCCAGGGGCAGGAAGGCCAGCAGGGCTGTCATTACCACGCACAGGTGAGGGGTGCTCTGTGTGACCCCCACCCCACTTGTCCATGGGCAGGGACAGGTGTCCTGAGGAGGCAGCGATGTCTCACGCTGGCAGGTGCGGCCCTCTGGGGAGAAGCTAGGGTAGCCTGGCTGATGAGTCTGATCTGTGCCAACAGGACAGAGCTTCAGACAAACAGAGGCGTCCAATGCAGACTCTGCACTGCTGCCAGCCCAGGGCTGGTCGTGCCCTCTGGGGGTCCTGCTTTAGGCTTGGTTTGCATCTTGAATGGCGAACGACACCCCCATGTTTCCCGTGGACACACGGAACATCTCTTAAATTAGAAGTGCGTTTCCACAGGGCTCAGCACAGTGCTGTGTGTGCCACGTAAATGCCGGCACAGGCAGAGATCCACGTGCACTTAAGGGCACCCACTTGAACACGCACACACGTAAATGCCTGCGTGCACACTTGAACACGCACACACGTAAATGCTGGCATGTACACTTGAAGACATGCACACAGAGATGCTGGCACGCACATGGAAATGCTTGTGCACGTACACACATGCGCATGTGCACACTTGGAGCCATGCTTTTTTCTGGCTACACTGGGTGCAGATCACATTCCTGGCCCTGCAGGTGTTCCACGGCAGGCCCACTGTGCAGCAGTACACAGCTGGCCCTGCAAGGGGGTCCAGCTCCCACTGAGCCGGCTCACTCCAAGGATGCAATGCTTCTGAGTTTATCTTGGTCCCCTGAGCATCAGAGCAGGTCCCTCAGTCCCTGGAGCTCAGCTTCAGGGGATGGACACAGCTGTCTGCCCCTGGTGGCCCCTGCCCTCATGAGGCTGCTGAGGACACATGCCGTGGGCCGTGTCACTTGACCCTTTGGAAGGGGTGGGGGACTCCTGCATCCGGTTTACTCGTAACTGGTTCCGTTTAAACAGCTCCTTAATTAGCCAAGTGAATTCCGGTGGCCAGGCAGCCGTGGTACCCGCTCCTTCCATTGGGCACAGCCTGGGCTCCAAGGGGCACCCGGGAGCCACCTGGGACATTTACCCTCCACGGCCTCCCTTCCTCATCCTAGCTCAGAGCCCCGCTAAGGCCCCCGTGCTCCTGGCTTGTGATGTACAGCCCCTGCTGGAGACGTTTATCCTTGACGGCCTCCCTTCCACATCCCTGTCCAGGGGCCACCCAAGCTCAGGGCCCCGATATGATCGCCAGGCTCCTGGCTTGTGGTATGCGGTGCTGCCTGCCCAGCCCCACCCACCACCGGATGGCTAGGCTATCTCACTAGGACAAACCCAAACATACCGAGGGCTGTGAGGCGCTTCCAGGGCTGGGTACCAGGCCAGCCGGCCTCCCCGGCAGCCAGCAGCTGTCCCGTCAGCCTGGAGTTGACCTCCCAAGACCTCTGGTGAGAGAGAACCAGACCCCTCACCTCATGCATCTTTTATGTTGCAGATCAAACAAATGGAGACGGAAGAGGCTCGGCTCAGACACGAGGTGCAGGACGCCAGAGACCAAAACGAGCTGCTGGAGTTCAGGATCCTGGAGCTTGAGGTAGCTGAGTGGATGGCCAGCACTGTGGCCTGTGGCTGTGTCAGGGATCTAGTCCTCAGCCTTCCTAACCCACACAAAGCCCTGAACATGAACATGAACATGAACATGAACCCAAAAGGCTGCGTCAGGGAGGAAAGAGGCAAATGGCCGTAAACCGCCACCTCTTCATACCGGCCGTCCAAACATCCAATGGGGAACATGGGCCATGGAGCTCAGTGTCAGGCAGGGACCACCTCTTCATACGAAGGATGAGGCCAGCCGCCCAAAGCACGTGTAAATATGGGGGAAATGGCCCGTGGCGCTCAGTGTCATGCAGGGAAAACAAAACAAAAGCACGACGGGTGACAGTGCAGCATCTGCTCCAGACCTGTGGGGTGAGGAGCTGGCACGTCCGTCCTCCATCTGCCCGTCCTCCATCCGCCCGTCCTCCATCCACCCCCAAGGAGCCGGCACGTCCGTCCTCCATCCGCCCGTCCTCCATCCGCCCCCGTGGCCCTGCTGCAGCTGGTGTGGGGCTCTGTCCAGGCCTCCGCCGTCGGCAGACGTTTGTTTCTTGCCCCTGAGTGAGGACAGTGGGGGCCACGCGGTGACTGGGAGCCCTTTGCCTGTGCCCTGCCATCCCTGGCCCTGTGTCCTCTGCCATGACCTGCACAGGAGGAGGGAGGAGGGGAATCCCACGGGCAGCTCAGGCTGGGTGTGGGCAGCCACGTCGCTGTGATTGTTTCACGGCAAGGGTGGTCCACCTGTGGGGCTGGGAGGAAGTGGCCCACACAGGGGCCGCCCCTGCCGAGCACCACACACAGCCCCGAGGCCTCCGTCTCAGGCCAGCACCTGGAGCCTCACAGTCCAGCTGGAGCCGCCTCTTAAGAGTCTGCCCGTCCACTGCCGGAGGACAGGGCAGCTGTGTGGTCACTCCATGTGTGGACGACCTCGGCCACGTGGGCCTGCCTGTGGGGACAGTGGCAGCACTGCCAGCCTGTGTTCTCCAGAGGCTCCTCTGGTCAGACCTGAAGGGGATGCAACCTGCAGCCCCTCCCCTGATCCTCCCCATAGCCCCTGGGATTCACTGAGGGATGTGCCCGTGGGCTCAGGGTGGGACTGCCCAGGCCACGTGGCCAGAGTGTGATGAACTCTGCCCGGCACATCTGGGGTCAGCGAATATACAGGGGCAGTCCTTGTGGGCAGGTCCAGGTCCAGTGCAGATTCTGCCACCACTGCTGCCGCTGCGGTTTGGTTTTCATAAATGCTGTGTTGATCCCTGGTTCCATGGTCTTGGCCCGTGTTCCTCAGGCCCCAGCACAGTCCTCTTAGAGGGAAGGGATGGGAGGGGAGCGGCTCACCCTTCTGTCCCTCTGTCCTAGGAGAGGGAGAGGAAGTCACCCGCCATCAGCTTCCACCACACGCCCTTCGTGGACGGGAAGAGCCCCCTCCAGGTGTACTGCGAGGCCGAAGGTGTGACGGTGAGTCCCGCCCCTCCTGCCCACTCCGCCCCCACCTCACCCATCCCCCGCCCCACCCCCTCTCCGCCCCCGCCCCACCCCCCTCCGCCCCCGCCCCACCCCCCTCCGCCCCCGCCCCACCCCCTCCGCCCCCGCCCCACCCTCTCCACCCCCGCCCCACCCCCTCCCTGCCCCACCTCACCCCCTCCCTGCCCCCACCCTACCCCTACCCCCCCACCTCACCCCTGCCCCACCTCACCCCTGCCCCCACCCCGCCCTACCTCACCCCTGCCCCCACCCCACCCTACCTCACCCCTGCCCCCACCCCGCCCTACCTCACCCCTGCCCCCACCCTGCCCTACCTCACCCCTGCCCCTCCCCTCCCCCTCCCCCACCCCCACCACCTCCCCTCCGCCCTTCCCTGCCCTGTCCTTCCCCACCCCCTCTGCCCACCCCGTGGCCACTCACCCCTACCTGTCCTCTGTGCCTTAGGACATTGTGGTTGCGGAGCTGATGAAGAAGCTGGACATCCTGGGCGATAACGCCGTAAGTGTATGTCGCTCTCCTGGCTTGTGCATGCCTCTTACACCCACAACCCCCAGCCCAGCCCCTCTGGGGTCCAGGAGGCCCTGCCAGCCTCCCACAGCCCTGCCATGGGCCACCCTGCCTGAGACCCTCCACTAGGCCCAGAGCCTGCTCAGAATCGGAGCCTTCCTCACACTGCTCCAGGGCCCACTGGGGCCTCTGCTGTGCACACCTGGTTCTTCCAGCTGATGGCACTTCCCATCACATTGCCCAGCTTCTGGGATCTCTCAGCCCTTCCATACTTGCCATGAGGATAGGGGGCTGTTGCTCTTAGACAAACCAAGACCCTTAGGGGTTCCACTTCCTTGGCTTGGGGGAAAAGCAGACTCTATAGATAACTCCTAAATTTCATTTGGGGCAGAGTTCCAATTTCTATAGCAAACTCCTTGAAAGAATGTTAATTACTGAGTGGGCAAAATAATGCACCTCTTCATCCCAATTTTCATCCGCCCATTACTAATCCTCTGCTCTCCATCCATTTATTCCCCATCAATGCACCATCTACCTAGCCCTTCATTCATGCTCTGTCTTATATCCATCCATCTATCTATCCTGTGTAATCCATCCATCCATCCTCCATAATCCATGTATCCATCCTCCACAATTCATTTATCCGTCCTCCATAATCCATCTATCCGTCCTCCATAATCCATCTATCCGTCCTCCATAATCCATGTATCCGTCCTCCATAATCCATGTATCCGTCCTCCACAATTCATTTATCCATCCTCCATAATCCATCTATCTGTCCTCCACAATTCATTTATCCGTCCTCCATAATCCATCTATCCATCCTTCATCCTTCATCTATCCTTCATCCATCATCCTTAATCCATCCATTTATCCATCATCCACAATCTGTCCATCCATCCTCCATCTATCTATCATCCATCATCCCTAATCCATTCATTCTCCATCCTCCATCTGTCCTCTATCCACCATCCTCCATCCATTCCTTCTCCATCTACCATCCTCTACCCATTAACCTTTCACCCATCCATCCATCTCCCATTCATCCTCCATAATCCATCTATTCATTCTCCATCCATCCTTCCTTCATCCTCCATTCATTCATCCATTCTCCAAAATCCATCAATCCATCCACCCTCCATAATTTATCTATGCATCCTCCATCATTCATTCATTCATCCATCCTCCATAAGCTATTTATCCATCTTTCCATCCTTCATCCTTTATCCTTCCACCTATCCACATCCCCTCCCTCCATCCATCCATCTATCCATCCCTCATCCTACCTTCATTGACCTTCCACTTCCTCCATCCAGTGCTCTGCATCCGAGGACTCCCTTCTCCCCTTGCCTGCCCAGCCCCTGGGGAGCAGTGAGGCACAGGGCAGGGGTACTTTCAGCAGGGAGGCTCTGGGTGTGGGTCTGCTTCTCTCAGAGCTGGGGGCTCCACTGTGGTCATAGGTGGCCGAAGAGCCACAGCAGGGTGGCCGTGGACCTGACATCTCTGGGGTCCAGTCCTGGGTATCAGCCCCATCATGAGGTCTTGGGAACTGTATTGGGCAACTCTGATTCACAGTTGGAGAAGCTGAGTCCCCAAAGGCACTGCCCAGGGTCACAGAGCTGATGTAGTGGCAGAGTTGGGGGTACCCAGCCCCACCCAGGCCTATTTCAGGGTTCCTGCCCAGCCCCATAGCTGTCCACCAAGAGTGCCACTGAGTGTGACAGCCCTGCAGTCATCATGCAGCCTCTGAGGCCATTGTCACAGAGCCCAGGGACAGAGGAGGTTGGATACTGGAGGGCTCATGGCCAGGCTTAAGCTCAGGGGACCTGTGGAGATGCTGGGGAGCTCTTGACAGTGGGCTGACAGTGGCCCTTCAAGCCTGGCTGTGCAATCAGTGTTGACTTCACATGCAACTTGTGGTTTAATCACATCTGGGTAGATTCCCTCAGTCACCCTGAAGCCACCTGCTCAGCCTCCCCAACTTAAAGTGTTGGGAGAGGTCTGTGGCCTGCCCAGCCCTGCCATGGGAGAAGGGAGCAGGGCAGGAGAGATGAGGGCACCTGGCCCCAGCCATGCAGGATGAGGTTCTTGCCTGAGTCAGGAGTGCAGCTGGCCCCCACCATGGACTACAGACTGAGCCTGACTCCCCCCTGTGGGAGACCCTGTGCAGACTTTGGGGTTGGGGGACAGCAAGAGATGCCTGCTGTTAGGGAGCTTGCACTCTAGGGAGAGAATGGCATGGACAGGGCTTTTGGAGTGAGCTGGCAAGAATCAGAGAGGCCCCACGAGCTGGAGTCAGGCAGCCCTGGTCTGGATGCAGGCTGCAGCAGAGTCTGAGAGTGTGAGGTGCCCACATCGAAAGCCATAATCACTCTACCCAGAAGGGCCACCCAGGGGCCCCTCGGTTGGGGAGGAAGCATGAATAAAACATGCATAAAAGAGACAAAACCTTCCAGGGATTCAGCCATTTCACAGCCATGAACATGTGGTCTCTCCTCCACTGTTCCCAAGTGGTGTTTTAATAACCACAGGTGCATATGCAGAGGCTGGCTTTAAACACAGAAGGGGACAGAGGCTGGGCAGAGCAGCAGCCACTGCTGGGGATGTATTGGTGGCCTGCCTGCATTGAGCAGCGCATACGCATCTGCCTCAGCTGGTTACCTAGACCTGGTGATTACCAGCAGAGGGAGAATGAGAGAAAACAAAATCGGCAGCACCCGGAGGGAACAAGCTCAAGTCAAGGGTGTCAGAGATGCTGGGAGGGAGATGTCAGTCAAAGCACTTTTTAGCTCTGGCCCCCACCCAGGCGTCCCCAGTCAGCCTCCCCAGTCAGCTTCCCCATGCATCCATCACTCACCCTCACCCCCAAAGGCACTGCTTCTGACCGCACCTGTGTTCTGCTTTTGGGTGCAGAACCTGACCAATGAGGAGCAGGTGGTTGTCATACAAGCCAGGACAGTCCTGACCTTGGCCGAAAAGGTAACAGCAGCTGTGTGGACAGTCGGGAGAGGGCCGGGCTCCTGGGGTCTCCTGCCCTGCTCAGCTCAGAGGTGGTGATCTCGGGAGGAGGGCCTGCAGGGCCGGGTTTGGGGGGTCCACTAAGCCCCGTCTGCCCTGGGAGATCTGACACACTCAGGTCAGACAGCACCCACTGTGCATCTTTGCAAAGGACAGATTCGGCTCCACTTTGCTCTGTCACCAACCCTGTCTGCGTTTCCTCCCAAAGGCGGGAAGGTATGGTGAGTCTGCAGGCAGCGTTCTCTGTTCAACTTACCCTGACCCCCTTCTGGGGCCACCCAGCCCACTACCTGCTCCTAGTCCCACCCCTAGCCCTGACCTGCCTGGTGAGCTGGGCCTCCCACAGCAAGGAGAAGGGGTGCTCCTGGCACATAGGGGTTTGGAGAAACAGGCCACCCCTCCCCGCCTGTCCTGGCAGAGCTCTGCAGATGTGTCTCTCCTACGGTGCCCCAAGCTAGTGTCCCTCCTCTCCTGGAGAAGGTGTCAGGGGTAGACTTCCTGGACACCTGGAGGGTGGGAGGGGTGGGGCCATGATGCCAGCGCAGCCTCAACTCCCTGGAGAGGGCTGTGCTCTCCCCTCCCTAAGGAGAAGAGGAAGGAAGACCCAGGCTGTCCTGGCTTTTCTCCCAGCTGTCTCCACGAGCCGGGGTGGGGGACCCTAGGGGTCACTGTCCTGCTTGTTCTGTTTGTGTCCAGTGGCTCCAGCAGATTGAGGAGACAGAGGCGGCGCTGCAGCGGAAGATGGTGGATCTGGAGAGCGAGAAGGTTGGTGGCACCTTCACCGAGGTTCTGCGGCTCGGTGCTGCAGGTGGGACATCCGAGACCGAGGCATGGCCCTCCTGTGTTTCAGGAGCTGTTCAGTAAGCAGAAGGGCTACCTGGACGAGGAGCTGGACTACCGGAAACAGGCCTTGGACCAGGCCAACAAGGTGAGAGGCACGAGACTGCTGGAACCCCGGGGAGGGGCACTGGGCTGAAACGGCCACGTGGCTCAGGTGCCCAGCAGTGCCTCAGGTGCCCATGTGGGCCAGGTCGCAGGGCCCCTAATGGCCCCTAATGACACCTGCACAGCAGGCTCTGGCTCTCCAGAGCTGCCTGATGGGGTCTTCACTTGGAGCTTCATAAACGGAGCAGGATTAGTTGAGGAGGCCTAAACCCACACTGTGCAGTGAGAATGTTCTACAGCCTTTGTGCAGGTCACTCAAGCACAGAAACATGCCCGGATTCCTGAAGGCCATCCAGGTGTTGGTGTGGGCTGGTGTCTACCTCCCACCCTTCCCCTGAGGAACTGGAGAAACTGGTGGCTGTTCTGGGACAACAGCCTGCTCACTAGTGGGAGGTGTGGTCTTGTTCTATTTCATCTGGTGTGGCTGGGAGGAGCATAGGACGTTTCTAGGTTGAAAACTAGGCTTCAGAACTGGGTTCCCCGCTGGGAGCTACTTCCCCCGTGACTGCACAAGCAAAATCATCTGTCCCTGCTGGACTCCTATCACGTGACGGAAGGTACGACCAGGAGGATATCAGGCCATGTTGTGGAAAGACAAGTGTCACCACCAAGAGGTTCACCTCGGGACCCAGCCCAGCAGGCAGGGTCTTGACCCTCATGCCTGTGAGGAGACCTGCTTGGCTACTCAAAGCAAGGGAAAGTGGGCTGGGATGAAAATGCTCATTCCTGGGGCCAAGTTCAGCCTGGGAACTCTCAGAGTGATAGTGATGATAATGGTGATGATGACAATGGTGGTGGTGATGATTGTGCTGGCAATGGCAATGGTGATGGTGGTGGCGGTGGTGGTGGTGATGGTGGTGATAGTGGTGGTGATGATGATGGTGATGATCGTGATCATGATGACGGTGGTGGTAGTGGGATGGTGATGATGGTGATTATGATGGTGATAATGGTTATCATGATGGTGATCATGATGGGGATGATGGTGATTATGATGATGATGATAATGGTTATGGTGATGATGATGGCAATGATCATGATGACATGGTGGTAGTAGTGGTAATGGTGATGCTGCTGGAGGTAGTGATGATGATGGTGGCGATGATGGTCATGATGATGGTGATGGTGGTGATATGGTGGTGATGATCATGACAGTGGTGGTAGTGGTGGTGATGATGGTGATCATGATGGTGACAATAGTGATCAATGATGATGGTGATGATGGTGGTGGTGGTGATGAGGATGGTAATGATAGTGTTATAATGACAGCCTACTCAAGAGCCTTTCCTATGTGGCAGGCACTGGTCTGGCCAGCCAGGCACAGAAGCTGGTGACCTGCCCAAGGACACGCAGTCAGAATGAAGGCAGGAGTCGAATGTCAGCATTCTTCTCCTGTGCCCACAGCCATGACTGCTGCACTAGGCATCTCTCCTTCCTGCACTTGTGGATGTGAGTTCCTCACACAGAGGGGCCAGGGCTCAAACGCAGAAGCCTACAGAGCAAAGAACAGCCACACCAGGCACCTAGCATCCTGGGTGGGGGTGTAAGGCCCATGTCAGTTGCTGTGGAAGCCAGTGTGTGAGCCATGGGAGGCTTTGGAGGCAGATGACCTGGGTTTGAGGCCCAGCTCAGCTGGTAACCACTAGGGATTGGGAGTTCCTGTAAGATGCTGGGCATGGAGGCTGGCCCTGGCTAAACTGGTAATGGCCCTCCTGTTGCTATGGTTAGTGTCACTATTGCTGACCAGCAGTGTGCACATGACTGCGTGGGAGCAGCTCACAGGTTGCCAGCTGTTCTTCCTGGGCCACTGTCCTCACGGCCTCTGAGTACTGAGAGCCAGCCCCGGGTGAGCTGGCCCCAGTGGTGGTGAGACCTGAGTCCCTCCAGGTGGCCGGGGACCTGTGCAGCACGGAGCATGTCTGTCCACCCTGCTCATGGGGCGGCTCCCAGGCACAGGCTGCTGTGCGCTTAGCTTACCCAGGCAGTCCTCTGGGCCTTGCATGCTTTGGTCAGAAGGAAGGAGGCTGGAAGTAGGTGGTCACTTGATGTAAAAAGCAGAGGCCCCTCAGTGCCCCAGACCATCCAAACTGCAGCCAGCTGACACTCCTCTGCCCGCGCCTTCTGGGACTCCCAGCTGCCCTTACTGGAGAGACCTTCTTGCTGAGGCGACAGGTCCTGCAGGCTCCAGGCCCCCGCCTCCCTCCCTCGGCTCAGTCTCTGTCCCCCGAAGCTTCTTGGCCTCTGCTCTCCAGCCTCCTCGTACCCCCTTATCCTCCTCCATCCTGCTCATGCTGATTGCTGGCATGGACAGGTTCCTCTCTGCTGGATGAGGAAGAACCCTCTAGAACAGTGCTCTCCCACGAGCACCAAGGCCCATGTTGCTGCCCGGGTGGAGAGGGCTGGGATCCAGCTAGGGATCAGCCTAGCTGGCAGGCATCTCCACTGCTGTGCAGCCACCACCACAGCAGGCCGGGAGACAGAGGACCCCACCCAGCCTTCGCTGCTGCTGTTCCATCTGCCTGGGGCGCCCTCCCTTTCCTTCTCCTGCCCATCCCTGATTGACACTGCAAGCCTCAGTTTGGTACCTCGTCTCCTCTAGGAAACCTTCCCTGACCCCCAGTGAGGTGGCCCTGACATGCCCCACTCATGGAAGTGGTTCTGCCTTTCTATGGGGCAAGCAGGGACCATGTGCATCTGCTGCCATCTGGTCTCCTAGACCAGCACGAGGCCTGGCAGGCAGCAGGTGCTTTGCGGGTGATGCATAGGTGAAGAGGAAAAGAGCTAAGGATTATGCGGAGGTTTTTAAATCCAGCCCACCTTGAGACAGGAGAGGGAAGAGAAGGACATGCATTTCTTTTTTTAATATTGCATTTTTTTTCTGAATGAAAGAATAATCAATGTATAGTTCTGATTTACAACACAGAAAAATCCAAGAAAAAAGTTCACTACGTGCCCAGCACACAGAGAAAGACTGTGGGCATTCTGGTTTCTCTCCTGATGGTCTCTTGGCAGGATGGGGATACACATAGTATCTTTGCAAAAGCGCGGTCCCCATGCTTATCTGAGGCTTGTTCTCCGAGAGATGGTCATCATGCCAATGGTAGGAAATGTTCACAGTAGAAAAGGACATTTTCTTCCCGTTCCTGTTCTCTGGACTCCAGATGCCACCAACAAAGGGGACCCCACTTGCTGGTTCTCTTCTCCTTCTCTGAAGTGCGGGGTGTAACCACATGTGTGCGCACGTGCATTTTCATGGATAGCCTGAGAAACCCACCAGCTGCAGCATGCTTCCCTTTCACCTGACTGTGCACAGCCAGGGCGCTTCCCACCAGCCCAAGGAGTGACTTGGTGTGAGCGCATCATGGACTGTTCATCCCCAGTAGTGGACTTAGGTACTGTCCATGCATTAGCTATCACCAGCAAAACAGCAATTCCTATCCATTTCTGACGTCCCGACACACAAATGGAGATTATCTGCAGGAAAAGTTATTTGGAATGACCAAAGGGTATGCACACTTAAGGTGTTGTTAGGAACTGCCGAATATTTCTCCCCATAGTAGGTATAACTTGCAGCCCAAACTTCCACTGCATGATATGCAGCCGCCTGGTGCAGTCCTAGCAGGCATGTCTCTGGTGAGCTCAAAGTCTAACATGTTTCTATGCAACTCCACGCCACGTCTGTTTGTAACCTTTCCCACCTCTCTCATGCTATCTGACATTTTGGTCAGAGCTCTTGATAAAAGAAGGCAACCAGCCCTTTGCCATCCATTGCAAATATTTCCTTTATTTCCTTAGTCAGAAGAATGGGACATGGCAAATATTTCACCCAGCTTGTTGTTGCTCTTTGATATCAAACACTGTTTTGAGGGCCTGGCAGAATTTGGGTAATTTTTACGAGGTTGATGGCCTCCAGGTTTTATGGCATAATTTCAACTTCGTACAGAAAAAAAAAAGAGATTGTACAAAAAAATTCCAGTGTTTTCTTTCAGCATTACTTTGAGGTGTGTGTGAGGCAGGTGTAAAGAGGAAATGGAAATTTATGCACCTCCAGGATGGCTGCCCACCGCCCCCCCGCCCCGCCCCGCCCCGCCCCGCCCCCGGCAGCATCTGTCTACTCAGCCATCCACCTTTTCCACCCTAACGTCACAGATAATTCCCCTTTGTAAGATTGTGTCTGGAGTGATGCCTCAGTCCCAGAATCCCTCCACTGGGTCGGGAGAGTTGTCCCATGAGTGGAGAAGTGGCCTATGGGCCCCCTTGACCTGACCAGAATGCAGGATCTGAGCATAGAGAGCTCCAGGAGTGGGGGCCCTGGCCCAGAGCAACTGCCACCATGGTCCTTGTGATCAAACATCCCATGGACACCCCATGGGATTAGAGATGTAGGTCTCCACACACATTTCCAGAAGATCAAAGCCCAGCTTCAGCTTTCTGTGAGGCCACCTCTCTCTGCCACCTCCACAGTAGCTGTGTTCTCAGACCTCAGATGGGGCCAACTGCTCAGGGGATCATTCAGCCCCAAAGACCAGTGGGGAGGCACATGGTTGCTGGTTGGGCCAGGATTAATGGCCCCTACTCTGGAGGGGACTGGGGGCATCCTCCTGTGAGATGCTGTGGGAGGAGCATCTTCCTGTGAGATGCTGTGGGAGGGGCATCTTCCTGTGTGATGCTGTGGGAGGGGCATCTTCCTGTGTGATGCTGTGGGAGGGGCATCTTCCTGTGTGATGCTGTGGGAGGGGCATCTTCCTGTGTGATGCTGTGGGAGGGGCATCTTCCTGTGTGATGCTGTGGGAGGGGCATCTTCCTGTGTGATGCTGTGGGAGGGGCATCTTCCTGTGTGATGCTGTGGGAGGGGCATCTTCCTGTGTGATGCTGTGGGAGGGGCATCTTCCTGTGTGATGCTGTGGGAGGGGCATCTTCCTTTGTGATGCTGGGGGGGGGGACCTCTCGCTGTGTGATGCTGGGGGGGATCTCTCGCTGTGTGATGCTGGGGGGGGGCCTCTCCCTGTGTGATGCTGGGGGGGGTCTCTTCCTGTGTGATGTCAGAGGGCCCTCTCCCTGTGTGACGCTGGGGTTGTGTCTTCCCGTGTGATTCTGGGGGCGTCTCTCCCCGTGTGATTCTGGGGGCGTCTCTCCTTGTGTGATGTTGTGGGGGTATCTCTTCCTGTGTGATGTTGTGGGGGCATCTCTCCCTGTGTGATGCTGTGGGGGCATCTCTCCCTGTGTGATGCTGGGGGGGCCTCTCCCTGTGTGATGTCGGGGGCACCTCTTCCTCTGTGATGCTGGGGGCGCCTCTCCCTGTGTGATGCTGAGGGCGCCTCTCCCTGTGTGATGCTGAGGGGGCCTCTCCCTGTGTGATGCTGGTTGGGGGGGGTCTATTCCTGTGTCTTACTGAGGGGGCCTATTCCTGTGGATGCCGGGGGTGTGTTTTTTCTGCGTGATGCTGGGTGGGGGGGCTCTCTTCCTGTGTAATGCTGGAGGAGGCTCTCCCTGTGTGATGCTGGGGGTGTGTCTTCCTGTGTGATGCTGGGAGGGTCTCTCCCTGTGTGATGCTGGGGGGGCGTGTCTCCCTGTGTGATGCTGGGGGCATGTCTTCCTATGTGATGCTGGGGGTCCTCTTCCTTTGTGATGCTGGGGGGCCTCTCCCTGTGTGATGCTGGGGGGTCCTCTCCCTATGTGATGCTCAGGGGGCCTCTCCCTGTGTGATGCTGGGGGCATGTCTTCCTGTGTGATACTGGGGGGGCCTCTTCCTGTGTGATACTGGGGGGTCTCTTCCTGTGTGATGCTGGGGGGCCTCTCGCTGTGTGATGCTGGGGGGCCTCTCCCTGTGTGATGCTGGGGGGCCTCTCCCTGTGTGATGCTGGGGGGGTCTCTTCCTGTGTGATGCTGGGGGGTCTCTTCCTGTGTGATGCTGGGGGGGGGTCTCCCTGTGTGATGCTGGGGGGGCCTCTTCCTGTGTGATGCTGGTGGGGGTCTACTTCTATGTCTTACTGGGGGGGGCCTCTCCCTGTGTGATGCTGGGGAGCCTCTTCCTGTGTGATGCAGGCGGTGGCCTCTTCCTGTGTGATGCTGGGGGGGTCTCTTCCTGTGTGATGCAGGCGGTGGCCTCTTCCTGTGTGATGCTGGGGGGGGTCTCTTCCTGTGTGATGCTAGGGGGTCTCTTCCTGTGTGATGCTGGGTGGGCCTCTCCCTGTGTGATGCTGGGTGGGCCTCTCCCTGTGTGATGCTGGGGGGGGCCTCTCACTGTGTGATGCTGGGGGGGCCTCTTCCTGTGTGATGCTGGGGGGGGTCTATTCCTGTGTCTTATTGAGGGGGCCTCTCCCTGTGTGATGCTGGGGAGCCTCTTCCTGTGTGATGCTGGGGGGGGTCTATTCCTGTGTCTTATTGAGGGGGCCTCTCCCTGTGTGATGCTGGGGAGCCTCTTCCTGTGTGATGCTGGGGGGGTCTCTTCCTGTGTGATGCTGGGGGACCTCTCCCTGTGTGATGCTGGGGGGGCCTCTCCCTGTGTGATGCTGGGGGGGCCTCTCCCTGTGTGATGCTGGGGGGGTCTCTTCCTGTGTGATGCTGGGGGGTCTCTTCCTGTGTGATGCTGGGGGGGGGGTCTCCCTGTGTGATGCTGGGGGGGGCCTCTTCCTGTGTGATGCTGGTGGGGGTCTACTTCTATGTCTTACTGGGGGGGGCCTCTCCCTGTGTGATGCTGGGGGGGCCTCTCCCTGTGTGATGCTGGGGGGGTCTCTTCCTGTGTGATGCTGGGGGGTCTCTTCCTGTGTGATGCTGGGGGGGGGGTCTCCCTGTGTGATGCTGGGGGGGGCCTCTTCCTGTGTGATGCTGGTGGGGGTCTACTTCTATGTCTTACTGGGGGGGGCCTCTCCCTGTGTGATGCAGGCGGTGGCCTCTTCCTGTGTGATGCTAGGGGGTCTCTTCCTGTGTGATGCTGGGTGGGCCTCTCCCTGTGTGATGCTGGGTGGGCCTCTCCCTGTGTGATGCTGGGGGGGGCCTCTCACTGTGTGATGCTGGGGGGGCCTCTTCCTGTGTGATGCTGGGGGCGTGTCTTTCTGTGTGATGCTGGGGGGGCCTCTTCCTGTGTGATGCTGGGGGGGGTCTATTCCTGTGTCTTATTGAGGGGGCCTCTCCCTGTGTGATGCTGGGGAGCCTCTTCCTGTGTGATGCTGGGGGGTCTCTTCCTGTGTGATGCTGGGGGACCTCTCCCTGTGTGATGCTGGGGGGGCCTCTCCCTGTGTGATGCTGGGGGGGCCTCTCCCTGTGTGATGCTGGGGTGGTCTCTCCCTGTGTGATGCTGGGGTGGTCTCTCCCTGTGTGATGTTGGGGGGGCGGTCTCCCTGTGTGATGCTGGGGGGGCCTCTTCCTGTGTGATGCTGGGGGGGGTCTATTCCTGTGTCTTACTGGGGGGGGCCTCTCCCTGTGTGATGCTGGGGAGCCTCTTCCTGTGTGATGCAGGCGGTGGCCTCTTCCTGTGTGATGCTGGGGGGGTCTCTTCCTGTGTGATGCTGGGGGGCCTCTCCCTGTGTGATGCTGGGGGGGGTCTCTCCCTGTGTGATGCTGGGGGGTATCTCTCCCTGTGTGATGCTGGGGGGTGTCTCTCCCTGTGTGATGCTGGGGGGTGTCTCTCCCTGTGTGATGCTGGGGGGTATCTCTCCCTGTGTGATGCTGGGGGGTATCTCTCCCTGTGTGATGCTGGGGGGTATCTCTCCCTGTGTGATGCTGGGGGGTATCTCTCCCTGTGTGATGCTGGGGGGTGTCTCTCCCTGTGTGATGCTGGGGGGTGTCTCTCCCTGTGTGATGCTGGGGGGGGCCTCTTCTTGGGTGAAGCTAGGGGGTCTTTTCTTGGGTGATGCTGGGGGGGCCTCTTCCTGTGTGATATTGGGGGGGCCACTTCCTGTTTGATGTGTGGGCCTCTCTCTCCACTTCCAACAGGAAGGCCCCCTTGTTTGGGATGCTCCGAGTTTTCTGAGTTCACTGTTGATTTCCTTCCCTTTCCCTGCACACTCGCCCGGTTCTCTCCTATGTCGTTCATGGTGTGGCTCTCGGTCGCTCGGGTGCCCTCAGGTGACCCACAGGCCTGTGAGCACCGAGGTTTTTTTCTGCACTTCCTGCTCTGCTTCTGGGAGACACTGGGGCAAGGAGGGGAATGACTGGTTCCTCCTGGGGCAGTGGTGGCTCTTTATGGCAGGGGCTAGTGCCGACTTTGCCTCTCTGGACATGGGTGTGGGAGACCGTGGTCTGTGTGGCTGCCGAAGGCAGGGAGGCTCATCCAGGCAGCCCACAGTTCGTGTCACCACGGAGGTCCTGATGAGCACCTCCCACCACCAGGTGCACGTGAAGCCACCATGAGGTTAATTCCAAGCCAGCACTTGACCAGGTTTATTTTTAGAAGCTGGAGCTCATCTTAAAGGCACCAAGCTCTTTTGCTCTAAGAAGTGGAGGTTGACATGTGAGCTGGTTGTGACTGTAAGAAGTGGAGGTTGATGTGCGAGCTGGTTGTGACAGCTGGGGACAGTTTATTTTGTGGCCGCCAAGAACAATAAAGTGTAACTGAGGCCCAAAAGCATTTGTTTCCATTTCCTAATATTTCTGCTATCTCTGAAGATGTTACATTTGGTTGGGAAGAAAGAGCCTCTGTAGTGTGAGAATTTGTTTTTTACAAAGATTGTATCAATAAAATTTGCCTAAGAAAAGCTTTGAAATATACAGAGCAAACTGCCAAACCCCAGGAATTCATGAAAAGGTGTGTATTTTGGCTGCTGGGTTATTATGTATTTTGGCTGCTGGTTATAGCACCAGGATCGGGTTCCATGGGTCTGTGAATTGGATTTGGGGAGGCAGCGTGTGACCCCACACTCAGCTCCCTCCCACCTTGCTGTATCCCCACAGGCCACCTGCAGCCCCTCCACCTCCCACTCAGCTTCCCCACTTCATAGCTCAGTCCTCCCCCACTCTGGGGTCAGGGTCCTGGCTCTTGCTGGCCTGGTCAGCGTCTCTGCTTCTAGGGTCTTCTCACAGACTGGGGAGGTCCGTGGGGCCCCTGGTCCTTCTGCAGAGGCCACAGCACTGGGTCCCTCCCTGTTGCATATCCTCTTGGCCCTGCTCCCAGGCGGAGGGTGGCCCGGCCTCCGTTGCCCTTCCTGAAAGGTTTGTTCTGGGGAGAAGGCAAGGACTAAGGCGTCTCCCCTTCCGCCCCAGCACATCCTGGAGCTGGAAGCCATGCTGTATGATGCCCTGCAGCAGGAGGCCGGGGCTAAGGTGGCTGAGCTGCTGTCAGAGGAGGAGCGCGAGAAGCTCAAGGTGGCCGTGGAGCAGTGGAAGCGCCAGGTCATGAGTGAGCTGCGCGAGCGGGACGCCCAGATCCTGCGGGAGCGCATGGAGCTGCTGCAGCTGGCTCAGCAGGTGTGTGGCAGGCGGGGGCAGGGCTGGCGTGAAGACCTGGCCAGGACCTGCACAGAGCCAGGGGGGGTCCTCCCACGGCCACACCTCCAACCACTACCCCTCTGTGGCCCCACCCTCCAGTGGCCACACCCCTCATAACACACACTCTGATGGCTACACCCTGATGGCCATGCCCCCAAACCGTCACGCCTTCCACACAGAGCCTTGGATGGCCACACCTTCTGATGATCATGCCCCAGAATGGCCACGCCCCCTGCTGGCCACACCCTCTGATGGCCACACCCCTGGTGGCCATGCCTGTCAATGGCAGGCACTCAGGCCAGACTGCCTCCCCTACCAGCCTAGTGTCCTGGGCGTGTTGCGGAGGCCTCTGGGTGGCAGTTCCCCTCTTTTGGACCCCTGGGTACTGTCTTTTCCGTGACACTGTTTCCTGATGGCAAGGATGTTCTCTGGGGACAGCAGCCCAAGGCCTGCCTTTGCCTCAGGGCACTGTGGGACCTCAGGCCTGTTGGGTCAGTTCTGCTCTAATGGGAGGTGAGAAGCCCTGCTGACTAGATGGCCTGGATGTGTAGGACACGGCCCAGCTTCTCCGTGAGCCAGGTTGGCTGGGAGGCGGCTTTATGGATGTATTCCTTGTTAAGAACACCACTAGCGAAGGCTTAGTTGAAATTCACATAAACAAGTGTGCTGTGTGCCAGCTGGCTGTGGGCATCGGTGGGTTAATGTTGGCCATGCTCTGCTGGCTCCTCATTAGCCTCCTGGGCCTCTTTGGTCTCCAGGGGCTCAGGGTGAGGACAGTGACCTGCAACCCCTTTGCTGCCTCAGAGGGGCTGTGGTTGGAGCTCGGATGCTTGGGGGACCCCAGGCGCCAGCATCCCCCTCACCGGGAGGCTCTCTCTGTGCCCAGCTCTCCTGCGACCCTCTGGCGGCCCCTTACTCCGCTGCGGTGGCATCTGGGGGACCGGGAATCCATTCCTACCATTTCCCTGGCTGTCAGGCGTTGTGCTTTCTGAGTTGAAGTTGCAGGAATTGGAAGGATATTGTTCCCACCACGGGGAGTGTGGCATGGCGAAGACCCTCCACTCTCCTGCCAGAGCAGTGCAGCAAAGGCTTGTGTCCTCGTCAGGAGCCACGGGCCATGGCCATGCCAGCTGCTCTGCGACGATCTGTTACCAAGGAAATGAATGAAAATCTTGAAGGATTTGGGTTTCCCGAGTACTGTGACTATTGAAGATGTTCTTCCTTTTAATCTTGCAGAGAATTAAAGAGTTAGAAGAAAGAATAGAAGCTCAGAAGAGACAAATAAAGGAACTGGAGGAAAAGGTAAAACAAATGCAGTTTTGGGGGTTGCTTGTTAAGATCAAGGGAGAGGAACCCGGTGTCACCCCGACCTGAGTCACTCAGCTCCAGGCCGTTGGGGCAGCAGACTTCGCTCCCAACAGCAGCGGGAAGCGGCCGCCTGGAGGCCTGAAGGCTGGGCGGAGCTGAGCTGGGCGGAGCTGAGCTGGGTGGTAGCTGCAAGGGCTCTGGACCCGGAGACAGGAGCCCCAGGGTCTAGGAATGCCCCTGCCAGGGCCCAGCCATGCGACCGCAGAGGAGCCACTCCTCTTGTGGCCTCAGTTTCCCCATCTGGAGCCAACGGCCTCGGGTTCCTCCCATCACTGAAGCCTGGGCTGTGTGGAAGCCTTTGATCCGTGCAGGTTCACCTTGCACTGGTCTAAGAATCCAGTTCCCGGATCAGAAGCACCCGTTGACGTGCAGTTAGGCAGAGGCCACACACCAGGGCTGGGGAGGGCTGTCTGGCTCTTTCTCGGGGTCCCAGCTCCGTGAGGTGTGGGGTCAGGGCTGCTCTGTCCATGCACATAACAGACTTGGTGCTCCCCAAGTCAGGATGAGGGGAGCACAGCAGAGTCTCTCCCGGGGTTGCCTGCAGGCGTTCAGGGCAGCGCTTGTTCTCCCACGTGGGGCTGGTTCAGTCATGTCTGGGGGTGACAGTGTTCACTCCATTGTGATTGGTCCTGGGGGCCCGGCTCCCGACCCCCAGCTCAGAGTGAGACTTTTTGCTAAATCTGCTATGCGGTGGAGCTCACTGAAGGGACGGGCTCCCTCCGAGGGCTGAATGAAATGGTCAGTGGCCCCACCTTCTGCCTCATCCTTCCGGAGAGAACAGGAGGCTGGCATTGGGATGCCCCTGTGGTTGGCATGTGCTGGTCCCGGCCTGAGGAGGAGCCCACAGATGCTCTGCAATTGCCAGGAGAGACCGGGTCCCTCTGGACAGCAGTCGCCTTAGACGGGCCGTGTGTCATCCCACATCCACCCTAGCCCTGCCCCGCCCCTCGTAGGCGGTGACACCCATGCCCTTCCACTGGGCACTCACTGCCGCCTGTGAGAATCATCATCCTGAGGAACGAGTTACTCAAGGCACAGCCTTTGAGGCCCCGGTGGACTCCAGGCCACGTGGGGAAGCACCCACTAGCACGCAGGGGCACCCGGCCTTGCCGGGAGGGGACACAGTGTTCTGGGGGCTGGAGCCTCAGAGGGCAAAGCCTCTCCCCAAACCAAATGTCTGTTTCATTTTGCATCTTAACCTAAGGATATTTGTTTGTATTAAATACTAGAAAAATGTGAGGGCTAGGCGTGGTGGCTCATGCCTGTAATTCCAGTACTTTAGGAGGCCTAGATGGGAGGATCGCTTGAGCCCAGGATTTCAAGACCAGCCTGGGCAACATAGTGAGACCCTGTCTCTAGAAAAAAATTTTAAAACATAGCTGGACATGGTGGCACGTGCCTATAATCTCCGTTACTCAGGGGGCCGAGGTGGGAGGATCACCTGAGCCTGGGAGGTTGAGGCTGCAGTGAGCCATGATTACGTCACTGCACTCCAGACTGGGTGACCGACTGAGATCCTGTCTCCAAAGAAAAAAATAGATCAGGTGTTATTTCTTAAATCTAGCTAAATAGCTCTTCATTCCCAAGCGATGCCCCACTGCCCGATTTTCTCTCGTGTCCAGATGGGCCTGGCTCCCGACCCCCAGCCCAGAGTGAGACTGTGTGCGCTTTGTCTGCTCAGGGTGCTGGTTGTACTTTGCTGCTTACGGTGGGACTGAGACCACAATATTCTCACAGGCCTGCTTTTGTTTGCTGGGCACTTGGAATGTCTTTCAATACAACGTTCACCATTATTATTACCCCATTGGTGCTCTTGCCAAAAATTCCTGCAGCAGGTCTCAGCGATGGGTTTCACTTCAGGGAGGAGGAGACCCAGTCCCCGGGAGGCTGGCCTTGTGGTGCTGGGGACACGCTGGGTGTGGGGCCCCTGACCAGCGCCCACCACCCGCATCTGCCCGGTGCAGAGTCCCCAGTGCGTTCCTAGGGGTGGCGGCACCACCCCTCAGACCCGGGGATTTGGGCAGCATCCCTCCCTCGGCACAGTCCTTAATAGCGTCCTCTCCTCCCTGCCAACAGCTCTGTCTTCAGTCTGTAATCGCGTGTATTTCTTGCCAGAAGCACTACAAACTCTTTTTTCTCTTTCTTTCCTTCCGTTTCTCCATCCTCCCCTTTCCGTTTCAGTTTCTATTTTTGTTCTTATTTTTCTCCTTAGCTTTCATTCTCTGGTCATAGTCCGTCTTGGCACCCTGACGTGGTGAGTATTTCGTTGGCAGGGCCCAGCAGGGGTCCCGCTCTGCTTCCCGGAAGACTCCTCTGCCCCTGCCCTGCCAGGGAGTTGCCCACCTGCCATTCGATCAACTGGAAGGCGATGACCCAGCATCCCCAAAAGGGTTGTTAGAAAGCCACCCGCGTCCTTCAACACTGGAAGTCCCTCCCTGGGGGTCAGGACCCGGAGTCTTCCACTGTAGAGGCCGCAAGGTGCTCACCTTTCCTGAACGGGAAGGAGAGCAGGGTTCCCACCACCACCCCAGTGTAGCAGAAACATGCAGGACCCTCTCTAGGGGGTCTTTCTGCTTTGGTGGCACTCGGCAGCAGGCCCTGGGGGCAGACACGGTGGTTCTGTGATTCGTCCTTGTTCTTTTCTGGGTGGTGCTGAGCACAAGCTCGGGCGGTGCTGGAGATTCAGCCAGGAGGGCTTGGTCTCCCTGCCAGGCCGGGCAGCTTAGGCCAGGATAGCTGGAGTCTACAGGTCATGGCTGCTGCTACCATGGCACCCGCCAGCATAGATGGCTGCCTCCTTCCAAACTGGAGGAGGGGCAAGTAGGACGTCACATCATTGTTCGCCTCGGTCCTCGAGTCTGCACCCTTCAGCAGGTCCCGAGAGGAGCTTCCCCTGGGAGCAGGGCTCTCCCTCTCCATGAAGCCCCTCATCCCTCACCCCTTACCCCTCACTCCAGCCAAGTGGAGTCTCCCTGACATCCTCTCCACGCAGCCCTTCGGTCCTCACCCCTCACCCCTCGGCCCTCACCCCTCGGCCCTCGCCCCTCGCCCCTCACCCCTCGGCCCTCGCCCCTCGCCCCTCGGCCCTCGCCCCTCACTCCAGCCAAGCGGAGCCTCGCTGACTCTGCACTCTACGTTTCATTTCTTCCAGCCCCACATTGAATCGGACCCTTTTCCTCCAGTGGGACCAGAAAGCAGGGACAAAATGGGACGTCGCGTCTCCATCCTGAAGACCCAGGGAGATTTGGTCTCTGCACGCCCGTCCCGTGGAGGAAGAGTGAGAAGGGGCAGTGTGTGGGGCGTGGAGCTGCCGTCCACGTGGGATGTGCCAGAACTAGAACTGGCTCTGCCGACTTCTCGGGGGCTTCTCCGGGACGGGCCTGGCCTTGGCTGCTGGACCCTGGGTCCCTTCTCCCGGACGGCAGCCCCCATCCCATTTCCAGGGATGTGTAGCATTCCCTGCCAAGCAGGGGTGAGAACTGCTTCTGTGCAGAAGCACCAGCCGCGGGTCCCCTCCTCTCTCTTGGTTCTCACAGTAGCTGCCACTGGTGTCTGGAGGAAGATTTTCAGAAACAACAGAGGCTTGGCCTGATGACAAGATGAAAGCTGGACGGTGACCTTCATTCAGGGGAACCTGGAGGCTCCCTGGGATGGTCCTGGGAGGGCTCCCCGACGCCTCAGGGGCCCCTCCGATGCTGCAATATGTTGCTGGGGTCCTGAGCACCCGCTGGCCAACAGACCCCACATCCACCCTCGTTCATCATCATCTCTGTGGGGACAGACAAGAGCCGTGGCCGCCGCGGGCCGCGTGGTGCCATCAACCCTCTGCCTCCCTACTCAACCTGAGACAGGAAGGCCAAGATCCCGCCCAAGCCGCCAGCTGGGAGCACCGCGGGACTGAGCCAAGGAAGGCGTGGGGAGCGTGGTGACAGGAGGTGGGACGAGGGGGCGGAGCTGGCTGGAACACGGATGCCAGAGGCTGCCTCCATAGTGAATCTCCAGAAGTCACAGAGGCCCTGGGCACCCAGAGCCACCCAGCCTGGAAGCCCCTGCACGGGCCAGCCCTGCAGGCCATGGACCCCGGCGGGCACCGAAGCCTCACCCCAAGCCTTTGCACACAAGGAGCAGCCCAGGTGGGGATGGCGGGCGCAAGAAGGGAACCGCGGGGACGGCCTTTCCCCTCCCGCCCTGTGTGGGGACGCTGCACGAGCCGTGGACCAAGAGGCTGACAGGTAAGGGCTGCCATCTGTCCGCGGGGAGGGCCTTTGCACCCTCCCTGCGAGGTGAGCTCCAGCTTCTTCACACCTCTGTGTCCCCGTCTGCACATGCGTGACGCTGCCACCCCGTCCACTGCTGACCCGTCAAGATCACCTCTCCCGCCACTGACGGGACAGGGCCTGGGGGCTGGTGTGGAGCGTGGCGTGAGCTGTCGCTGGGGCAGGGTCTGCAGACATGGTGCTCCACGGGGACCTGGCGTCTGGCAGAGCTGGTCCTCCTCCCACTTGCAGGAGGAGGCTTGCGGGAAAAGGGAGAAACCCCGTAGGTGCAATGAGGCCGCTCTCCGAGTGCGCCTCCCTCCGCTGCTCCCGTGCACTTGAACGTGGACGCCGCCCCACACTCGGCCCCGGCACCTGAGGTGTCCGCTCTGGGGAGGCGACTCTGGGTGCTCCCAGCAGGGAGGGAGGGAGGTCAGGACTCTGGGCATGCTCCACCGTGGAGCTTTCCTCGCCAGCGGGGTTCCCTATGGGAGGGTTTGTGGATCCGTTGTGTCTGTGGGACTCAGCGGGGCCCTGGGGCAGGGTGAGCCGGTTCTTGGGGAGGCAGTGGCAGCCCCATGGGGGGCCGCCCAGGGAGCGCTCCATCTCCCCCACCTCCGACCCACACCGTGTCTGAGAGCCACCTGTGTCTCCTGCAGTGGGCAGCGGCTGTGGGCCACGGGCACTGTTGTTCCCGGGAGATGCTCCCTGCGTAGAAAATGGGAGGGGGAGGAGGAGGTGCGACCACCACCCTGGACTCAGGAGAGGGCGGCAGCTCCATCTTCACCCTTGACTCAGGAGGGGTCCGCAGCGAGGAGGAGGTGCGAAGGGGGCGGCGGCTCCGTCTTGCAGGTCCCCTGGGGCGCGTTCTTCAGGTGCGTGGTGGACGAGGCGGCGTCCTCGCGGGGTCGGGACCTGGGTACCCAGCAGCATCTGGCTCCTGCATCCACCAAGGGCGCCCAGGCACAGCCTCAGGCCAGAAGGTTCGCTGCAGAGGTTCATTCTAGAAGGAGCGGGAGACCAGCAGTCCCAGCCCTGTCCAAGGACGCCCGCTGCTTGGCACACGAGGGCGCCGCAGGCCCACCATCCCTCAGGACATGGCTGCCGAGTCCCCAGAGACTTCTGGTCCCACAGCAAGAGCTGGAGCTCCAAGCATAACATCTCTAACTGTGCGGCAAGGACAGCGCAGCCAGAGGTCGGGAGCTCCACAGCCTCCAGGGTCCCCCGAGGGCGGCTGGGGACAGGGAACGCCCCACAGCACAACAACACACACGGCGTGGACATACGCACCTCCCCGCCATACGAACCTCCCCGCGGAGGCTTCCCGGCTGCCTCACTCCCACCCCCTGCGGGCCAGGCCTCACAGCAGGGGCAGGTGGACCATCCAGGCCATGCTAAGCCCCGAGCAGGTTCCCACAACAGGTCACAGAGGGGACGCCGGGTCAGGAGATGGGGGCCTGGGGAGCAAGGCCCCCCACAGCTGCCCTCGGTGACATCTGGGACTTGGACATCCATGGACGGCATCCCTGGATGGAGCCATTTCCTGGGTACTGGACCTGGAGGTGACTCGGAGCTTCTCCTGCTCCCAGCGTGTGTCCATGGGGGCGGTCAGGGTAGACAGGCCACACCGTCATCAGGGAGGGGCAGCCGGCCGCCAACGTGCAGACTGTGTCTCAGGCCTGTCGGCATGGCGGGGACAGAGGTGGGTGGGCGCCGCTCCGCTCGGGGGCTGACAAGCCACAGGCTCATTGTGGACAAGGCGTCTGTACAGCTCCGCACAGAAGACTTCTCAGCCAGTCCCGTCAGCCTCCCGGGATCAGGGAGTGAGCCTCGAATGCTAGATCAGAAAGGAAAACGTGTGAGTCAATTGGCCCCAAGCGTCACGTTGCACCAGGCAGAGCTGTCAGCCCCAGATGCTCGTGGAGGGCTGTCACCCAACCCTGCAGCTAACCCAGGGGTGGGGAAACCTGTGAGCAGAAACCTGTCCCCGCTGGAGCACCAGAAGCAATGCCTTCTTGAGCATGTTCAGTCAAGTGAGGAGAGGAGAGCGATGCCTTTGCAGGCTCCCTTGGGGGAGGTTACGGAGCGGGGACTTTGGGCCGAGGCCGCCAGCTCACAGGGCTCCTCTGAAGCGAGGCGGCTGTCATCCTCTCGGGATCCTCTCCCACCGCGTCTGCTCCGAGTGTGCAGTCTCCAGCGTGAGTTTGAAGGGTGTCAGGAAAGAGCTACTACCTAAACTTGCAGCCAGCAAGGGGCTTTTGTGCCCTAGTCCCCACTCCCAGCCCTGGACCACCAACCCCACACCCATGGGAAGCAGAGGGCCCCTCACCCACAGCCCGGCAGGTGCACTGTGCGCCCTGCTCTGTGGTAGAGGAATTGCGACAATGTCCGTCCGAGTGTATTTTTGCCCAGTAAATGAGACGCGAGACGTTACTGTGCTGTCCCAGTGAGCATCTCCCTTCTCTCCAATTAGCTTTTTTCCCCAACTGTTTATTTTGAAATAATTTTAGACTTAAAGTTGCACAAATTGTGTAGAGAGTCCTGTGTACCCTTCAGCCTGCTTCCCCTGATGTCCCTGTCTTATTTTTTTCTTTCTTTTTTTTTTTTTTTTTTGAGACAGGGTCTTTCTCTGTCACCAGGCTGGAGTTCAGTGGCGCGATCTCGGCTCACTGCAACCTCCTCCTCCTCCTGGGTTCAAGCAATTCTCCTGCCTCAGCCTCCCGAGTAGCGGGGATTACAGGCAGGCACCACCACACTCAGCTAATTTTTGTATTTTTAGTAGAGACGGGGGTTTCACCATGTTGGCCAGGATGGTCTCAAACTCCTGACCTCGTGATCTGCCTGCCTCGGCCTCCCAAAGTGCTGGGATTACAGGCATGAGCCCCTGCGCCCGGCCTGTCCCTGTCTTGCATAATCATGATAGATTTTCAAAACTTAACTCAGCCACACCCTGGGTTCTGGTTTCTCCAGGTTTCCTCCTGGCAAATGCTCCTTTCTGTTCCAGGACCCCACGTTGCATTCACTCATCCTGTCTCTGTAGTGCCTGCCATCAGTGACACTTTTTTAGTTCTTCCTCGTCACTCTTGGCCTCGACGCTTGGATAAGAACTGGCGGGTTATTTTGTAGAAGGTTCCTCAGGAGGATCTGCCTGGCCTGTGGTTCCGTGGAGATAATGCATCTGGGGGGCATGCCCCAGGAGTGATGGACCCTAAGTACCACACCAGGGTGCCCGAGATGGGTGTGTTTCATCACTGAGGCCGTAACCTTGATCACTTGCCTAAGGGGGTGTCTGCCAGGGTCTCCACTGAGAAGGAGTCCTTTGTAATCTATGCGTGTACTGGGGGAGATTCGCCGAGACTGAAAACACCACGTTTCTCTGTGAACGTTGCCCCGATCTCCGCACCCGTTGGTGGATCTTCCCTGCAGCATGTCTTCCTGTGGGGACGTGCTCTCCCCCTTCCTTCTATTTCATTGGTTAGAATTTTCCTATAGAGAAGACCTGCCCCTTTTCTCCTATTTCTTTGCTTATGTATCGCACTGTATGCTTCCAGCCGTTCAGTCTGTCCCTGGGTCGTGGCCCAGCCAGGCTGTTAATGTCTCTTCACCCAGACGCTGCCACGGAGCCTCCAGCGCTCCTCCAGGCCGGCGCCCTGCAAAGCACTCTCTTCCTCTCTGTCCCCACAAGGCGGGGTCCATAACCCCTTCCCCAGGGAGCTCTGGCTTCTGTGTTGGAGAGCAGTGTGCAGAAACCAAGGTCTCTGGACCTGGGTGTGCTTGTTGCTACTGGGGTGACAGTATTTCTAGGCTGTCTCAGAGACAGCCTGGAAATACATGTGCAAACCAACCTGTGCACACCCACACACCTGTGCTTCCCGCCTTCCCTCTCTACTTCCTTCTCTCTCTCCTTCCCTCTCTCTCCTTCCCTCTCTCTCTCTCTCCTTCCCTCTCTCTCTCTCTCCCTCTCTCTCTCCTTCCCTCTCTCTCTCCCTCTCTCTCTCCTTCCCTCTCTCTCTCCCTCTCCTTCCCTCTCCCCTCCTTCCCTCTCTCTCTCCCCCTCCCCCTCCTTCCCTCTCTCTCTCCCCCTCCTTCCCTCTCTCTCTCTCTCTCTCTCTCCCCCTCCTTCCCTCTCTCTCTCTCTCTCCCCCCCTCCTTCCCTCTCTCTCTCATCATCTACCTACCTATCTATTGCTGTTACAAAACCACAAGTTCTTAGTGATGCCTCCAATTCCAGGCCAATGGTGTGTGGTTCTTCGCAGCCATCTTCCCCTCCTTGTTTGTGACACTGGCGGTAGCAGATACTTGGCGCTTGCTGTCTGCAATGTACCTGCTCATCTGTGCGGCCCTGGCATACACCCATGTTGCCTCAGGATTGCTAACCCAGACCCTGTAGGAAACAGATGCCCCAGCTGGAGCACAATTCCTTTCCCCCCAGCCTCACGGTGTCCACACACAACACTGTTTTCCAAACAACTCAGGTGGGGTCTCTTCTTACCCACCCTCCCTAGGGCTGCTCATTTGTAATACAGCCAGGTGCCTTTGTACAGCTGATATTTCATTCATGTTTCTTCACATATTGACTCTTTGAAAAAATTTACATGTAGTACAATTGACTATGGTATGCTTGTGGTGGTGTGTGGTGGCCTGTGGTATGTTCATGGTGGTGTGTGTGTGGTGTGTCTGTGGTGGTCTGTGGTGTGTCTCTGGTGGTCTGTGGTGTGTCTGTGATGTGTTAGTGGTGGTGTGTGGTGGCCTGTGGTATGTTCATGGTGGTGTGTGTGTGGTGTGTCTGTGGTGGTCTGTGGTGTGTCTCTGGTGGTCTGTGGTGTGTCTGTGATGTGTTAGTGGTGGTGTGTGGTGGCCTGTGGTATGTTCATGGTGGTGTGTGTGTGGTGTGTCTGTGGTGGTCTGTGGTGTGTCTCTGGTGGTCTGTGGTGTGTCTGTGGTAGTGTGTGGTGTGTCTGTGATGTGTTAGTGGTGGTGTGTGGTGTGCCTGTGGTGGTCTCTGGTGTGTCTGGTGGTTTCTGGTGTGCTTGTGGTGGTGTGTTTGTGGTGTGTGTGGTGTGTCTGCAATGGCTTTCTCGGTTGTGACCCATGCACAGTGCATGCATCCACCAACCCAGCCCCAACACAGACCGTCCCATCCCCAAGCTGCCTCCTGCTGCCTGTGCAGTGGCCCCTTCCTGGCAGCCCTGACCTGTTTCTCATTGTGTCAGTTTTGCCTCTTCCACATCAGGTAAATAGAGTCACATAGTGCAGCTTTGGGGATCTGGCTGTGTTTACGTTCAGCAAAACCCACATAAGGTTCCTTGTGCTGTGTGGCTCTGTGGGCTTGGTGGGCTCAATGGCCTCCGTGGCCTCCGTGGGCTCAGTGGGCTCCGTGGGCTCTGTGGGCTCCGTGGGTTTTCCTTCTGTTCCCGAGCGGAATCCCCTCGGGTGAAAGGACCACAGTGCACCAGGGGCTTGTTGAAGGACGTCAGGGTGGTTTCCGGTTTGGGGCAAATGTGAACAAAACTGCTATAATGTGTGACAGGTTTTTTCACGAAAGCAAGTCTTCTTTCTCTTGGGTAAATACCTAGGATTGGGTCTGCTGGATTACATGGTGAGTGCATGCTTACTTTTTATAAGTAACTGTTGTCCAGAGTGACTGTTCCATTTTGCATTTCCACCGGCGCTGGGAGGATTTCCGTTGCCCCACACGCAACGTCTTCACAGGTTAGGCTGGTTCTCCTTATTTGGTCCCTTCCAATAGAGGGGGAGTGGCATCTTATTTGGGGTTTCATTTGCATCTTGCTACTGACTAATGATGTTGAGCATCTTTTTGTGTGTTGATTTTCCATCCTTATACCTTCTTTGGTGAAACATCTGTTCAGATCATTTGCCCATTTTTGTATTGGGTTGTTTGCTTTGTTATTCCTGAGTTTTGAGAGGCTCTTCCTCTATTCTGGATACGTGCCATTATCAGATACACCGCTGAAAAGTATTTCTTCCAGTCTGTCTTTCATCTTTTCATTCCCTTGAGTGTCATTTAAAGAGCAGAAATTCTTAATTTTGATGAAGTCTAATTTATCTACTTTAAAAAAATGAAGCGTGGTTTTTGATGTTAGAACTAAGAAAACCTTGCCTAACTCAAAGTCACAAATATTTTCTCCCATTTCCTTCTAGAATCTGTGGTTTTATGTCTTAAATTTAAAACACCTGTGATTCACTTTGAGTTAACTTTTGCATATGGGGCTCAGTATGGATTGAAGTTTATTTTTTGCATGTGAATGTCCACCCAAGAACATCCTTGTCTCCTTCCACCCCATGGTCAATAACTCCTCCTTTTTGTTATTAAAGTCCCTTCTGCTTGGCTCTGTGGTCAGTGCCGTCCTGGCTGGGGTGTCCACCTTACTCTGCCACCACAAGATGGGAAAGCAGGGATGCTGGTGGGGTCCCTTGAGCCGGCAGAGCCAGCGTGTCTGGTCCCCATTTGACCCCAGGGTGGGCTGGATCTCTAGGGCCTGGGCCTGTGGCCACTCAGGGTCTGGAAGCTCGAGGTGTGTTGATTAACTGTCAGCAGGTTCAGATTTACAGCTTCTGTGGAGCAGGCGCCTGAATGCCAATGAGCAGCCCTGCTCTTCTGAGCTGGGTCACAGACTGCCGCCTCCATGCTGCTGCTGGAGATGATGTCTGTTTGGTCATCTTAAAATCCAGGGATTTTAAAAGGCTGCCCCTGTTCAGGATGTATCCACAGTTCATGGCCATCATGCATGATGGAGCAGGAAGCTTCACTTAAAAGAAATGTGTAATGCTCTGCATCATAGACCAGTGAAATTGTTTTCTTACTGAATTTGTCTATATTGTTAAAGAAAGAGAAATAAAAGATGAGGTGTTTAGAAACAGCTCACCCAAGTGTGAACAATTAGTCCTTTGGGGCTGTCCCCTCCCAGGGCAGTTGCTGAGCTGGGGGAAGCGCCCCTCCCTGAGTACTGCCCAGGCACTGCCTGTCTCTCTTGGAAGCAGAGGCTGCCAGATCCCGATCAGGGGGCGGAGTCTTCAAGGTGCCTCACCATGTTCCCTGCAGGATCTGCCCCCCAGCACCTGCCCGTTAAGGCAGCTTCATCAGCCAGGGCTCCAGCCGCAAGAGGGAACGGGGAGGGACTCTGCCCTGGGCTCAGCCGTGTGTTTGTCTGATGGCAGAAGCAGCTCCCGTGCAGCCTCCAGCTCACAGGCAGCCATGGGGTCACGTTGCATTTGCATGGCAGAACCAGCGGGAGGGTCCCTGCTGGCAGCTCCTGCCTGGTCCCCTCATCCTCAGCACAGCATCGTCCTCGTGTTTCTTGGTGCACAGCATGGCCTTGGTCCTGGTGCTGGTGTGTGCCTCGCTCTTGCTGCTGGTCTGCAGCAGCTGCTTGCTCATTTCGTCCCTTCATTGTTACATCTGTGGCTGCCACCCAAAACAAACACTGACCTCTGACTTCGTGGCCCATCCCATCCCCTCCCCATGAGGGCTTTGTGCAGTGCTTTGTAGCAGACACGTTTCCACAACGCAGACTACTAACCGCTATACGATCACGGCAGCAGACACATTTCCAAAAGGCAGACTCTTTAATTGTGTTTGAAATCTTTGTTAACGGGCATTTTTTTGGGTGTTTGTGCTTGGAATCACTCTGCAGGGATTCAGCCATGTGCACCCTCCAATCTGTGACCTCGTGCTGGGGCTTTACCTCCCCTCTGGTGGACATTTGGTTATTTCCAGGCTTCTGCTTGTTACGAGTGCTGCTTCTTGAACATTCCTGTGGAGTCTCCGGATGCGCTGGTGCCGCGACTCCTCATGGGTCACATTAGGAGTTGGAATCTTCGACTTTGGGAGATGATGCCAACCTCTTTTCTGGTTCCTATTGGCTTTGGAGCTATTTCTCTTTGCTCTTTGTTTAGAATCTTTCTGTTTTTACCAAGGGCGAAGGTGTTTCTCAAATGTTACTGGGTGATTTGCACAAAATCTCAGAAACTGAACGACTGACTTGAAACCATGAGTCCCCCTCCCCGCTTTATTGCTCTATTGTCTAATTTATTCTTTTCAGCCAGCAGCTTACAGCCTGCGGGCCAGCTGTCTTGCAATCTATAATGCAACCATCTTGGTTAAAGCAATAATGGATCCTTTTACTAGCCTGGCCATGGGGCCGTTAATAGGGGATGTCATTATTAGAGAAGCCGATTTCAGAAAGGGTAGCTGGGCATCGCTGTGGAGGCCTGTGAGAACAGCTGCCGCCACCAGATACAAAATGAAACCAGGAACCCATGGAGAACAGGCAGAAAGTGTGCGCACGTGTGTGCACACATGCCAGTGTGTGGGGGGAGTGTGCCTGTGCATTTGGTCATGGTGTGTATACACTTGCTCCTGTGCCCTGGGTAGTGTGCATGTGTGTGTGCACACTGTGCATTTGGTCGTGGTGTGTATACACCTGCTCCTGTGCCCTGGGTAGTGTGTGTGTGTGTGCACACTGTGCATTTGGTCGTGTGTGCGCACCTGCTCCTGTGCCCTGGGTAGGGTGCATGTCTGTGCACACTGTGCATTTGGCCATGGTGTGTATACACTTGCTCCTGTGTCCTGGGTAGTGTGCGTGTGTGTGTCCACACTGTGCATTTGGCCGTGGTGTGTGTGCATCTGCTCTTGTGCCCTGGGTAGTGTGTGTGTGTGCACACTGCATTTGGTGGTGTGTGTGCACCTGCTCCTGTGTCCTGGGTAGTGTGCGTGTGTGTGCACACTGTGCATTTGGTTGTGCGTGCGCACCTGCTCCTGTGCCCTGGGTAGTGTGCGTGTGTGTGCACCTGCTCTTGTGCCCTGGGTAGTGCGTGTGTGTGCACACTGTGCATTTGGTTGTGTGTGTGCACCTGCTCCTGTGCCCTGGGTAGTGTGCGTGTATGTGTGCACCTGCTCTTGTGCCCTGGGTAGTGTGTGTGTCTGTGCACACTGTGCATTTGGTTGTGTGTGAACCTGCTCCTGTGCACCCGCTTCTGTGCACCCACTTCACTGTCCCACCTGCCACCTGCACCATCAAAGTGGCTTCTGCCTTTATTATTTATTAGGGAGCTGTAGAGCCAAAATCAGTAGGAGGGTGACCCAGAGCAGAGCACCACGTGCCTGAGGACTGTCCCAGGATGGGAGGACCATTCCAGCATCCGTGTGAGCCACATGGGGCTCCGCCGTGGTGGCTGGGGAGAGGATGACCTCAGAGGCGGCCCTGGGCAGACAGGGAGTTGATAACAGCACTGGTCCCCTCTGTAGAGTTGAGAGAGACCCCATGAAGGGGGTAGAGGAGGAAGAGGGAGGAGGAGGCACAGCCTGTGTCTGGGTAAGGTCTGTTTCATATTTTCCCCAAATCAGAGCTTCAAGAAAAAAATACCTTGACTGTGAGCAGAGTTAGTGGCTGCCATTTGTTTCTGTTTGGTTTGAAAATGTTTGGCTAAAGTTTCTCAGACAAAAGAGCATATGGGGAAAGGTCCTGTGCTTGGCCCTCACTCCATGTCCTATCAGCTGGGAATCTGTGTATTTGTGGGGCGGTGTTGGGGAAGAGCAAGGATCCAGACTGCAGGGTCTCACCCCCTCCCAAGCGGCTCACCCTGTGTGAGAACCCTGGGGTTGCTTGTCTCATGCACATTTTTGGAAACTGAGGCTGTAGGTCCCGAGCCTTCCAGTGGCATTCATCATCTGTTGATTCTGAAGCAGGCAGAGTTCCGGACCCCAGGAAGGTTCTTGTCTTCCTTGCCAACTGAGTTATGTTTCCAAACAGTTGAGATCCCAGTGGAAATTTCCAGCACACACAGACGGCAGGGGCCTGTTCCTCCGGCTCTGTTTTGACATCAATCAGAATGCTGTTTCCTGATCCATATGTACGACTACGTCTGCACGTGGTACCCATGGTGGTATTGATGAGGGTTCTGCCCTGCAGCTTTTAGCGAGGTTCTGGTGCCTTCGTGCCCGTGGGGCTGGGGGCCCCGACCTGTGGAAACACCCTGTGTCAGCCCTGGGTGGTGCCCCAGGCATGCTGCCATCTCCTGTCCCTGCTGCCGCCCTTGGCACTGTCCAATGAGCCAAGTTCATGATTGTGGTTGTCAACTTGTTCCTACACTTCATCAGCTATCCTCGTTGCAGCCCAAGATAAAATTACCCAGGCTTTCCCCTCCAGCGTGAAGGGCAGGGGCCCTCAGTGCTCATCCTCCCCCAGCATCATGCACGGTCACGGGGCTGTATTTGTTGACGGGACTTTTGGGCTCCCCGGGCTCTGAGCTGGTTGGGGCTCCACCTGCACTATGCCTGAGCTCCCCACATCCTACCTCTCTCCTGTCACTCGAAGCTCAGCCACCTGAGCAGCACTTTCCTGCCCCCTCCCTGAGAACTGGGAGCTCTTGGGATGAGGATTATCTGGGTTTCTCCCGCGGAACCCTTACTGTGGCACTGATACACTCACATAAACATTTGCCACGTGAATGGCCAAGTACGTAAAAGAATGCGCTCCCTGAAGGCAATTCGCAGCCCCATGTTCCCCCCACCCCCCACACTTCCAGGCAACAGTGAAAGCAGATGTTCTGGGGGTCCCCGAGACCACCTGCATCTCTGGGGACTCGCTAGGATTCACAGGACTCAGCACACAGTCACACCACAGCAGGGCCACACCACGGCAGGGTCGCACCACAGCAGGGTCACGCCACGGCAGGGTCACACCACAACAGCCACACCATGGCACAGCCACACCATTATCGCAGCCCTATAATCGGGAGGCATGGCTGGATCTGCAAGGGAAGAGTTCACAGGCACAGCCTGGAGAGGCCTGTGAGCAGACTTCCTGTGCTCTCTCCCCTCCCATGCTCTTCCCCCTGTGAGGTGCACACGGGGCACACACTCCCTCCAGCAGCAAAACACAGCCCCATATATGCAGTGTTTCTGCTCGGGAAATTCCAGCTAAGACCCAAAATTCATGGTTTTGATTTGGGGGCTACTCAGTTGTGCGCCCCCCACCCACTAACATGCCAGGCCCTCAAAAGGAAGGCTGGTGTTTGCCATGAATCACATTGTTTGCACAGTCTAGGCAGGAACCTCCTCACTAAAGGAATGCTTCGAAGCCAAGTTCCCAGACGCCAGCCAATGGCCACCGTTGCAAGCAGGCACTTCTGCAGCTAGCAGCCTCAGGCCTGTCCACAGAGACACTCTTGAGTGAGGACCCTGGGGTGCCAGAGCTTGCTTGGGGGCATTGAGGAGCCCCATGGAGCCACAGAGACCAAGGCCAGACCCATGGATGGCTGCCTCCCACCTGTCCTGTGCCTGACATGGCTCCAGTTTGGATGAGGTCCTCAGCTGACTGTGAGGGACAGTGCCCAGAAAGGGGAGGGTGGGTGGGAGGGAGAAGATCACGTTCCCTAGAAGAGACGGAACAGATGGGGTAGGGCGGGAGGGATTTGGGAAGACTGCAAACCTGGAAGCAGAACTGTGTGTGTGTGTGTGTGTGTGCGTGCGTGCATGCGTGTGTGTGCGTGTGTGTGTGCGTGCGCGTGTGTGTGTGCGTGCGCGTGTGTGTGTGCGTGTGTGTGCGTGTGTGCGTGCGTGTGTGCGTGTGCGTGTGCGTGTGTGCGTGTGTGTGCGCGCGCGTGTGTGTGCGTGCGTGTGTGTGTGCGCGTGTGTGTGCGTGTGTGTGCGTGTGTGCGTGCGTGCGCGCGCGTGTGTGCGTGTGTGTGCGTGTGTGTGTGTGCGCGTATGCATGTGCTGTGAGTGGTGTGTTGTGTATGCATGTGTGTATATATCGTGTGCATGTGTGTGCTGTGTGTGAGTGGTGTCTTTGGGCATGTGCATGTATGTGTATGTGTTGTGCATTGCATGTGCCTGTATGTGTATTTTGCATTGTGTGTACACATGTACAGTGCATTTGTGCGTATTGTGTGGGCATGTGTGTGTAGTGTATTGTGTGTACATGCATGTGCAGTGTGTATGTGCTGTTTGCACATGTGCAGGTATGTGTATTGTGCATTGTGTGTACGTGCACATGTAGTGTGTGTGTGTGAGTGGTATGTTGCGGCCATGGATGGGGCAGAAAGTCTCCTGTTCTGGAAATAGGGCAGTGAGTGGAGTGTGCTGACAATGGAGAGCAGCAGCTGGCTCTGGAGAGGGATCAAGTGACCACAGGAAACCAAATGCTCTGGTCTTGTTCCTTTAATTTGGGGAGTGAGTTTTTAAAATTCAGCATCATATTTTCAACAAGACCTCTGTTCTCTATTTGCATGTGCCTAGTTCATACTCCAGGCAGTTGATCACATAATTCAGAGAGGCATTGACAGGGTGGGAGTGTTTCTGGGTAGGTGTCCAGATCCCCGGCCCTTCTCAGCCTGGAAGTGTCACCGAGGGAAATCCCTGTTTTACATGGGGCTTCACCTTTTCCCTCTGTAAAATATGAGGGCTGGACTGGCAGGTCCCCTTCCTCCTGTACCTTCTAGAGATCGATGGTTCCGGGACAACCTATTTAGAAACGAACCCGATTAAAGGCACAAAGAACAAGGTACTATGTTAACTGCAGCAGAGATTTCAACTGTAACGCTTAATACGGGAAGAAGTAAACATGTATGTGTCATTTGACTACATTTATTTTTCATTCTGTTTGAGGTAATATCTTCTTACTTAGAAGTTAGGTTAAATCAAAAACCAAAAAGCTCTTCAGACCTCTCCTAGATTAGAAAACCGTGGTGTCTCTACGGCCGGGCCCTCTGCCTCTGTCCCAGCGTGCCCTCACTCCCGCCCCTCTGCCTCTGTCCCAGCGTGCCCTCGCTCCCGCCCCTCAGCCCACGTGGCCTCCCACCCGATGCTGCCATGCCCCAGGGACTGATCCGGGGCCCGCCCTTGTGAAAAGCAGATCCTTCATAACTTCTTCAAAAACATGAAAAAATGGAAAGGTAATAAAAACTTTGAACTTAGCAGAGGCCCACTTTCTAAGCAATGAGGGAAGTTGGGTAGAAACCGGGCTGCTGGCCCAGACATGGTGAGAAAGATCCAAGGTCACTTCTGTAGGGGCTTTGTGAGGAGCATGGACTCATCTTCCTGAGAGTGTGGCCTTCGGTGGGTGCCAGGTGCGTCTCCCGGGCTGGAGGCTCAGGACGTGGCGCTGTAGCTGGTGCTGGACCCATGAGGGCAGTGCCTGCCATTGGCTCAGTGACCATCCTGTGCAGAGCCAGTGCCTGGTCAAGGCCCCAACTGCCTTGAGTGCTGACCTGTGGTGGGTCACACACATTCCCCAGGTCGTCGCACTAAACGGCGTTTTCTCCACTCTTTTTCAGAGAGGAAGCAGTGCATTGGTGAAGGCAACGTTAGGTGTGATTTCCATTCCTGCTGGGAGACCCGGGACGCAGCCCGGGAGCTTCGTCCAGCCTGTGGATGGAGCCTGACTGGCTGCAGATGGAACTTCTGTGTCCTCCCACCCTAGGTGGGCTAAGGTTCTGCTCTCAGAGCTGAATTGACAGGAGGTGTGTGTGTGTGCTCACTTGTGTGCACAAGCATGCGTTTATGCATGTTTTCACGCAACCAGAAGAGCCATTCGTGGGATTTAGCCATTTCGAGGCACCTAGAAGTTGAGGCAGCCAGCTGTGCAGCCAGGTGTGACTGTTACTGGCAGCATTGTATAAAAGACACGACTCAGCTGCCGTAGGGAGGACTGGGTTGTCTGGAAGTATTAGGCTCATTTTATATTTGTGTCAGAAGAAATGTCTGACTTTGGGGCAGATGACACGGTGGCTGCGGACCAGGCATGGCTCCCTAGGTTGAAATCAGGGAAAAGCTAATAGTATCAGACAGATATGCTTTTTCTTTGGTGGCTGCAGGATTTTTGCTGGAAAATGCACTATTAATCAGCACTTGTCCAAGAAAGACCCATCCATTTCTGTTGTCATTCAAGCCACAGTTCCTGATTTACTCGGCAAGATACTGGGCCAGTTCAGTGTCTCTAGCTGAGCCTGACCTCGGGGTTTGCGTCTCGAGTCTGAAATCCTGTTTAGTCCTCTGTGCATAGTTTTGTCTCATTTTAACGACTGCATCTTCTTGGCACATTTATTATACTCACAACTGAATGGCACACAATAGCCTTGTGTTAATAAAAGCTACCGTGGCGCTGTGGGTGAACCGCTGGGTTGAAGTCCGATGGACTCTACGATGCAGGCATCCAGAAATATGTTGTAACTCTACCTGGCTCCCTGCCAGCCTGGCCTCCTCCTCTGGGAGAGCTCCTGGCATGGTCCCAATGTGTACCTGCATGGGAACAACAGCTGCATGGGCCAGCTGTTTCGGATCTAAAGATGTGCAGTGAAACTCACATTCCCAGATTCACATCCCTCATGTTTATTTGGGTCATCATGGTTTAGCATGTTGTATATATGTCTGGAGCACTTCATACACCTCTATCCACCACAGACACTCTTAATCACAGTTCTGTAATAATAATAAGGCAAACTATACGGCAAAGAGAAGCATGTAAATATGTACCAAATCCTTATGAAGTTGTAATTGTTTATATGTAAAAAGTATGTATATAGGAACGGGAGAAGGTGCAAGGAATGTGCTGAATAACATCCAAACTGCATCGCGTCTCTGCCCCATTCCTGAAAGCACACATCTAGTTGGAGCGTCAGTTCCTCTCCTTAGATATCATTGTTTTCACTCGTCTATCATAGGCACCTTCTTTACATCTGATTACAATACCCAGCATTTCAGAACTGGGTTTTTGCCCCCAAAAAGGTAAATATGAGCATTTATCACTGACTCCTCCTGGTCCAGTGAGCAGCAGCAGAATTCAAGTATTTAAAAATAAGGTGCATTTCTAAATTGCAGGCTATACCTTCTTTTCCAAACCAATGGGCTAGAGTGAATTTCCTCCAAGTACTTGGGCTGTCTTACTGCTAGCTCTTCTAACAGGGGAAGTCTGTATGAATGCATCACCCCCTAATAAGGCAAGAGGAAGGACCCTGAAATGTTGCCAGAAATGTACTGTTACATCAACATTTACATTATATTAACATCATCACACTCTGTGTTCAACACACAGAACAACATAGATACTTTAGTTTGTCTAAAGTAAAAATCCACATAAATAGCAGATTCCTTTGTTGACACCAGTGTGTTGTTTACCTTGTGCCCATGGTCCAGATTTTGAGCTGGAGAAGGACTATGGCTGTTCCTTAAAGTCTCTGCCCTTGCAGAATCTGTAGCCTTCAGGATACCCCGAGTGCCTTACAGGGCTTGTGAACACCGATACTAGAAGTCAAAAAGAAGAGAGTGCCCAAGTGTGGGTTTGGAGGCACTGACGCATTCGCCAACTCACCGTCATCCCATCCTTGAAACCCTGAGAGAGAGTGTGTGTTTTATCACAGTAATGGAATTCAGTTTAGCCTCAGGAAACTCATATTGTGAATATAGGTATCAAATCATATATTTGTTTACTGTATATTTTTTAAAAAGCTTTATTGTAAATTTATGCAAAAACTAACCGGGCCTGTTTTCTTACGGCGGCATGCCAGGTAGTGTGTGTATTCTCCCAGGCACTCCCTTCATAGTCACCCTCTAACCACGTGACATTCCGTTCCATGCTAAGCAGTATTCACAGGCCTAAAATAGGTTTGTATGGTGATCTACAAGATTTTACAAATATTTTTGTATTGTGATTCCTATGATATATACCAGAGAATTTTTTACTCGTTTGTAAATTATTGTACAGTTTTAATAAAAAATGTTTTAAATCTTAGACGATTAAAGTCCCCTCAAAGGTATTAAAGTTTGAACTGAAAGCCGTATGAGCCATTTCTGCACTTCTGAGTTCATTCTCTGAACAGTGCCTCTGCACACCAGAAACGGAGTCCGCGCCTTCCGCCCACTGTGGAGGAAAGCCCCAGTTCTCACCTGCGAGATCACCTGGAGGGCAAGCTCTGCAGTCGGGTGCCTGGCAGCACCTGGCTCCGGTCGACCACCTGGGAGGCTCCCTCCTGTGGCTGTTGGTCAAATGTGAACCATGGAAGAGATCAGACAGTTAGGAAAGGGACGGAACTTCTGCACGTGCATAAGAACAGTTGGTGATATTTGCCGTGGACGGTCCCACACAGGTGAGTAACAGACATTGCATTAATCATTTAGGGGAGGGGGAGCCCAGAGGAGGACGAAGGGGTGGGAAGCTGCTGGACCTAGCTCTGCTGGCTCGGGCCCCGCCAGTACTCGAGGTCATGGTGACTCAGTGGCCAAACTCTGGCTTTGAAATGCGGACTGCGGTAACAACGCAAAGGCCTGAAGTCTCTGGGTTCGAATTCAGCTGCTGCAGGCTGGGTAGAATGACAGATGGAGTGACAGCATCGCCCGTCACTCCTGTCTCGCCCCAAGCCTCTAACTCGGCTTTAAGGGAGATCAGCAGCAGTTTGCGTGGGCGGGTACACCCCACCCCCGCGCGCCCTCCACACTCGCCCAGGGTTTCGGAGTCAGGGCTTTCTTGTCTGGCGTGGGACGGCCCAAGGGGCCTGGAAATGTGGCCGGGATTCCCACAGCGGTTTCTCCGGTGCGCGCTCCCCGCCCGGCCTTCCCAGCGCCCAGTGTGTCCCGAGGGCGAGCAGCCACGCGTGGCCGGGACTAAGCGAGCACCCAGGGGCCAGAATGGGGCGTTCAGCACCCGCTACGTGGACAGAGCCAGCTCCGCGCAGCGCTGCCGGGCGGCAGGAGGCGGGGGGGGAGGGCGCGGCCTCCAGGTCCGCCCAGTGCACCTGCCGCGCAGACCTCGCTACAGGAGGCTCCGAGACCGGATTCTGTCGCCCGCTCCTGCCGTGACCGCGCGGCAGCCTCAGGAGCCCGCGAGGCCTCTGGCCCGGCCCAAGCTTGGCTGCGTGTTCCGCTGCGTGGAGGACGCCTTCGAGAGCAAGACGCTGCCGCTGGACGCTCTGGGCGGCGGCCGCCCGGGCCCTCGGGTTGGGAGGCGAGTCTGCGCGGCGCGCGGAGACCCCTCAACGGCCGCAGCAAGTCCCCGAGGGCAGCCCGGCGTGGCCCAGGCCCGGGACCCCCAGCAGGTAGTGGCCGCGGGACAGAGGCCGTGGGCCCGGGCTCGGACTCCCCGAGACCCTCGCACCCGGAGGACGCCGGGCGTGGGGCTCCCCCGCTCCCCCCTGCGGGGTCCTCCCTATCCGTAAAGGTCCTGAGCCTTCTGGGTCCTGCGACCACCCCCCACCCCCGCGAGGTCCCGCCCACCACCGCGTCCCGGTCCCTGGGGAGCGCGTGCGCCTCCTTCTGTCTCTCTCTCTCTCTCTCTCTGTCCTATTCGGGCCCCTCCTGCCCTCCGTCTCTCGCGGCCAGCGTGGAACAGCCTCGCGGGGTCACAGCCTGGCGCTCGGACCCTGGCCCGGGTCATCTGCGAAGGAGCCGGCTTTGGCCAAGGTGCCTTCCTGGACGGGTGTGGTTCCCAGAGCGTCGCGGCCCGGGGTTGACTGGCTCGGAATCCCGGGGCCTTGGGCGCCTCGCGTCTCCTGGGACCTGGGTTCCGCGCTGGAGGGCAGCGGGGGCGCGGGCGGGGCCTGGCAGGACGTGGCCGGACTCTCTCCCTCGCCTCCCCGGGGTGCAAACCCCGCGCACATCAGCTGGAGCAGGTTGAAATCCCCACCCAGCGCTCGTCCGCGGGTCTGCGCGGGGGCCCGGGGTGCAGAGATCAGACCCTGCAGCGGTTCCAGCGCTGGGGGGGCTTTAAAGCGAAGGAGTGGCTGAGGGCGGGGGCGGGGCTGATGGGCGGGGTGAGGCGGGGCTCGGGCTGGGGCGGGCCCTATCGGGGGCGGGGCCTGCCGGGGGCGGAGCCGGGGTGGGGGCGGGGCCCAGCGGGGGCGGGACCGGAACGGAGCCGTGCGGCCCCGCGCGCTCGCAGTCTGTCTCCCGCCGTCCCCACGCACGCGTCCCGGCTCACGCGTCCCCCCGCCCGCCCGCCCGCCCGCCCGCCCCCGCTTGTGCCGCCCCTACCAGAGACCCCCAGGAGCAGGATGTCCTTCCAGGGCAAGAAAAGCATCCCCCGGATCACGGTGAGCCCGGTCCCGCTTCGCCCGGCGCCCCCTGCCCGCCGCCCGGAGTGGGGCCTGGACGCCGGGCGGACCCTCCTGGTCTTGTGCGTGGGTGGGGGGTCCCTGCCTTTGCGTCTGGTCCCTGTCCTGGCGCCCGCCCTTCCCTGCTCGGCTCCTTCGCGCCCCAGGGTCCGAGAGTCCCCGCTAGCGCCGCGCAGACCCCCTTAAGGAGCGGGGCGCCCAGGCCCGGCCCGGCCCGGCCCTGCCCGGCCCTGCCGGGCCCTGCCGGGCCCTGCCCGGCCTTGCCCGGCCTTGCCGGCTTCCGGGAGCCTCGGCTGCGCCCGGGGAGAACCCGGGGCCGGGCGGCCTGTCCCTCGGAGCGCTAGCGGCTCCTTTCTCCCACGGCGGTCGGGTGGCGAGGCGGGCGGACGCGGCCCTTTGTTGGCCCGGGCTGGTCCGGGGCGCGGGGAGATGCCGTTCCCGGCGCAGCCCGTGGGTCGCCCGCCCCTTGGACGCACTGGCGCTGCGTCGGGAGCTCTTTGTCCGAGACAAAGCGATTTAGCCCCGGCCGCTCTGGCCGGAGTCCCTGGTGGCCCCGAACCCTTCCAGTAACCTGGGTTCAGCGACTCCAAGGAAAGCGAGCGGTCAAGGGCCACTGGCCGGGAACCCTGGCAGCCCCTGAACCTTCGAGAGCAGAGACCCCTCCCCAACACCCACACGCACCGGCGCGGGAGGTCCCGCTCTGCCAGAAACAAAGCCTCCCCGCTCGGGCGGGGGGAGATGGGGGTGGGAGGAAGGAGGCTTCGGGACCCGGCAGGACCTGGGCGGGGGAGTCCATGGGGTCCCAGACCCGACTCTGGACTTGGCCTCGGCGGGAGGGCCGTGGGGTCTGACCTCTGGCATTAGCTCGAGCCGTGGGCTGTGGGCTCCACTCCCCCAGACTCTGAGCGAGGAAGGAGCCCTCCCCTCTCCAGATGGGAGGGGCTGCTGCCTCCAGAGGGTTCTGCCCGGCTGGGTCTGGTCTTGATGCAGGAGGTCTTGCCAGTCAGCTGGCATGTGGGGGTCGAGTTTGGGGGTGGCAGGAGGACCCCTTCCCAGGGGAGGTCAGGCAACCATGTCAGTGCGGAGGGGCAGCTGCTTCCCGGGAACTTTCACCTCCATCCGGATGAGTGCAGTAAGAAGAGCACAGCCCCACACCCCAGCTGCGTCTCCTCTGGGTTCCAAACCCAGTCTCAGTGCGGGTGCCTGAACACTTGGGCGCCTATGAGCAGAGAGCCCAGACCACACGTCTCCTCAAGCCTCCTTCTGCCCGGTTGCGTTTTCTAGGGCTTCCTTGAAAATGCGTGGGTCCCCTGGGAGGGGTGGAAAGTGAAGAAGAGGGACAGCACCGGGAAGGCAGCCAGGGCCTGATGCGGCCACAGAGGCTCTGCAAATGCATGGTGGTGCCGGGTCAGGGCTGAGCCTGGCGCTCAGCTGGGACTGGGCAGGAGGAGGAGAGGTGCAGCGGCTGGGAACAGACAGCTCTGTAGACCAAGGGTCTAAAACTTCTTCCACAACCAGCCCGAGAGTAAATGTTGTCAGCTTTGCGGACCACGCTGTTCCTGTCTCAGCTGCTTGGCCCTGCCAGGAAAGCAGTCCTGGACATTTAGGAAGTCGATGGGCACCACTGTGTTCCAACAAAACTTCATCTGTGGATGCTGCAGTGTGAACTTCATAGAATTTTTGAGTCATGACATACTCTTGTTATTGTTTTCAGTGAATATACAAGAACGATTCTTAGCCTAGGGCTGTATGAAGAGAGGTAGAGGGTTGGGTCTGGCCTGTGGCATAGTCTGCCAACCGTTTGTAGACTATGGGGTAGAGGTTGACAAGTCACTGGGATCCTGAAAATACAGCCCCACAGTTAGATGTCAGCAGTGAATCCTGTAATGGAGTTCCTAGATAATGAACTCCTTCTCATTCTGAGAGTTTTACCAATTGTGCACTTCAGTTTAATGCTCTTGGCTTCAGACTGACGGTGCGTGAAGGCTCTAGCCCCAGGCTAGGGCCCTGGCCACCTATGGGTGGGCCCTGGAAACCCAGAGCAGGCGGCCGGACCTCCCTGTTAAATGCAGACGGTCAGTCCTGCCGGGTCAGTTGCAGGGCGTGCTGAGGCGCACGCCAGACGGTGGAGGGAAAAGCGTTGCCGAGTCCAGCCCGTGGGCGCGTCCTTCTCCACCTCCTTTCACTCCTTTTTTGTGTTTCTCTCCCCCATTCTCCAATGAGGTCAGATCTTCACCTCTGACGGTCATGCAGAGTCCCATCAGTGACACCCTACTTTCTGCCTAATCTTCTGCTTCCCGGCCATCTGGTAGGATTCTTAGAAGTGGATTTATGACTGCCAAGCACTGGAGTCAATCCCTGTCTAACGCCACAGCTCTGTGCTGCCAGGGCTGACCTACAAAGAGCGGGCCTCACCAGCCTGACGCTCTGTGTCCCACTGGGAGTGCGTCCGAGCTGCACTGGAACCGAGGTCACCCCATCTCTTCCCCATCACCCCCATGGCCTCTTGGTCAGCAAGTCCTGCCCTCCTGACTCCCAGCCTCTCTGGAATCCACTCTCCTCCCGTCCCTTCCCATAGTCCTGTCCCAGAGCCCCTCATCTCACTCAGAAATCACCCCAGCAATGATCCGGCTCCCACTGTTACCTGTCACAAGCTACTTTCTAACACAGCAGCCAAAGGTGATCTCTTTAAAACATCAAACCAGGATTGAAACCTGCTTAAGGCCCCCAGTCAGGGGGCAGCCATGGAGTCCCCAGGCCTACATATCCTGCCCCTGCCAAGCTCTGGGCACCGACTTGCCTCTGGCACCACCACCCCACCAGAAGGTTCCATCCCTCGGCCTCCTCCCAGGTCTGCTGATGGCAGCTCAAGCCCTTTCCTGCCCCAAGGCCAGGCTGCTTCCTGGCTGGAACGCTCGCCATGTCTGCCTTGCCCCTGTATCAGCCACCCTGGCCCCAGAGGTCCTTCTCCCAGCCCCTCTCTCATGGCCCTGCCATGGCGCCCTCACTGTGCTCTGCGCATTCGTCACCGACTGTGATGATCTGTGCACGTGTGTTTTTGCTGCCGTTGGTCTCCCCTCAGTGGGAGGCAGCCTCCTGGGGTGGGGACCATGCCTGTGGGGGCGCTGTCTGCCTCCGCCTCCTGGCACCATCACTGGTCTGTAGTGTTTGGGTGGAACCAAAGTCCAGCTCCGTCCGCTCCCAGCCTCCTCTGCGTGGGTGGAAGACAGGGTGGAGGAGAGCAGGATCTCTGAGGCTGCACAGGAGGCCATGAGGCAGCGTTCGCCTCCCACCTCAGGCTGGGGCTCCTCAATCCAGTGGTAAATCAGAAGATATAAATATGACCTGTGGCACTACCACACTTTCACCAACACGGGCTTTGCCCTCAGCGAGGTCTGAGCAGCAGCTGTGGGGCGTGCGTGGCACTTCCAGGGGCAACTGTTTTTGAGCGCCTGGTGCCACTTCTTGGGGAATAGTAAGCCGCTGCAGGCTTTTGTGCTCGTTTTTACGTCTAGAAATTTTGCCTGAATGTTTCAGTCATAATTTCAGAGGAAGGAGTTGCACCAAGAGTGTTACTGAGTAACTCAGTTTGGAGAAAAATTACCCTTTGTTGTTCCCGATAGAGTGACCGCCTTCTGATCAGAGGTGGGAGGATCGTGAATGACGACCAGTCCTTTTACGCTGATGTGCACGTGGAAGATGGCTTGATAAAGTAAGTTTCCGCCGAAAATGAAAATACGTTCCCAGCTCGTGTGTACACGCTGGTCACGTGGTATCCAGGCAGTTGAAAGTATGTTCCCAGCTCGTGTGTACACGCTGGTCACGTGGTATCCAGGCAGGTGAAAGTATGTTCCCAGCTCGTGTGTACACGCTGGCCACGTGGTATCCAGGCAGTTGAAAGTATGTTCCCAGCTCGTGTGTACACGCTGGTCACATGGTATCCAGGCAGGTGCAAATAGTTCCCAGCTCGTGTGTACACGCTGGCCACGTGGTATCCAGGCAGTTGAAAGTATGTTCCCACCTCTTGTGTACACACTGGTCACGTGGTATCCAGGCAGTTGAAAGTATGTTCCCAGCTCTTGTGTACACACTGGTCACGTGGTATCCAGGCAGGTGCAAATAGTTCCCAGCTCGTGTGTACACGCTGGCCACGTGGTATCCAGGCAGTTGAAAGTATGTTCCCACCTCTTGTGTACACACTGGCCACGTGGTATCCAGGCAGTTGAAAGTATGTTCCCACCTCTTGTGTACACACTGGTCACGTGGTATCCAGGCAGGTGCAAATAGTTCCCAGCTCGTGTGTACACGCTGGTCATGTGGTATCCAGGCAGATGAAAGTATGTTCCCAGCTCGTGTGTACACGCTGGTCATGTGGTATCCAGGCAGATGAACATAGTTCCCAGCTCGTGTGTACACGCTGGTCACATGGTATCCAGGCAGGTTAAAGTATGTTCCCAGCTCGTGTGTACACGCTGGTCACGTGGTATCCAGGCAGGTGAAAGTATGTTCCCAGCTCGTGTGTACACGCTGGTCACGTGGTATCCAGGCAGGTGAAAGTATGTTCCCAGCTCGTGTGTACACGCTGGTCACGTGGTATCCAGGCAGGTGAAAGTATGTTCCCACCTCTTGTGTACACACTGGTCACGTGGTATCCAGGCAGGTGCAAATAGTTCCCAGCTCGTGTGTACACACTGGTCACGTGGTATCCAGGCAGTTGAAAGTATGTTCCCAGCTCGTGTGTACACGCTGGTCATGTGGTATCCAGGCAGATGAACATAGTTCCCAGCTCGTGTGTACACGCTGGTCACATGGTATCCAGGCAGGTGAAAGTATGTTCCCAGCTCGTGTGTACACGCTGGTCACGTGGTATCCAGGCAGGTGAAAGTATGTTCCCAGCTCGTGTGTACACGCTGGTCACGTGGTATCCAGGCAGGTGAAAATAGTTCCCAGCTCTTGTGTACACACTGGTCACGTGGTATCCAGGCATTGACTTTTGGGTGAAATCCATGGGAGAGGTTTCTTCTTTTCTAAACCCATCCTTGGCAGCAGTAAGCTGGTGGCCACTGTCAGAGCCCCGGCCTTTGGTGAGGGCAGAGGTATGTTGGGTGGCTGTGGGCGAAAGCAGGACACCAGCTTCCACGTTTCTTTGTTCATCGCAGCACTTAGTATGGTGCCTGGCTCATAGCAGGTGCTTCCTAAATACTGGTGCCCACATCTATTAGCGCACCTGCTTCCGTTTGTCAAGCTGCTCCGTCCTCTAGTCAAAAAAGTACCAACCAGGGACCTGAGTGGAAAACCACAGGGCGTGGCGTCTGCGTGAGGCTGGACCCTGCAGTGACCGTCCTGAGCTGCGCTGAGTGATGCTTTGCTCCCTGGCACTCCCGAGGAGCTAGTCCAGTGAGTGGCCGGCCGTGCTGGCCTTTTCCTCGGGGTCTGGAGCTCATGCAAACCCTTTAGCTCTGCTGCATTGCTGGGAGCCCATCTGGGCTCTGACCTGGGCTCCCTGTAACCAGTGAAATCTCTGCTGCTTTCAGACAAATCGGAGAAAACCTCATCGTCCCTGGGGGCATCAAGACCATTGACGCCCACGGCCTGATGGTCCTTCCTGGTGGCGTTGACGTCCACACAAGGCTGCAGATGCCTGTCCTGGGCATGACACCGGCTGACGACTTCTGTCAGGGCACCAAGGCAGCGCTAGCAGGAGGAACCACCATGATCTGTGAGTGTCTGGGTCTCCTCCTCTACAGGGGGCAGCCAGCGTCTGCTGCCCCTCTCTCTGGCCAGGTGTGTGTGGGAGGAGGAGTGTCGCCTAAAGGTGCCTTTCTCAGCTGTCTGCCTTTATTGCATCTGTCTGAGAACCTGGAGTGCTTTTCTAATCCCTGTGTCTCACTCTGGGTGTTTCTGTGTGGCCAGTGCTGGAATGCTCCTGGGATTTCCAGGACTGGAAATCAGTGACTGACGTGTGTCCACTTGTTCTTCCCTGGGCACTAGTAGCCAGCTCGGAGTTGGGGGTTGGAAAACTCAAATGCCTTGGGCGAGGGGAGGGGTCATGCTGTCTGAAATGCCAGATACATGTTTGACCTTGAGCCACATGCCTCGGAAGCTTCATATCTGGAAGGTTCTTGCTCATGTCAAGAAGAGTTAAGGATGGAGACTGTATTTTTAGAAAAAGATAAAAGCAATGCTCATTATTATCCCATCAAAAAATAACCCGAGTTGCTATTTCTGTAGTGCTGGCTGCGTGCCCGGCACGGGCTCTATCCTGACACCCATCGGCTCACATGCTCTCCTCCTAAAACCCTCTGAGCTCAGCCCAGCTGGGCTCAGCTAAGCCTAGTTTAACAGGTGGGTGAGTGGAGTCCGCCTGCCCACCACGAGCACGTGGTGAGCTCAGGAGGCAGGACGAGGCCTCAGAGCCTAGACCTTGACTGCACTGTGTGGCCTTGGGTGCCATTCACTCTGCGGCGTCCGTCTGGCACAGACATCGCTGCTGTGGTTGAGAACGGGTCTGAGGAGCCTAGCTGAACCTGGTTGTATGGTTTTCTAGCTGTGTGACTCCAGATAAACTCAGCTGGCTTTTATAAGTCACACTTTGTTGATCTGTAAAACAGAACACTGGCCTCATGAGCTTCTGAGGCATGTGTGAGTTAATGCACGTCAGTTGCTTTGTGTCCCTGGCACACCGGGGAGGGCAGCTCTGAGGACCCTGAAACACCTCGCGGGACATTTAGCCATTACCAAATCACAGCTTGGTTTGGTTTACTCAGCCACAAAGGGAGAAAACACCAGCAGCAGCCCATCTTGCAGTCTGAGGAGACTGGCCACTGCTCGCGCCCTTCAGGGGGCGGCCCAAGCCGGTCAGGACGTCTGCACAGTCGAGACCACCTGCCTCGTGCCAGTGCCAAGGCACCCGGCCAGCTGTGGGTCCCCGCGAAGACAGAGAAACACCACAGACACGAGGCTGGCCTCTATCCTGCCTCTGTCTTCCTCGGCCTGCAGGCCCAGGCTGGCACTGTGGGTGGCTGCAGGGAGGCTGGGTGCCCACTTCATCTTGTTGGGATGAGTAGGGGCCCGAGGGAGGGCTGTGCTGGAGGAAGGCATCCCTGGCGGGTGCGCCCTCCTGTCCGACCACCTGGCTTGGAGCTGTGTCTGGCTGCACCAGGAGAGGCCAGTGAGCAGTGTTCGGGCCTTGGGTGTGTGGTTGGTGGGGCAGCAGCATGATGGCTGTGTGCAGGGGGCAGGATGGCCCCTTTCAAGTCTTGTGGGGCACTCGGGAAACCAGCCCAGCTCCCACTGTTCTAGGAAGGCACCCAGAGGTGGGGCCCAGCACCTTGGACAGCGCACTGGCCCAGCCTGGCCCTCGGGGTGCCTCACCCAGCCTGACAGGAGCTGGAGGCAGGGCAAAGCCCCGACCTCCTGTGCTCCTCCAAGTGCGATGTGGGAGTAGGGATGGTTTGGGGTGGGGCTTTTCCTTTCTCCCCTCTCCCTTCTGTGCTCAGAGGGTGGCTGGGGCACTTGGGACAGAAGGTTCCTCTTTGAACAAAGCAATAGAACGGGTTCGTGGCAGCGTCATCCTCTCTCAGGGGCCGGTGGCCTCTGCTGTGTCTCCCTCAAATGGTCCTCTGGTCTCTTGGGAACATGAAACAGAATCTCCCATGGAGGAGGCAGAGGTGGGAACCAGGGACCAGTGGGGGAAGCTGCTGACCATGCTGCCTTCACAGTGGACCACGTCTTCCCCGACACGGGTGTGAGCCTGCTGGCGGCCTACGAGCAGTGGCGGGAGCGGGCGGACAGCGCGGCCTGCTGCGACTACTCCCTGCACGTGGACATCACCCGATGGCATGAGAGCATCAAGGAGGAGCTGGAGGCCCTGGTCAAGGAGAAGGGTGAGGGTGGCTGGAGGGGCTGGAGGGCGGGCATGGAGCCTGGTGGAGGAGCCTCTGCCCTGACCCTGTGTTCTGCCGATGGTGCTGCTCTGCCCTGGGGGCTGGTGTCCAGGTTTGAGTGGAAGTTGGAGAAAAGTCATTTGAAGGCCCATCCCACCTTCAAAGGCTCTAGACCAAGAGGCCTTCTCTTTCCCAATCCGAGGGACCCATCCTGGAATTGTCCTCCTGATGAAAAGATGCAGCAGATCCGTCGTTTCTTAGAAGAGAGGCTGCCCAGGGTGGAAGAGCAGCAGTTCCCCAGTCTCCTAGCATCTGGGGATCCTTTCAGAGGGAGACCCTTTTAAATCCATATCTCTTTGTTGTCACCAATGCTAAAACAGATCAGTCTATAAACAAGTTAACATTTTTCCCCACAAAAAACCCTGAAGCTAAAACTACATCAGAGTTTCATAGTGGGTTTGACAAGTGGCATATCTGATTATAGCCGATCTCTCCTAATCTGAGTCCGGCCCACAGCTTCCAGCCTGGAGGTGGGGGCGGGATGGGGTCCAAGCAAGCCCAGGAGCCTGTCAAGGCCCTGGCACTCCCAGGGATGCCTGCTACCCGTCCCCTACAGACCTGAAGGAGGCAGGGGCATTTCTTCAAGGCCATTCCTCTGGGTTCCCATTCCTCAGAGGGTGACGGTCATCACATAGGTGCCCCTTGATGTCAGGACCCCTCACCTCCCTGCCCGGGGGCTGGTGGAGCCCGTCAATCCTCAGTCCCTGGGCCTCACTCCAGGCAGCTGCTCTGCCACCCATGCTGTTCTGTGAGTGGACTCGGGAGGCCTGTGGCCTCGTGTCTCAGAGCGGAGGTGGAAGCAGGGCCTGCACCTCCCCTCACCCTGTGTTGGCAGTGCTGGGGCCTCTGCTCCCCAAGAGCCATGCAGGAGTCCTCAGTCCTGTGCCCACGGGGTAGTGTTGCAGGGACAGCACTGCGCAACCCAAACATGACCTTCCTCAGACACTCGGGGGCAGGCCTCAAACTCCAGGTCACATACAGGTTGCTACCTGGAGGGATGGCTTGTGGGGCACAGTGTGACTCAGTTTCCCCAGTGTGCCTTAGCTTGTCACACTAGCACTTTCCACCCAGCGAGGAGGAGATGCCATGGGTTGGGTGGGCTTGAGTGATGGGAGGTTGGGATCCTGCCTCCAGGCCCAGGCCGGTCCCCACACAAGTTCCGAGTCCTGGGGGAGGTGGATGGGCTGTGGCTGCCCAGGAAACAGGAGAGCTCAGCCCTCTTCCTGTTTGGGCCCCAACGTCAGAGGCAGCCCCTCATCCTTCTGCTCGTCCTAAGGGCCCAGCCCTGAGATCTGGGTGGTCCCACAAGCCTGCACTGTGAGCCAGGCATGGCAAGTGGGGCTCCAAGGCCCTGCAGGCAGGTGCTGGATGTGCTGGACGGCCAGAATGCAGGTCCCCAGCACAGCGCGGCCCTGGCCGCACTTCCAGGAGGGAGCCAGTGGAACCCAGGCCGAGAGCCCAGGCACAGCGGCTCTTCCAGTAACGGGGGGTCTGCTGGATGGGTGTGAGGGGTTCTCACCTGCATTTGCCGCTGGGTGGACAATCAGTTCCTAACCCGGAGCACAGGAGCAGGCAAGGAGGGCCTGGATGTAGCTGCCTCCGCCTCACTTCCCAGCTTGCTGGTGTGTGCATGGAAGCGGGGGACTGCTCCCAGGGCTGGCAAGCCAGTGAGGGAAGCACTGCGGGGGAGGGGCCCAAGACCCCCAACCCTCCAGTGGGCAGGAGCAGCAGAGGCTCCGTAGGTTGTCTGACTGGTGATGGCTGAGCCTCTGACCCCTGCCTCTTCTCCAGGTGTGAACTCCTTCCTGGTCTTCATGGCATACAAGGACCGGTGCCAGTGCAGCGACAGCCAGGTAAGGGCAGGCGTGGGGAACGGAGTGGGCAGGTATATCCCAGGCCGCTGCTGGTGCAGGCGCAGCCCCACCCAGGACGCCACCACTTCTCTTCCCAGATGTACGAGATCTTCAGCATCATCCGGGACCTGGGGGCCTTGGCCCAGGTGCACGCTGAGAACGGGGACATCGTGGAGGAGGTGCCGTGGGGCAGGGCTGCCGTGGGGCAGGCACAGGGGCTGCCGTGGGGCAGGGGCTGCCTGTGGGGTGGGGCAGGGGTCTGAGGGTGACTTTCATGATACGCAGACATCAGCACAGAATCCCACAAAACCTTGAGGGAGGGTCATAGCTTACCCCGAGTCAAAGGTCAACCAGTGAGTTAGAGAGACTGGGGGGTGATGGGGAGCTTTGAGGCCATAAAACAGCTTCTCCTTGATCAACACTTCTTATCCAAAATACCTCAAAAGCAAAGTGTCAGCCCCAGGGATCGAGGCCCCTCCTGTGGAGCGGGGTACCCGCTGGGGGTTGGGTTACCACCTTCCTTCCAGCCAAGGGCACCCATGTTGACAGGGCCACATCCTTCAGACACATCCCACCGGGCTGGGGAGGGCCTGAGCCCGCGTGCAGTGGCGCCGACCCCCCAGGCCCTTGGGGCTGAGGCAACCTTGGCCCTGCACCTTGTTTTCCCCTCTAGCAGAGGCACCCACAGGTACAGATGGAGTTCAGAGAGTGGGCCACCCCATACCCGTGGGACCTCAGTGGGGGTCACCACACAGGACACACCTCCCTGACACTGCAAACCCACAGTGAGACTTCGTGGGACGGGACGGGCTCTGCCCACCTCCTGAGCTCTACAGGAAGGTGGTGGCACTCGGGCAGGGGCATGTGGGGGGTCCCCAGTGTCCTCGTCCACCCGTCCAGCTGTGAGGGCATCGGGGCATCACAAACACTTCTGTGGCCCAAGGCCAGGCCCCGGCTGCACCGTCAGGAGGTTGTCCTGGGTCTAGGGATGCTCCACATACAGCGGGAGGGAGCCTCAGTATTGGGGCTGCTGCTTCTGGCCGGTACCATGTCTTCCCTGACACGAGCGGATGCCGTAGTGCAAATCTGCACGGAAAGGCAGTGCTGGAGGAAGGAGTGGTCGTCCATTCCTGACCTGCAGAGCCCTCCCTGCCTGTGCACACCCCCACACATGCCCCCGCTGGGGGAGGCAGCGTGATGGGCATAGTGGTGGGAGGGTGGGGTCTTGGTGCCATCAGTCAGGAGCCCTGCAGCCTTGGGGGAGCCACTTTCCCCTATCCGAGCTGTCCCCTCCTTGGTAACTCAGGGAGCAGGAATCACACCTCTCCAAGCCCCTCTGCCCTCTATTCTGAGTGTTCTGTGGCTGGGAAATTCTGGGAGGCCTGGGGGTCCAGGACCACTTGGGGAATGGGGCCTCCCAGCCTTGGGCTTAGCATCCAAGGCCCAGGCTCCCTTCAGGGCTTGGAGCGAGGCATCCTGTTGGTTTCTTTAGGAGCAGAAGCGGTTGCTGGAGCTCGGCATCACTGGCCCCGAGGGCCACGTGCTCAGCCACCCCGAGGAGGTAAGATCCCAGGGCACCACAGCACACCCGAGCCAACTCCGCCCAGACCACTGCTGCCTGGGGCTGTGCTGACCCTGGCCCTGGGCTCCTGGCCCTGCCACTGTGCTCGCCCCGACCTCATCTGGGAGGCGTGAATCCTCCCCGTGCCAGGCACTTGTCCTCCATCCCCCCACAACCCTACAGCCTGTACCCGAGGCCCAGAAGGTGGCGTGGGCAGGCCCAGGCACTGAGCCCGAGGCTGGGCCGCTCCTACTAGGCTGCCCTGAGCCTGGGATCCCATGGGTGACACCTGGGCATCCCCATTGCCCACACTGGTCTGGAGCCCCAGGGCCCTCGTGTGGCCTCATCCCTCTCATCTCGTCCCCAGGTGGAGGCTGAGGCGGTGTACCGAGCTGTCACCATCGCCAAGCAGGCAAACTGCCCGCTGTACGTCACCAAGGTGATGAGCAAGGGGGCGGCCGACGCCATCGCTCAGGCCAAGCGCAGAGGTGAGCACCCAGCCCCGCCTCTGATGCCGAGGGGCCATGGTCTCGGCCTCCTGGGTGCAGCCCTGGGGAGATGCAGGTTCCCTGAGTCCCTGCATCGGGGCGGGGCACTGGACCCTGAGTCCCTGCATCGGGGTGGGGCACTGGACCCTGAGTCCCTGCATCGGGGCAGGGGCTGGACCTGAGTTTCCAGCCTTGCTGGAGCAGCAGCTGCTCACCAGGGGCCCTGAGGCAAAACATGGGGACGCTCATCCCATTTCCAGTGGGGGTGGGTGTGGGGAGAATGGAATGATGAGGAGGGTCTCCAAGAGAGAATTCCAGTTCCAACAAGGAGGCCCTCCCTACATTGCTATTTGCTGTGTCCAGAGCCGGGGTGCTACCTGCCCACAGAATGCCAGCCAGCTGGAGCCTGGCACTGCAGAGAGCCTCAGGCCTGGGCGGGGGGGTGCCACCCAGAGCTGTGATTGGCAGCGGCTTGACTGTGGTGTCCCCCAGAGGCTACTGGGCTCAGAGGGTCCATGGAGCCCCAGCAATCACTGGGGCTGGAGAGGGCCAAGGATCCAGGCACAGAACCCAGGTGACGGGTAAATGAGGGGGCATCCCCTAGGCGGCCTCTGGATCTGGTCTGGTTTCCCCTCCTCCTGCTGTCCGCACTGAGTCCTGAGAGACCTCGTTTTCTGGGCCTGCCTGGGGCTGTGCAGGTCCCTGGGCAGGGTGGGGGGCGGGGTGGTGGTGGTGGTGGGTGGTGCCCTTCTATGTGTTTCCTGCATCGAGGGTTGAAACTGAAACCCACTCAGTTAACTGGGAAAAGGACTCTGAGGCGTGCAGGTGAATGGGGGTCTGCAGGGGTGAGGCCCGGGCCTCACTCAGGACACCAAGCAGCCTCGGGGCAGCAGGCCAGGCCCTTCTCAGGGGTACCCCACCCGCCAGGCTCTTCTCGGGGGGTGCCCCACCCCACCTGGGAGCATTTCTCCCCCACCCACTGGTGGGAGCTGCCTCAGCTGTGAGCTGGAACCCTGGTGAGGCCATGGCCAGGGCACCCCCGGCCAGTCAGCCGCCATGCAGTTCACTGTGCCTCGCAGCCCACAGGCACGCCCTGGCCCCGCTGGAGTGCCCGGGGTCCTGGGGTGGGGTGTGGGCAGAGAGAGGACTTGGCGTCCGCAGGCCAGACTCCCTTTCCCAGAAGGACCCCCAGGGCCAACCACGTCTGCCCGCGACCCAGGCCTCTGCCCCACTTCCTGCCCAGGGCCAGGGACTCTAGACTGGGCACAAGCTGTCCCAGGCAAGGAAAGTGAGGGGCAGTCGTGGGTGTCAGCAGCAGCAGTTCTCGGGGCCCCAGGGGGTGCAGGTGGTCGGTGGGGCACCTCTCATGGGCCTCGTGCTGCAGGGGTGGTCGTGTTTGGGGAGCCCATCACCGCCAGCCTGGGCACCGACGGTTCACACTACTGGAGCAAGAACTGGGCCAAGGCCGCAGCCTTCGTCACATCACCCCCTGTCAACCCAGACCCCACCACGGCGGACCACCTCACCTGCTTGCTGTCCAGGTAAGCAGCCTCTCCAGGTGGCCCCAGGTTGGCCGCCCGCTGCACACCCTGCCAAGGCTGTGGCCCCGACACCCCAGGCCTCTCCCACGGCTCCCATAGGGCAGCCCGGACAGTGGCGGGTGGGGAAGTCTGAGCCCTTTGGTCCCAGCGGGGGCTCCCCTGGCAGGAACCAGTCCCCGCTCCCCTGCACAGAGGCACCAGCTCTGCCCAGCGAGAGCCACTCAGATGACCTCTAGCCCCTGCGGCTGTGCTGGCCAAGGGGGCTGGAGCTGACCTGGCCTCTGCCGGCTCAGGAAGGCCAGGACCCTCTGACCCTGGCTTGTTTCCAGCGGGGACCTCCAGGTGACAGGCAGCGCCCACTGCACCTTCACCACTGCCCAGAAGGCTGTGGGCAAGGACAACTTCGCGCTGATCCCCGAGGGCACCAACGGCATTGAGGAGCGCATGTCGATGGTCTGGGAGAAATGTGTGGTGAGCACAGGCCTGGCCGGGGCACGCCGTCTGGGGAGCGGCTGTGGGCGGGATTGTGATGGCTGGTCAGAAGGGAGCCCATCTAACCAGTGCACACTCGTGAAACAGATCAGAGCACACGGGCTCCGGGGTGGCGGATTCCCCACCCAGGGCGCCTCAGACACGTGGTTCTGGCCCCTCCAGATGAGACTCCAACAGCAACAGGGGCAGCTGGTAGCCCCCCACCCCTCAGCAGACTCTAGTGTTGCCCGGACACTGTGTTTGCCCAGGGGTCAGCATGGGGTCTCCACGCTGTGATGTTAGTGCTCCCCCGCGATGCCCTCACGACCCGTCGCACACCGCCCTGTCCTGCGCCCTCCCGCATCCTCAGCCCCACCTCCCCGGGCAACTGAGCTCTTCCCCTCAGCTGCTCCTGCCTTCCCAGCCTCCAGGGCTCCCCAAGGAGACTGTCACGTCCTTCAGGGGACACAGGTGTTGCCACTGAAGCTCCACTCTCGCTGAACCTTCGTGGAAGCTTTACCCACAAAGTGAATGCAGAAAGGCTTCGCCCAGGAAGGGGCAGACCAGCAGGCATCACTGAGATGGGCTCCCTGACTCACCAGTGCAGCGTTCTTACCCCAGGGGTTACTCAGGCGTTCTTACCCTGAGTGTTGCCATGGCGAGGGCCGTGGCTGGAGCCCTGTCCTGATCTTGGCTGCCTGGGTGGCACTCTAGTGCCCGTCTTCACGGGGGCCTGGTATCCGTCTTTGTGGGGTCCCAGCGGTCCAGCATCTGACCTGGCAGGGGCCCCGTGTCCTGCCGTCCAACCTTGTGGGGGGCCTGGTGGTCCAGCGTCTGTCCTCACGGGGGCCTGGTGACCTGGCATCCATCCTTGTGGGGTCCTGGTGGCCCAGTGTCTGTCCTCGCGCAAGCCTCACCCCAACCCCACCCGTCGCCCTCAGCTCAGCCTTCTTGTTCCCCAGGCCTCTGGGAAGATGGACGAGAATGAGTTCGTCGCGGTGACCAGTACAAATGCTGCCAAAATCTTCAATTTTTACCCAAGGAAGGGGCGAGTGGCTGTGGGCTCTGACGCTGACCTGGTCATATGGAACCCCAAGGCCACCAAGATCATCTCTGCCAAGACCCACAATCTGGTAAGAGAAGGCGGCTGTAAGTCAGGGTTGGCCTTTGTGGGGCCGGGACCCCAGGGCAGCCTTCCCAGGAGAGGCGCAGGACAGAGGCCCACGTGGCAGCAGCAGTGGCCTCAGCCATCCCAGGGCCGTCCACACAGCCTGTCCCAGGCCAGACACTGAAATGGGCCCTGTCCACGTCACCTCGCTGCGTGGCCGCTGCATCTGTGGTCCCCTTGTGCCATGGAGGAGGCTGGGGCAGAGCGGTGCCGTGTGCACCTGCCTAGCCAAGGGAGAAGTGACCCTCCCTGCCTGCCCACGCCTGTCCCCTTTGTCCTCGAGAGAAACGGGACTCAGAAACGAGGTCCGTAGGCCGAGGGGGGGCATTCCTCCCGAGTTCCAACCCCTCAGTTCCAGCATCTTGCTAGGGGCTCAGTGTAGGCACACCGGGCCTGCTCCACGCTGGGCGGCCACAGTGCTCCAGCGGCTCAACGGGGATGGGACTGTTGGGCCCCAGCGTGGAGGCACTGGACCCTCGGGCCTCTCTCCCCAGAACGTGGAGTACAACATCTTCGAGGGAGTGGAGTGCCGGGGAGCGCCTGCCGTGGTCATAAGTCAGGGCCGAGTGGCGCTGGAGGACGGGAAGATGTTTGTCACCCCGGGGGCGGGCCGCTTCGTCCCTCGGAAAACATTCCCGGACTTTGTCTACAAGAGGATCAAAGCTCGCAACAGGGTAGGGCGGCACCCGCAAGGGTGTTGTGCAGGTAGGCAGGTGGGCGCTGAGTTCTAGGCCCAGAACGCACCCCTGGTCAACCTGGCCCGGCCTCCCGAGGGGTCAGGAAGACAGAGCGGGGCCGCTGCTTGCCCAGGGCCCTGGTGGGTCTAAGTGGAGAAGAGCCTGCTCCCGGAAGATGGCAGGGGAGGCCCCCATGGCACTGGGACCTTCAGGCCCTGGATCAGCTCTGCAAGTGCCTGTGAACGGCAGCTGGGTCCCACCCAAGTCATCCACGGTTGTTAGAGAAAATACAGATATAAAGTGAGCAGAAATCTAGCTCCCCACGGGAGCTGCCCAGTTGGACCTCAGTGTGGGTCCTTCTGGGATTCCCCATGGACAGACGTGCACGCTGATTTGTGGACTGGGGCGTGTGCTCCTCTCCACATGGGCTCTCAGGAGCTCAGCCACGGGAGCCCCCCCCCCATGGCCTTCCAGTCTCTTACTGTGGTGACGCCACGCTTGCCCGGCATCATCCGTGTCTGACGGTGCAGCAGGTGTGGTCTCCCCAGACCACCAGGTGCTTCACACACGCACAGGGGCACTCGCAGTGGCGTCTGTGCACACACAAGTGCACGTGGGGCCTCGGAGGGAGGTTGAGCATGTGCACCTGTGTTGGTAAGACTGAGGGGAGGGACGTTTGCACACACATGCAGATGGGACCGCAGGCGGGCATTATACACGTATGGGGAGGACTGCAAGGAGGGAGGCGTGTGTGAACTTGGGTTGAGCACCCCCCCAGGGCAGCCCCAAATTCCTGAAGCTGGCACTGGAGAGGCGCAGAGCAGGCCCAGCCCTCCAGCTGCCCATGCTCAGCCCCTCATGCCCCATCTCTGGCCCCACAGCTGCCCAGGCTCAGCCCCTCATGCCCTGTCTCTGCCCCCACCCCCCCGGCAGCTGGCGGAGATCCACGGTGTGCCCCGTGGACTGTATGACGGGCCCGTCCACGAGGTGATGGTGCCTGCCAAGCCAGGGAGTGGCGCTCCGGCCCGCGCGTCCTGCCCAGGCAAGATCTCCGTCCCTCCTGTGCGCAACCTACATCAGTCGGGGTTCAGCCTATCTGGTGAGTTGGGCCTGGGGCACCAGTGGGGGTGAGGGGCTCTGCCGGAGCATCCAGGGCCTCAGGTACCAGGGCCCAGCCTGTGCCCAGAGGGGCTGCACACGGAAGGCACCCAGCTGGGGACTGGGGCAGGAGATGCTGCTGGGGGTGTTGTGGGGGCCAAGGGCTGAGCCCAGTTAGGGAGGCCCCTCCTGCCCGCTGTCTGCCCAGGGCAGCTGTGATGAACCCTCACCTTCAAGACAGTGGCACTGGGGTGAGGCTGTCACATGGAACCCAGGAGTGAGCATGGATCCAGCCTCAGGGGAGGTGGGAGGCCTTGACGAGGATCTCAGGATCATGTGGAATCCAGGTCCCCACCCAGCAGGCCCCAGAACCAAGCGTGAGGCACAAGGGAGGGTCTGAGCTGTGTCCCGGGGCCTGGAGGGATACACGAGAATGCCTGGGAGGGCTCAGGCTGCCAGGGTCCGGCCTCTGGCGTCGCTTCTGGTGCATTCTCCGGACCCAGGAAGGTGATAGCAAAGCCCTGCTCACCTCCTGGGGACTCAGGCCTGGGGGCAGGTCCCTGAGAACCCGGCACTGTCTGGGAGGCCAGGGGCAGCCTTTCATCACCCGGAACCCAGAGCAGGGACGAGGCAGGACTGGCCCGGGTTCCTCTCGGGACAGGAAGGGCTTCCTGCAGCCCACAGTCCCCGCAGGTTTCATGATCTCCTGGGCAGCCTCACCTGCACCCCGGGCCTCAGGGATGGGAGTCCTGCCGGGCACCTGGTCTGCTTGGCCTTCTGGTGGTGGCAGGTGTGCGGGGGCTCTGCAGTCCTGGCCCCACTGACGCAGCCACTGACTCTGCCTCACGCCTTGAATAGAAGGGCCCCTGCCCCTGCCTCATTCTCCCCTGCCCATCTGTGCCCTTTCTTCAGGGTCTCAGGCTGATGACCACATCGCCCGACGCACAGCACAGAAGATCATGGCACCACCTGGCGGCCGCTCCAACATCACCTCTCTCTCCTAGACGCCCAGGACCGGCCCTGTGAGCCGTGCTGGCCCCACCCGAGGCCGCGGGGGCCCCAGGGCACTCGCCCCCCTCCTTAGCATTTTCTTTTGTAGAAGTTTCTCGAAGGTGCTTGGCGGTCTTGCCTTCCCCCTCCCCACAGGCTCTCCTTGTGGGGTCCCAGGTCCTGCTGCCAAGAGCCCCTCAAGAGAAGGGCTGAACCTGGGGAGATGTCACTGCCAGGGTGAGGTGGAGCCACATGGCAGGGACAATGCCGGCAGCCTGAGCCCAGGCACCCCAGTGCCCGCTGGGCCCAGCCTGGGGACAGGGAACCTGCCGGGCTCACAGTGTGGGAGCAGCTGGACACCAGGCTTCTTGGTGAACCGGCGAGGGGCCGAGTCCCGCCTGGTGGGCATTTGCCGCCGCCTCCCCACCACCAGTCACTGCCTCGCAGAGCCCTACACTCCCGCAGCCGCTCCTCAGAGGCCTGTGCCCATCGCAGGCCTGGGAGGAAAGTGGGCGCAGAGCCCTCCTGCTCACACAGCTGCTGAGACTTCAGGGACCCATCAGAACTTGGTGCAGCACAGCCCCGCCCGTGGAGGGTCCCTTTTACGCACCCCAAGGCCCACACCTAAGCTTCCATGTAGCCCTCATCCAGGGAAGTTTTGCGATCCTTTAGGAAGACACTGTCCTCTTATTACAGATTGTGTATTTCCGTAGGCTTCTTAGTAGCAGCTTTGTACACTGAGGACACTGTAGCCAGGAACCTGTGCATGCCACCCACCGCCTGGACAGGCAGTCATCCTGCCTCTGATGTGAATCAGGCCCATTAAAGACGTCTGGGTTTGAAGCCGCCTGTGCATGGAAGGAAGGCCCCGTCTCCTCTCCCCCACGCCGTCTCTGCACAGGCGGGGCCTGGCTGGCTGTGGGCTGGTCCGACGACTCCTGCAGCCGCAGCTCTTCTCCCCTCAATGGCAGGGAGGAGCGCACCCTCTCACAGGGAAGAGGGCCGGCAGGGCAGCCAACATCCAGGGCGGGGCAGAGGGCAGCCAACATCCAGGGCGGGACAGAGGCCCCCCCCCCCCCCCGCCTACATTCTCACCGGACAGCCCGAGCCACCCCAGAAGGCCGGGGAGCATGCACGGGAGTGTGTGGAAGTGAAGCACACACCACCGCCACCCAGGTGGGCGCTGCTCACAGACGCAGGCCCAGCACTCAAGGCCGGGCAGCTATGAGGCTGACCCGAGCCCCCGGTGTGTGACTGCGGTGCTGGCGCGTGCTGTGTCTCAAAGGGTGCGTGGACGTTCCCAGACGGTTGTCCTCATCCCAAGAGCGGGGCCTGGTCGCAGTCACTGGGCACTCGCTGTTTGTTGAGCAGAGAGCCAGGGACACCTTGTGCCACCGGTTCTCTGGCCCCTGCCCATGCACCGATGGTGACAGAGAATTTCCTGCCGTGGTCTCTGGGAACCACAGACAGGCCCATCTCTCACCCTGGGCTGCTTATAAAGCTGTGCAGATCCCAGGCGAAGGCCCTGGGCCCTCAGCATTTCCTTCCCGGGGCTCCCTCTGGCCCAGATGTGGGAGCTGATGTCCCCCACACCAGCATCTCCCACTCTGCCCCAGTGTGGGGGGCGATCAAGGGAACCAGACAGCACCCACACCTCACCAGTGTCTCGAAGGAGGACAAGGTGCACCACCCTGCCATGTTCCCCAAATGCACTTATTCAAACCCCCACACCTGTCCTTGCCCCGAGCCTGTCTCTGACATCGCCAGACTTCCACCGAGTACACGGCGCCTCTGGGCCCTCGCAGAGACCGGGCCACCCTTCCTGGTGGTGATTTGGGTGCCGTGTCCCCCATGTGAGCTGCTGAGGGCTGGAAGGCTAGTTTCTGCCATGATTCAGAGGACAGGGGTGGGTGGGGGACGGGAAGCTGCATTCTATCCCCTCGGACTTCTGACTCTGCTCGTGGCATGGCCGGTTCTTCCCCAAATGTTCTTTGGCCGTTGTCATCTCCATCTCGCAGCCCAGCCAAGGACGGGAGGGCCCTGTTTGCCAGGGGTGCAGTGGGGCTCATGGACACAGGTCTAGGCACATGTCCACTATGGCCGCTGTCCTGGGAAGGGGCACAGACCCGCCACACCCATTTCCTCAGAGGAAACCAGCACAGGCCTGTCTGGAGCGCTGGGCTGATGGGCTGAGCCCGTCCTCCTCCAGCGAGACCAGAGAGAAGCACACAGGCCGTTTACCCAGTTAGTTACAGTTCCAACCACAGAACCACCCAGCCACAGTGAGAGGGATACGTCCCTTTATGGAGGGCCAAGCACTGCCCGGCACTGCGGTGGCTCCACGGTGCACGGTGCTGTCCTGGGCTCCTCTGCCTCCAGGACCGTCTCTGCCTTCCACAGCCTTACGGCTCCAGGGCCACGGAGACAGGCACCCACCCCAAAGCCATGGTCCGGGAGCTCTGCCCTGAGGAGCTGCCCACCCCACTGGCTGCCCCAAGTCCAGGCCAACCAGAAACGGCAGGCACCGGCCTGACGGCCAGGCAGACACAGGACGTACGCAGAACATGCAACATCGAGCGGTTCTCACATTGTAATTCTCAGAGGTGAAAACTACAGAAATTGCTGGAGCAGTTTGAATCTCTAGAAAACATTCACCTCCCCACCCACTACCCCAACCCATGCCCTTGACCTCCAAGACCTGAGCCGAGCCTGGGGCACCCGCGGCCTGTGCTGCAAGGGTCACCTTGTGACGAGGGCCGTGCACAGCCTCCGGGCTGAGCAGGGACAAAGACTCCTGTCCCATCCATGGCCCCAGCTCCCCGTGAGCGGTAAGAGGGCGCCCAGCAGCGCTTCCTCCATCTAGGCGGGTCTCGGGGGCCCACGGGAAATGCCCTCCACAGGTGTCCCCTGCACCCACAGCCTCTTGTCCCCTGCACCACCACGAGCCTGAGGTGTGAAATGTGTCCGGGGCACTGTGGGCACCGCCAGCCAGGCTGGGTGGGAACGTGAATGCCAGGCCTCGGCCCATGGCCCTCCCTCTGGCAGCCGAGTCTCCAAAGCAGCTCAAGGGGTGAGGACCACGGGCGTCCCGGCCTAGCCGCTCCCGGCCGAGGGGCAAATGGGGCCGCACATGGGCAGGGCGGAGCGTTCCGCCTCGTCCTCCACAGGCTCCGCAGCATCCCTGGACTCAGGGGCGGGGAGAGGCTCCCTCGGGAGGTCCTGGCTCCTCTTCAGCCTGGGGTGGCAGGAACACATGGAGGGCGTTATGCCCCCACCTCCCTGGCCTCACGGTCCCATGACCTGCCCACGGGCTCATGGGGTAGGCCATGGCGTGGATGCCCAAACGTGGGCCACAGGCTCGGTGTCTGCTGGAGAGGCCATGCTCCCGATACACTGGCAGGGAGCCTGGGGACGGGTGGGGGCACGTGAGCATGCTGGCGAGGCTCGGCGTGTTTCCAGCCAGAAGCCGAAAGGCCTGACTGTGCAGGTGCCATAGGTCAGTGACTTGGGAATGAGGCTCGGCTAAGCCTCATTCTTCACCCGGTCATCTGATCCCCAGGGTGCCAGTCAGTGCCCTCAGCCGTCTGCACGTGCTGCCCTGCACGTCCTGTCCATAAGAGCTCAGACCCACCTCCTCCAGGAGGCCCTCCTTGCCCCGTGCGGGCAGAGGGAGCATCCATCCTCCCTTGGGCCCCACCGTGGCAGCTGCTGCTATTTCTGGCCTGCCTTGCCTGCTGCCAGTCATCTGTGCCCTTTCTGTCCCCTGGGGCCTGACATTCAGGAAAGGTCTGCTGAGAGACTGAGGGCGTGCCTGGGTGGGGGAGTTGACGTGGCTCTGATGGGGCCTCCTAGGAAGTCACCACCCCTCATCTGGGCAAATGATGTGTCTCTCCCCAGAAGATTCCAGCCACGGGCCCCGCGTGGAGCACAAACATGCCAGAGCCTGGCAGGGGCCTCCCGCCGCTCCCCTCCATAGCTGCTGCTCAGAGTCCCCAAAGAGAGCAGGGCCACGCACCCCAGGCCCACAGGTGCCCGCTCACGTGGCCAAGAAAACCTTAACCTTAGCCCCATTTTCCTCCTCTCTGCCACCACGCCCACCCACCCCCAACACACTCACTTTTCTCTGTTAAAAATCACGAAGTCTTGCTGGATGGCATCGAGGCAGTCTTGAAGATAGTCATTCTCCTGTGGATGGAAAGGCACACGTGAGCGTGGGGGACGCTGTCCAGGTTCCGCCCATGTCCCCTCAAGTGAGTGTCTGGGCATCCCCATCGGGCCTCCACCTGTGGCTTTGGATGACGGCCTCTGGGCTATTGAAGTGCCCCGGCCCTCCAGCAGCCAGACTGCCCGGGAGCTCGCATCTCTGCGGGTGACTCACCCAAGCCCGAGGATGCCAAGGCCCAGCTCCCTTGCCTCTGGGTGGATGGCTTGGACTTGCTCCGTGGGGCCTGCAGGACCAGGCAGAAGCTGTTCTCTGCGGGACTTTGCTGGAAACCACTCCCTTGCCGGGCCTTTCCCGTCTCATACCGGGTTCTCCCAGCCCCTCATCACAGCACACACACACCTGTCCCAGGCCTGCTTCTGGGGCCCTGCCCAGAGAATCCTGGAACCAGGGCTGTCTTAGAAGCAGGTCCTCAGGGCAAGCTTGTGGACGGAGGCTGCCCCTGGCAGGACCCACCCTTACTGGTGTGTGATGGGCAGGCAGGACTACTTCCTTCAGGCAGCAGGACCACTTCCCAGGACGCAGGGGTCGGGGGAGGGCGTGGGTGGGGTGGAGGGGGTGCTGGCCGCTCAGCGCTGGCATGGTGTGGGGAAAGCATCATTATGGTGACCGTGAACTTGGATGGTGACGTTGGTCACTACCAACGCGTGAGCAAATGACAGACCCAGATGAGCCAAGTCACAGTGAAAAGTGCAGGGAGTCGCAGGCCTCGGGTGGCATTAAAAGGGCCCCCACCTCCTGCAGCTGAGGCCAGAGGATGCCCACTTGTGAGGACCACAGAACCTCAGATCCATAGGAAGTCACCCACGTCACAGCCAAGGCCCTGGGAGGGAGGGAGCTGGGCTCTGAAGGTCGGAGGGGACGTGTGAGTGGGTACACACCAGAACGCTCAACCCTATCTAGACATACAAAACGTACAGCAAAACCCAGTGTTACCATCTTACGGGACCACCCCCCCATGCGATTGGCCAGTGACGGAAGCATCGTTATGCAATGCGTGACAACAGTCTGCGTTCACCCGAGACGGACAACAGCATGCTTTCACGGCCCCAGCCAGGGCTAAGGGGACTCTTCCCTGTCACAGTGTCGTCTGTGCCTCGAACACCTGGACACTCTTGCCTGCTATCCATGGATCCTATTTTTGGTCTCGCTCTGTCACCCAGACTAGAGTGCAGTGGCGTGATCTTGGCTCACTGCCAACTCCGCCTCCCAGGTTCAAGTGATTCTGCTGCCTCAGCCTCCCAAGTAGCTGGGATTACAGGTGCCCACCACCATACCCAGCTAATTTTTGTAGAGACGGGGTTTCACCATGTTGGCCACGCCAGTCTTGAACTCCTGACCTCAGGTGCTCCGCCTGCTTCGGCCTCCCAAAGTGCTGAGATTACAGGCGTGAGCCACCATGCCTGGCCCTGTGGATCCTATTAATGCTGATTGCCAAGTGGCAAGTACTCTGGACACCCTGTAAACCCACGAACAGAGTGTGGGAGATGCAGAAGGCTGTTCTCCGATGAACGGTTCAGGGATTTGCTGACGTGCGTCACACTCGGACGTGCCCGCCAAGATAAAGGACAAGCGGTCTCACCTTGCGCCTCTTCCCACGAGGAAGGAAGCATAGGGCTCAACACATTTCTTGGGTTTGGGGAGCAGCTCACGTTCCCCACCCCGAGGCAGTGCCCTCCGTGTCTCTCCTGGATCTGTGGTGGTGTGAGGGTTTCACCCTGGCAGCGGGAATGTGGACTCTCTCTTCCTAGCCCTGAGTGGGGACTGTCCCGCCCGCTCCTCCTGGTGGTGTCACCCTGGTCCTGGGCATTCCCCACACGTACACGGTGTGAGCGGCCAGCACCTTGCCAAGGACTCGAGAAGAAGCCGGCAGACTCCCACGCTCTCTGCGGGCAGCCCTCTCCTCTCCATGTGGCTCTCTCCCTCCAGGCTTTGCCCTGTCACTGTGGCCTCCCCTAAAGGAGTCACGATCCTGGCAGGGGACCTGTCCTTAGTCATCAAGAAGAGGACAGGCTGGGTGATCTGCTGTGTCTCAGCACTCTCTGGTCTAACCCTGATATAGACAGACAAGTCTGCAAACTCGGGCCGGCCTGAGAAGGTGACGGTGACCTAAGGCTCAGACTACTCAGGAATGAGGGTCCGACTGAGCCGCTGGGATCCTGCGATTCACAGCGACACAAGGTGGGAGGGGCTGGGGTGGGCGCCAGTGATGCAGAACATGAGCGCCCGTCGTGGCCCTGTGTGCAGCCCAGTGGCAGGGGCTGTTGGTCATCCTGCAACGTCCACAGCCATGTTTTCCTAGGCAGAGAGGCCACCAGAAGCCTGAGGAGCTGCTCCAGAACCATCTGGAAGGGGTGGCTCTGAGCAGCGCCCAAGCCGGGCTGTGTCACCTAGATGTGTGACCACGACCCCTTTCCACAGGGACTCCCTTCCCAAGGTGTGTGTAGCGCCGCCAGCAGTACCCCATGGCAGGGTCTGTGCCTGGCCTGGATCTGCCCTGCTCTTCCTCTGACAGCCCCTGCCTCCTCCTTGGGTGGCTGGAACCCTTTGCCAGCACACACACAGTCAGAAGGCCACAGAGGGGCCCTTCGCCCATGACTGACTGGTGTGGGTGTTTGAGAGCCCAGCTCCCTCAGGGCAGGGACCTCTTGAACCGCAAGTGACGCTCCAGGTCCCCTGAAGTCCGAAGCCACTCCCCACAGGATTTCCAGATTTCTGCTTGAAAGCCAAGCTCTGCTGGCATCTCCCATCCCGAGAAGGGCGGGGGTCTCTCCTGGATGCACTTTCTGAGTAACTGGACCAGGAATCCCCATCTCAGGGCACCTGTGGCACCTTCACACATGCTGAGACACAGCCTCGGACCCCAGATGTCACCCACAGCGAGGAGGGGCCTGGGAAATGGAGCAGGCTTCAGTCCCTAGCACCGCCACAAACCTGCTTGGCAGCTCAGATGCAACTGTCAGACCCCTCAGCATTCAGTGGAAATGCCAGGGACCCAGAACAGTCAAATAATGTCCAAAAAGAACAAAACTGGGGGATTCACAGATCCTGATTTGAAAGCTTGCTACAAAGCTACAGTTATCAAGATGGTGCAGTCCCGGCGCAGGGCAGACGTCTGGACCAATGGGATAAAACGGCAAGTCAAAAAACAAGGTATGATGTCAAAAGCAATTCAATGGGGAAAGAATCCTCTCTTCAGCAAATGGTGCTAGGACAGTCAGATATCCACCGATGAGAGAATGAAGCTGGACCCTCACCTGACATTGTTCATAAAAATTAACCCAAAATGAATCACACAGCTAAACGCAAGAGCTGAAACTATACAAGACTTAGAAGAAAGTGTGGGAGTAAATCCCTGTGGCCTCAGCTGAGGTGATGGATCCTTAGACAAAGCAGAGCAGCCAAGGAGGAAACAGCCACATCGGACAACGTCAAGGTCCAAGACTTCCCTGCTGCAAATGATGCCCTCAAGAAAGAGAAAAGATAGCCCATGGAACAGGAGGAAATACCTGCCAATCTCCTGTCTGACCACACACCTGCGTTCAGGAAATAAAAGACATGACTCCGACGAAGAAACACAGAGACGAGCAAGGACTTCTGGCTTCTGCTCTGCGGTAAACAACGTGGAAGGCCTCACTCCCATCCCTGCGACAGGAAAAATGCTGAACTAATGAAAATCAATGACTTTTCCTGGACCTATCAGAGAGCTGAGGTCAAAGCGCTGCGGCGACCCCCAAGTCTGGAGAGACAGGTGAGCAAAGTCACAGCTGAGACCTGCTGGCCTGGAGCAGAACTGATGGTGTGTGGGAACACCTCCTGGGCAGCTCTGGGGAGCGGCCGGGGCCGTGTGCAGAACTCCTGCGGCTGCGGTCTTATGAGGCCCCCAACGTTTTGTGGGTTTCCCCTCCAGGAACCCTGCCAGGTCTTAATGAAGCCAAGGATGATCCCTTCCTGGCTCTGGCATGGGATGGGGACAGTCACCACTGTGAAATACACCCAGAGCATTCTCCACAGCAAATGGAATTTGCTCTCCAAAGGAAAGGCTTATCTCACTTGGGGGAGGACTGTTTTTCAGCCTGTACCCCGCTTTAGCCTGTCTCACCTAAGGGGAGGGGAAAAGCAGATCAACAACTGTGAAGGGGCACAGGCCCCCAAGACTGAGATTTGGTCACAGACTGTGGAACAGTTCCCTCCCCACCATCTTCCCAACACACCCACAGGGCCTCCGCAGTGTGACAGGGATTCCAGCAGAGAGGGCCACAAGACGCAGACTCTCTCTGAGGAGGAGGATTTAGGCAAGCCCAAGGGCAACCCGGGAAATGAAAACAAATGTGAAGCCTCTGGTGCCCACAGCTACAGCAGACTTTAAACCCTGCCCCAAACCTGGCCAGATTACATAAACCTCACACTAAAGGCCCATCTACTTCAGCTCTTATTACCAGATACATCACGTCCAGCTTTCAACAAACATTACAAGGCAGACTACAAGGTCTTAAGGAAAAAAATAGAGTGTGAAGAGACAATGCACACATTAGAACAGATCCAGATATGGCACCCATGTTGGAATTATCAAACAGGAAATTTGAAATAACTGTGATTAATATGGCAAGGGCTCCAGGGGAAAAGCAGGCAAGAACAGATGGGGAACAGAAGGGCAATGTAAGTAGAGAGATGGAAACTCCAAGGAGGGATCAAAAGGAAATGCTGGAAGTAGAAAACACTGTAACAGAAATGAGGATGCCTTTGATGGTTCCTCAGTAGACTGGATCCAGATGAGGAAGGATCTATGAGCTTGAAGAAATGTCAACAGAAACTTCTCGAACTGAAATGCAAAGAGAAAAAAAAAAGAGTGAAAAAAATGAACAGAATATCCAAGAGCTGTGGGACAATTTCAAACGGCACCACACACGCATAATTGGATTTCCAGCAGGAGAAGAGAAAGAGAACAGAATATTTGAAATAATAATGACTGGGAATTTTCTGAAATTAATGACAGACACCAAACCACAGGATCTAAGAAGCTCAGAGAACACCAAGCAGAATGAATATTAAAAAAAAATCTGTACCTAGGCATATCATTATTCAAATTGCAGAAAACCAAAGACAGAGAAAATCTTGAAATGAGCTGGGGGTGGGGGGTGGCGAGGAATTCTACTTACAGAAAAAGAATTAGAGCAGACTGCCTGTTAGAAATCACATAAGCAAGAAGAGAGCGGAGTGAAATATTTAAAGTGTTGAAAGTAAAAAACCTACCAATCTAGAATTCTATATCCAGTGAAATTATTATTTAAAGGTGAAAGTAAAGACTTTTTTGGACAAACAAAAAGGGAAGGAATTCATCTCTGTTGGACCTGTCCTATAAGACATGTTAAACGAAGTTCCTCAGGGGAAAGGAAAATGATTTAGGTCAGCAACTTGGGTCTGCATAAAGAAAGGAAGCACTTTAGAGGAGGAATGAATAGAGGTAAAATGAAATTTTTAATTTTTCTTAATTGATCCAAAAGATAACTGTTTAAAATAACAGTAGTAACAATGTAATGAGCAATTATAGCATACAGATAAATGAAATGAATGACAGCAATGTCATCAGGAACAGGAGGATTGCACGAGAGGTGCCGTCACAAGGCATCCCACTGCACATGAGGGGGCAGAGTGTCAGGTGAAGGTAGACTGTATGGTAAAGGTATACTGCAATGTCCAGGCCAACCACTAAAAATATTTCAAAAAGAAGTATAATTAACAGGCCAGGAGAGGAGATAAACTAGAATAATATAAAATGCTTAATTAAAACCAGAAAAGGCAGAAAAATAGGGAAAAAGGAAGAACAATAAATAGACTACAGTTACAAATAAGGTAGATATCATATTGAACTATATAAATGACCACTTATTTATTTACAAGACAGCGTGTCTCTCTGTTACCCAGACTGGAGTGCAGGGGCATGATCATAGCTTACTGCAGCCTTGAACTCCTGGGCTCAAGCAATCCTACTGCCTCAGCCTCCTGCGTAGCTGGTATCACAGGTGTATCCCACCACACCCAGATAATTTTTTTTTGTAGAGACAGGGTCTCGCCATGTTGCCCAGCCTGGTCTCAAACTCCTGGACTCAAGCAATCCTCTCACGTCACTGGAACTACAGGCATGCACTGTTATGCCTGCCTAATTTTTTTGTCTTTTATAGAGCTGGTGATAAGGTTTGGCTGTCTCCCCACCCCAATCTCAGCTTGAATTGTGACTCCCACAATTCCCGTGTGTCATGGGAGGAACCCAGTGGGAGGTGATTGAATTATGGGGGCGGGTCTTTCCTGTGCTGTTGTCATGATAGTGAATGAGTCTCATGAGATCTGATGGTTTTAAAAACAAAAGTTTCCCTGCACAAGCTCTCTCTGCCATCCATGTAAGATGTGACTTGCTCCTCCTTGCCTTCCGCCATGATTGTGAGGCCTCCCCAGCCATGTGGAACTGTAAGTCCATTAAACCTTTTTCCTGTATAAATTTCCCAGTCTCGGATATGTCTTTATTAGCAGCGTGAGAACAGACTAATACAGTAAATTGGTACCAGTAAAGTAGGGCGCTGCTGAAATGATACCTGAAAATGTGGAAGCAACTTTTTAGAACTGGGTAATAGGCAGAGGCTGGAACCATCTGGAGGGCTCAGAAGAAGACAGGAAAATGTGGGAAAGTTTGGAACTTCCTAGAGACTTGTTGAATGGCTTTGACCAAAATGCTGATAATGATATGGACAATGAAGTCCAGGCTGAGCTGGTCTCAGATGGAGATGAGGAACTTGTTGGGAACTACAGCAAAGGTGGCTCTTGTTATGCTTTAAGCAAAGAGACTGGCAGCATTTTGCCCCTGCCCTAGAGATTTGTGGAACTCTGAATTTGAGAGATGATTTAGGGTATGTGGCAGAAGAAATTTCTAAGCAGCAAAGCATTCAAGAGGTGACTTGGGTGCTGTTAAAGGCATTCCATTTTAAAAAGGAAACAGCATAAAAGTTCAAAAAATTTGCAACCTGACAATGCAATAGAAAAGAAACTCCTGGCTGGGCACGGTGGCTCACGCCTGTAATCCTAGCACTTTGGGAGGTTAAGGCAGGCAGATCACCTGAGGTCAGGAGTTCAAGACCAGCCTGGCCAACATGGTGAAACCCTTCTCTACTAAAAATACAAAAATTAGCTGGGTGTGGTGGTGCGTGCCTGTAATCCCAGCTACTTGGGAGGCTGAGACAGGAGAATCACTTGAACTTAGGAAGCGGAGGTTGCAGTGGCAATGAGCCGCCATTGCACCACTGCACTCCAGCCTGGGTGACAGAGCAAGACTGTCTCAAAAAAAAAAAAAAAGAGAGAAAAAAAAGAAAACCCCATTTTCTGAGGAGAAATTTGCATAAGCAACAAGGAACTGAATATTAATCACCAAGACAATGGGGAAAATGTCTCCAGGGCATGCCACAGACCTTTGCGGCAGCCCCTACCATCACAGACTCAGAGGCCTAGGAGGAAAAAATGGTTTCATGGGCGAGGTCCAGGGTCCCTCTGCTGTGTGCAGTCTAGGGACTTGCTGCACTGCATCCCAGCTGCTCCAGCCATGACTGAAAGGGGCCAAGGTACAGCTCAGGCTGTGGCTTCAGAGGGTACAAGCCCCAAGCTGTGGCAGCTTCCATGTGGTGTTGAGCCCGCAGGTGCACAGAAGTCAAGAATTGAGGTTTGGGAGCCTCTGCCTGCATTTCAGAGGATGTATGGAAACACCTGGATGTCCAGGCAGAAGTTTGTTGCAGGGGTGGGGCCCTCATGGAGAACCTCTGCTAGGGCAATGCAGAAGGGAAATGTGGGGTTGGTGCCCCTATACAAAGTCCCCACTGGGGCACACTGCCTAGTGGAGCTCTGAGAAGAGGGCCACCATCCTCTACACCCCAGAATGGTATATCCACCAACAGCTTGCACCATGCACCTGGAAAAGCCACAGACACTCAATGCCAGCCCACGAAAGCAGCCGGGAGGAAGGCTGTACTCTGCAGAGCCACAAGGGCAGAGCTGCCTAAGACCATGGGAACCCAACTCTTGCATCAGCATGACCTGGATGTGAGAGATAGAGTCAAAGATGTTCATTTTGAAGCTTTAAGATTTGACAGGCCTGCTGGATTTCAGACTTGCATGGGGCCTGTAGCCCCTTTGTTTTGGCCAATTTCTCCCATTTGGAATGGCTGAATTTACCCAGTGCCTGTACCCCTATTGTATCTAGGAAGTCACTTGCTTTTGATTTTACAGACTCATAGGCAGAAGGGACTTACCTTGTCTCAGATGAGACATTGGACTGTGGACTTTTGAGTTAATGCCAAAATAAGACTATGGGGGACTGTTGGGAAGGCATGATTGGTTCTGAAATGTGAGGACATGAGATTTTGGAGGGGCTGGGGCAGAATGATATGGTTTGGCTCTGTCCCCATCCCAATCTCAGCTTGAATTGTGACTCCCACAATTCCCACATGTTGTGGGAGGAACCTGGTGGGAGGTGATTGAATTATGGGGGCGGGTCTTTCCTGTGCTGTTGTCATGATAGTGAATGAGTCTCATGAGATCCGATGGTTTTAAAAACAAAAGTTTCCCTGAACAAGCTCTCTCTTTGCCTGCCGCCATCCATGTAAGATGTGACTTTCTCCTCCTTGCCTTCCACGACTGTGAGGCCTCCCCAGCCATGTGGAACTGTAAATCCATTAAACCTTTTTCCTGTATAAATTACCCAGACTCAGGTATGCCTTTATTAGCAGTGTGAAAATAGACTAATACAGATGGGTCTCACCTTGTTGCCCAGGCTGGTCTCAAACTCCTGGACTCAAGCAGTCCTCTTGCCTCAGCCTCCCTGGTCGCTTTAAATGTGAATGGTCTAAAATACACCAATTAGGTCAGGCACAGTGGCTCACATCTGTAATCCCAGCATTTTGGGAGGCTGAGGTGGGAGGACTCCAAGAGTTTGAGACCAACCTGGACAACATAGTGAGACCCTGTCTCTACAACAAAATTTTTTTCAAATGAGCCAGGTGTGGTGGTGCACACCCACAGTTCCAGCCATTCTGGCAGCTGGGGCAGGGAGGATCACTTGAGCCCAGGAAGTCAAGGCTGAAGTGAGCCTTCATTGCACCACTGCACTCCAGTTTTGGTAATAAAGCAAGACCCTGTCTCTAAAAAAAAATAAAGTAAAATAAATATGCCAATTAAAATATATTGTCAGAGTAGACTAAAAAAAAGACAATAAAAATTTTAAAACATTTGGATAGACATTTCTCTAGACACAATGCCTGATAAAACACCTCAAAAGATGTTCAATATCATCAGAGAAATGCAAACCATAACCACACAATCACTGCACACTAAGATAACTATGATTTTTTAAAAAATAAACCAGACAATAACAGGACTTGGTAAATATATGGAGAAATTAGAACCCTCACACACTGCTGGTAGGGGCATAAAATGGCACACCTGCTGTAGAAAAGGGTAGGTGTTTCCTCCAAACATGAAGCACAGAGTCACATATGACCCAGCGGGTTCATGCCTAGGTATGTGCCCCCCAAAAATAAAAGTACATATCCACACAAAGACTTGTATGTGAATGTTCACAGCAGCATTATTCATGATAATGAAAAATGTTAACAAGTGGAAAGAACAAATACTCATCAACTGATGACTGGATAAAGGAAAGGTGATACATATGTGGAATATTACTCAGCCATCAACAGGAATGAAGCACTGACAGGCTACAACGTGGACGGGCCTCAAAAGCATCCTGCGAAGTGAAAGAAGCCAGCTGCAAAGACCACATAGTGTGTAACTCCACTTCCATGAAACGCCCACAACAGGCAACCCTACAGAGACGGAAAGTAGCTTCGTGGCTGCCAGGGGAGGGGAGAAGAGGGGAATGGGGCATGACTGCTAATAGGTGGGGTCTTTCTCTTACATTACATGAAAAGGTTCTAAAATCAGATTGTGGTGGAGAATGCACAGCCCTGTGACTATATTAAAAACCATGGAATTATATGCTTTACATGGATGCACTGTATATTGCATGGAATGTGAATTATATCAAAATAAAGCTGTTTCCAAAAACCTCTCTCAGCCTCAAGGTTAACAGTGGGACTTTTTTTTTGGAGTGATGCTTTCCTTTCAGAACACCTCCTACCCTCAAGCCAAAACATCTCCACACAACCAACCCAAGACAAAGCCGAGCTCCTCCCGCTCACAGGTGCCTGGCCTTACCTGTTCCCAGCCAGAGCCTCCTGGGAACTCAGCATGGCCAGCTGGGCTCTGCACACTGTCCATCCCTGAGTCTCCCATGAGGGTTCCTAACTCATCCTGGGCCTGTTTCTACACCCCAGAGCCCTGGCTCTGGACATGCTCTGGTAGGGAAAACTTAAACATCCAATGGGGGCAATGCCAAAGAACCCCCAACCCCGAGAACCTTCCAACCATCCTGTGGCTCTCAGCAGTGCCTCACAGTGGCCACCTGGCAGACAGCAGCTCTCCACCAGCAATTCTGCCTGAGGACACCCAGGGCTGCCGGCAGCCGTCCTGGAGGAGGGGCGAGGATGGGAGCCTGACCCACTGGGGGGCCGTGTTCCCCCCAAAATCAGGGCACCCAGGGCATGACCCCACCCCTGCCCCCCACATCATGGTGAGGAGGGGACTGACACCCGTCTTCTGCCCAGGAGCAACACAGGGCCCACCAGGTCTGAGGAGGCTGCACGGGGGCTGAGGCACAAGAGTTTCCCAGGACATCCACCACAGGCTCAGGCAGACTCAGGGGCAAGGGGACCACCGAGGGACCCAGGGTCATCACCGTCACCCTGACATCAACACACAACCATAGCTACTCCTTGGTGAATATCAGCCACATCCTGGTGGTATGGGCCAAACTGTGTCCCCAAAAATGACACACTCAAATTCTAATCCTGGGTACCTGTGAATGTGACCTCATTTGGAAGTGAGGTCTTTGCAGATATCATCAAGATAAGATGGGGCCATACTGGATCAGGGTGGGCCCTAAATCCAATGCCTGGTGTCCTTATGAGAAGAGGGGAGGAGATGGAGACGCACACACAGGCCGACCCCACGCGGCAGCGAAGCAGGGGCTGGGGGGATGCGTCTAGGCCAAGGCAGCCTCTACCGGAGGGTAGAGGGGCAAGGACTGGTTTTCCTCCCCGGAGAGCCTTCAGAGGGGGCACGGCTTTGCTGACATCTTAACTTTGGACTCAGGCCTCCAAGCCATGAGACAACACATTTCTTTTTAAATCTGCTGATTAAAAGGGAGCCTGTTGATGCTCTATTGTGAATATCACATTCACATGGAACACGAACCACGTCCACATTGGGAACACCACGTCCTCACATAGCAGAGGATCAAAGACTCAAAAGAGGACTAAAGTCACCCTTCTACAACAGCATTAACCCCATCCATGCTGGAAGAACCTACGTGGCCCCATCAGCCCCCAAAAGTCCCATCTCTACCACCATCACAATAGGAAGCAAATTCCAACACGAGTTTTAAGGGAAACATTTCAACCACAGCACCTGTCAAATCCCTGATGAGACCACGACCTCAGACAATATTAGCTCACACTCTGGGGAGACCCAGAAGCAGGAAACAGAGCTGCACCTGACAAGGCCACGACCTCAATGTTAGCTCACATTCTGGTGAGACCCCGAAGCAGGGAACAGAGCTGCACCATGCCTGGACTTCCGATTTACAGAAACTGAGATCATCACATAACTGCCCAAGGGGTTCACCTTACCCGCTGCCTAGACAGCCAATTATCAAGACAGGGGAGCTGCAGGAGACAGAGTAGTTCACGCACAGCCGGCTGTGAAGGAGACCATTTCATTACGACTCAGATCCATCTCAGAGAGACGCATTGCTGTTCTTCAACCACCTGATTCGTGGTCACCTGTCCTGGCAGCCCCAGAATACCAGCATGCCTGAGTGAGCATGAGGGCTTCACGTGGCCGTCCCCGCACACACAACCAAAGCCGGCACACCTGGGCGAGTGTGAGGGCTTCACGTGGCTGTCCCGGCACACACACCTGATGCTGACGCACCTGGGCTAGTCTGAGGGCTTCACGTGGCCATCCCCACACACACAACTGATGCTGACGCACCTGGGCGAGTGTGAGGGCTTCACATGGCCGTCCCCACACACACAACTGATGCTGACGCACCTGGGCGAGTGTGAGGGCTTCACATGGCCGTCCCTGCACACACAACCAAAGCCAGCACACCTGGGCTAGTCTGAGGGCTTCACGTGGCCATCCCTGCACACACTCACAACTGACATCAACGCACCTGGGTGAGTGTGAGGGCTTCACGTGGCCATCCCTGCACACACAACTAATATCAACGCACCTGGGCAAGTGTGAGGGCTTCACGTGGCCATCCCCGCACACACAACTGACACCGATACACCTGGGTGAGTGTGAGGGCTTCAGATGGCCGTCCCCCCACACACAACTGATGTCGACACACCTGGGTGAGTGTGAGGGCTTCACATGGCCGTCCCCACACACACAACTGATGCTGACGCACCTGGGCGAGTGTGAGGGCTTCACATGGCCGTCCCTGCACACACAACCAAAGCCAGCACACCTGGGCGAGTCTGAGGGCTTCATGTGGCCATCCCTGCACACACTCACAACTGACATCAACGCACCTGGGTGAGTGTGAGGGCTTCACGTGGCCATCCCTGCACACACAACTAATATCAACGCACCTGGGCAAGTGTGAGGGCTTCACGTGGCCATCCCCACACACACAACTGACACCGACACACCTGGGCTAGTCTGAGGGCTTCACATGGCTGTCCCTGCACACACAACTGACATCAACGCACCTGGGTGAGTGTGAGGGCTTCACATGGCCATCCCTGCACACACAACATCAACGCACCTGGGCGAGTGTGAGGGCTTCACATGGCCGTCCCCACACACACACCTGATGCTGACGCACCTGGGCGAGTGTGAGGGCTTCATGTGGCCATCCCTGCACACACAACCAAAGCCAGCACACCTGGGCGAGTGTGAGGGCTTCACATGGCCGTCCCCACACACACAACTGATGCCGACGCACCTGGGTGAGTGTGAGGGCTTCACATGGCTGTCCCGGCACACATACCTGATGCTGACGCACCTGGGCGAGTGTGAGGGCTTCACATAGCCGTCCCCGCACACACAACCAACACCAGCACACCTGGGCAAGCACGAAGGCTTCACATGGCCATCCCCGTGCACTCATAACCCCAGCCCTGGTTGTCCCTGCCCACCTGCTTCATAAGGAGCGAGGTGGGGGCTGGGAAAGGCAGAAGGGAGGTCTCTGGCCTTCTCAGGACTTCAGGAAACGGTCTGCTGGACTTCCGAGACGTGTGCGCTGCCAGGGGTCCCCACACGCCTTGCTCGGTGGTAGAGAGGAGCCCCAAGCCCAGCCCGCCGCCGCGCCCTGAGCCTGCCCTGGCACTCACGGACTGGGAGCTGTCCCTGCTGTTGTCCCGGGACTTGTTCTTGGCCAGACGCTTCTTCTTCTTGTGCAGGGGCCTGGACTCCAGGATCATCTCCTCCAGCTCAAAGGTGGGGTCGCAGTGCAGACGGCCTTTCTACAGAGGGATGGGTGCTGAGCCCCGGCCCGTGGAGGACGCCACATCCATCCCCAGGGCCCCCCACCTGAGCCGCCCACAGGCTTACGTTGGGCACGAAGCCCGGCTCCACCCTCTTCTCGCTCAGGTGGTCCCACAGCACGCCGGCCAGCGCCGGGGCTGCCTGCACGTCCTGGAGGCTGGAGAGCCGGTGCTCGGGGTTCACAGTGAGGAGCTGCAACCAGGCATGAGTCAGAGGGTCCAGGGCCCACAGCCCACCAGCACGGAATAGCCCGCCACCCCCAGGCCAGGGCACCTTGAGGAGGGTCCCACCAAGCCTGAGGTTCAGAATTCAGGAACCTCAGGGCCACGCGAGGAAGGGTGGTGCCGACGGCCGACATCAGGCAAAGCACCGTGGCTGGCTCAGCATGTGGCCCAAGGGACGCCTGTTCTCAGTGCTGCTACCTAAACCCCTGGCGCCAGAGGACAGCAGAGGGATCTGCAGGGAAGGCTCTGCTGGGATTTGCCAGGAGGTGGCAGCCGAGGCCCGGCTAGCGGCTAACACTCGGCACATGGCTGGCCTCACAGTAACTATCCCAGAGCCACTTCCTTCACCGAATCATGGGACCTCCACAGGCCAGATGAGCCCGGGGCAGCCATGCATGGCCTGGGAAGCAACATCCCAGCGCTGGCACCTCCCGCCTTTCCAGGGAAAATGCCGCAGACCCAGACCCCGTGCGAGGTTTCCCAGACCTGGGCTTGGGCGTGTGGGTCATCCCCAGTCCCCACGCAGGCCCTCTCTAGCCCAGTGCCACCTTGTGAGCCACCTGGGCAGGTGTGACTGAGCTTCGTGGGGCTACAGCAGAGTTAAGAGACTCTCGGGGCTGGGGAGAGGCCCCGGCAGGCAAGGCCTCCCCAAGGATTTAGGCTGCTTGGCTACAATTCCAGGGCAGGAGGCCCCACCTGCCTGAGACACGGGGGCCGGGAGGCAGCCGGGCCCGTGTGGCACACTCACTCCCCTCCCTGTCCTGCCTGGGCCTGGCTCTGACTCCGAACCCCCTATGGTGTTAATGCGAGGCTCGGAACAGGGAGCTGTGCAGCCCAGTCAAGGCACAGCCCCAGCCTAGCACCAGATCACAAATGGGAGGCACTACTGATGGCCACACCCCTGCCCGTGTCCCTGCCAGGCTGATGTCCCCTGAGAGGTGTTTGCAGTGGGCAGTGGCTGCCCACCTTCCCCAGGAGGCACTGGGGCAAAGGGTCCCGGAGATAGCATGGGCTTGAACCCACCCACCCGACACCCTCCTTCCAATACGTGGGACAAGGGGACGTGGCTCAGGGCTCCTCTGTGGTGACCGGCAGGGCGGGCGCACAAGCCTGCTGTGAGGGTGCCTGGAGACGCAGCTCAGGGGATCACCAGGACACCAGTGACCTGGTAGGGCTCGCCATGAGAGGGCCACAGAGCCTGCCACCAGCTCGCTTCCTGGGGCTTGGGGCTGCCATCTGCGGAGGCCCCCACAGGTTGCAGTGAAGGGATCTGTGCCTGCCAGGAAGCGGCACTAACTGTGCACTGGAGGGGGTGTCCCGAGCCGCAGGTAAGTGAGGGAGGGAGGTGGGTGCTCGGAGGGTGAGGAGGCTCAGGGATGGGGGCTCACCTTCCGCAGCAAGGCCACCATCTCCTTGGACCACGTGGGGACATACTGGACGCTCACGGTGCTGAACAGCTGCACCAGGGACTCCACGGCGTTGCTGGAGTGGATGTCATAGGGCCTCTGGAGACAGGGAGGCAGTGCTGGGCAGGTCCTCCTGGCCCCCAGGACACCCAGAACAATGCCAGACACAGGTGCCATCGCCCTGAGAGGACCCCCTCCCCCCACCCCAAGTGCAGGCACAGCTCTGAGCACAGCCTGGCCTCCACCTGCCGCGGAGGAGCCTGGGTGAGATAAAGCTTACGCCTGGGTCCTGCGCCCTGGCTGCTGCGCCCATCTGGCTGGGATCCCAGGGGGCCTGGGTCCAGGTAGATCAGCCCCAGAGGGCCAGGAGGGAGCTGGCTTCCTCAGAGGTGGGGTCCTGTGCAGGGCTGAGGGGTACGGTCCACAAGAGGACCCCCAGCCTCCCGGTCTCCAGGACTGGCCTCGCCGTGGCCACAAGGGTAAGAGCACAGGGCCCCAAAAGAAACTTTTTGTGGAAAGTTCCGAGGCAGCACCCCTGCTGGCCAGTTCTCAGCCTTGTCCACCCCCACAGAGGCTGGCCTGCAGGCACCAGCAGCGGCCCCGGGAAACCACAGTGAGTCTGTCCTTCCTCCTCCTGCTCAGGCATTCCATCACCAACTACACACTTCGATAAAAGCGTGACTCCTCAGACACAGTGGAGACATCCCTGCGCACCTGGACACTGGGGCAGCCACCCCCTCCCCAGCACTGGTGGGGGCAGAGAGCAGGGGCCTGGCAGCCAAGCCCAGGGGCTGCAGGGGGTCCATACCCATCCTCGCAGCAGCTCATAGGCCATCACCCCCACCGACCACCAGTCCACCTCGAAGGAGTAGCCGGTCCCGCCGTTGACAAAAGAGTGGAAGATCTCCGGAGCTTTCCGACAGAAAGAAGGAAAAACAGCTGCCACGGGGTCACAGCCCGGACCCGTGGGCACAGGGCCGGCACCTTGAGGCCACATCCCGAGACCAGGCTGCCTCCAGGGTGGGACAGAGAAGCCACCGAGGTCTTGTCCTTCCCACCTGGAGGAAGCCAGCTCCCATCTGGAACCCCAGCTCGGGCTCACCCATGTACGGCTTGGTGCCTGCTAATGCCGTCGCCCGCTCCCCGTCCTTGATGATGGTGGCAATGTTGAAGTCGGTCAGGTGTGCATGTCCTGTGCAGAGAGGGGTCAGGTGTGGCTGTCCCAGGACCAGAGATGCATCCTTGCGTGCAGGATCCTCCTCCCCTGACAGGCCCATCCCTGCCACCACCCACCTGGGCTGCCCACACCCAACCCCACACACCTCTCTCATCCAGGAGAATGTTGTCAGGCTTGACATCTCTAGAAAGAGCAGAAAGTGGGAAGGTGAGTTGGGAATCTGCCCTGTTTCTGCCCTGGAATCTCTGTCACAATCCCTGGAGTCCCCAGGACATCCCACCAACCCACTCGAGGCAGAGGCCTGGGAGCTTGACTTGGTCCTTGGATGATGCTAGGACCTCACACCCCTGCGTGGGGGCAGAGGCGATGAAGTCAGCCACTTCGTTCCCTGTGGCATCTGGGCAGCAGCACACACCTGGCACCAGATGCTGGGAGGGGGCCTGGAGCCCCAGAGGACGAGAGCAATTGCTGGCAGGGTCTGCCCTCCCCCTCCAAGACTCGGCCTCTAGGAGACCAAGCCACCTCGGCTCTTGCTTTGTCCCAACTTTTCCAGGTACACAGCCAGTGCTCAGTGACTGGTGCCTAGGTCATAATCAGACATCCGAGTCCCCAAGAGCAGAAATGCAAACACCAGTCCATTCGACTTTAAAATATACCTCACAGATATTTTCATTTTGTTCCATTGCTGCGGAATTTCAGCCTAATTTCTGCTTCCCAATTTCACTTCCTTCATAATCTGCTTCCTATTTTCTTTTTTTAAATTTTATTTTCAGAGCCATCACACCAGCTCTGCTTCCTAATTTCATCTGCTTTAAGCTAATGTTAAAATTAGTTTGGATTCCCTGGGATGTGGTGGATGGGCAAACAGGAGCCTTCAGTTAAATGGACCAGGTGAAGGCCACCTGCTGTGACCCAGCCTGGTGGTCTGTCCACCAGGGCTAACAGCCCACTGTGCCCAGTCTCAGCTGGGGCTGCTGGGACGAGGTCCCCCCAGATGGACACCAGGCACACAGCTATGGGGCTGACCTGGTCGGCACAGGTGCCACAGCTGGGGGCAGGCACTCAGGCAAGGGTGGGGCAGAGGAGCTAGACCCGCTCTGAGGGAGTACGGCCGCCGTGCCGGCAGCCTGACCTAAGGCTGCTTCAGCCCCGCCCACCTCAGCAGGTACCTGCGCCGTCTGCCACGCACACACCTGTGGATGATGTGCTGGCCGCGCAGGTAGTCCAGAGCCAGTGCCATCTCGCAGATGTACAGCCTCACCGTGTCCTCGGAGAACTGCACGTTCTGCTGCAGGTGGTAGCGCAGGTCCCCGCCCAGTAGCAGGTCCACGACCATGAACATGTCCTCCTCGTCCTGGAAGGAGTACCTGTGGGCACCGATGGAAGGCCTGTTGTGCGCACAGCTGGGGAGCCAGTCATGGCTGCTCCCACAGCTGACACACTCCCCCTAAGGACCACAGCCCCACCCCAGCATCAGCCACCAGGCATTCCCAGGAGGAGGGGCCTGCCCAAGGCACTGATTGCACCCCAGCCCAGAGCAGCTCTGAGCCCAGATCCTGAGGAAAGACACACCACCCTGTGCTGGAGGTGGCCCAGCTGGGGCCAGAGGCACCTGGGAGTGGCAAATGCAGAGCAGAGCTACAGTGCCAGCTCCGGGTGCTTCAGGCTGCCCGGCCTCCTCTTCGGTAAAATGGGGATACAGACATTTGCCTCGGAGGGTTGTTACAGAAAATGAGGCCGTGTAGGTACCACTCTTGACAGTGTTGGGCAAAGAGCTGGCATTTAACAACCAGCATCCATGGTGTTGACGATGGCAGTGATGGTGGTGGTGGTGACGGTGATGGTGAGGATGACGGTAGTGAGGACTGAGGGTGGTGGTGATGGTGATAACAGTGATTGTGGTCGTGGTGGTGGTGGTAATGGTGGTGACAATAGTGATTGTGTTGATTATAGTGATGACGGTGATGAGAGTGATGATGGTTGCAGTGGTGATGGTGGTGGTGATGGCGATGATGGTGGTGATGGTGATGGTGATGACAGTGGTGAGTTTTTCAGTCCCTAAACTCTCTCCCTCTCTGACTAGTGCCAGAGACTCCATGGGAGCACATCTCCATTGTAGGGAAGCCCTGGTCTTCCGGCAGGCTCAGAAGAGACACTGCATTAACCAACCCCAGCATGTCATGGCCACCTGGGCCACTGCCAGGCCTGGGGCACAGGAAGGGGGATAGATGAGGAGGGCTAGAGAGGGCCTGTGGGTGGCAGAGGCATCTCCGAGGCACGAGGGCCAAGGAGCACCAAGGGCAGGAGAGGATAGCCAGTGCCTTCCCGGCTTCAGGACGGTAAGTCTTTCTGCAGCGAGGCCATGGCAGGCTCACCAGAGGTTCACCAGGAAGACGTGCTCGATCTCCTGCAGGATCTCCAGCTCCCGGAAGACGTTGCGGACCTCGTCGCGCTCGATGCACTGCTGCTTGTTCATGTACTTCATGGCGTACATCTTCTCCGTGTCCCGCTTCTGCACAATGCACACCTGGAGGGCACAGGGCTGTTCGGCAGGACGCCTGAGGACGCCTGGGGACACGTGGGGACACCTGGAAATGCATGGGGATGCCTGGGGACGCATCGTCAGGACACAAGGGGACACCTGGGGACGCGCCGCAGCCCCTCTGCCTCCTAGACGCGGCAGGTGCATTCCTCTCTGCCACATATGGTAACATATTTGCTCTGGGGATTAAGATGTGGGTGTTTTGGAGGCCGTGATTCTGCCCCCCAGAGGTTCCTGTACTGGTTAGTGTGTGGCCCTGGCGGCACCTGTCTCAGTGACATCCTGGCTCCATGGCTGTTAGTGAAGACCCCTCCCTGAGACTCAGTCCTGCGTTTCAAGTCTGCAGCAGGACACATCTGTCAACAGGCGCTATCTGCAAACAGACAGGGTCCAGCCTAACAGCATCCAGGCGTGAGTTGGAGCCAAGCAGTGGCTGGTTGTGCGGGGAGCGCCCCTCACCAGCCACGACCTGGGCATGGAGTTTTGCCTTCCTAAACCCCAACATCCTTTTCCAGGGCTTGGAGCAGCAAGCAGCCCGGAGGGGTACTGGGGAATGAATGCGAAAACCCACTGAGCACAGAGCCCTGCGCTCAGGAAGCCTCATCAACCATGGCTGCAGCTTCACCCTGGACGCACATCACTCCACACTCCAGAGACCGACTCCCGTCTCAACACCGTGAGGCCAAGGCCCCTCACCCTGTCCTGCAAGGAGACACACAGAGTGAGCGTGGGGCTTGGGGGCCACCGCTGCCACCACAGTGGGACCCCCTCCGGGGCGCCAGTCCCCACATAGCTCTTCAGGCCTGTACCCTCTGAGCATGGATCATCGGTGTCAACACTGATGCCGCAAACACACGGCTAATTGCTTAGCAGTGAGGATGAGAGTGAGGTGACGGGTGAGAAGCATCAATGAGCAGGGGGGTCCCTTGTGGCCAAGGATGTCAATCAGAATTGAGGATGAAGATCCCCAAAGGGAAGCCAGGAATTAAGGCACAAAATTGTGAGCAGCAGAGCTAACCCCTGTCTGACACTCAGGTTGGGAGAGACCTTCCCAGGACAGGTAATCCAGACCCGTTTCCAAGGCCTTCCACAACCTCTGCTCTCTGGTCCTCAAGGAGTTGGAGCCCAGCAGGGGGCCTGGAGGAAATGGATGATTCTGGATCTCAAGGTGGGCCACAGATGGCCCTGGGCTCCTGGCTGCATGCCCGGAAAGCGTGGTGGCACACACCCGTAGTCCCAGCTACTCAGGAGACTGAGAAGGGAGGATTGCTTGAGCCTGAGAGGTTGAGGCTGCAGTGAGCCACGACTGTACCACTGAACTCAGCCTGGGTGACAGGGCGAGACCCTGTCTCTAAAAAAATTAAGTCAGATGATTAACAACCTTAATTCAATCTGCAATCTTCATTCCTCTCTGCCACGAATGGTAACATGTTTGTTCTGGGATTTGGATGTGGGTGTTTTGGAGGCCATGATTCTGCCCCCAGAGGTTCCTGTACTGGTTAGTGTGTGGCCCTGGAGGCACCTGTCTCAGTCACATCCTGGCTCCGGGGCCCTTACTGGAGACCCCTCCCTGAGACTCAGTCCTTTTGTGAAGCAAAGCGGTGACCCTCCCTCCCGCAAGGGGCCACTGGGAGTCACACTGTGCACAGAGCACCGGGCTGGCCCAAACTAAGAAAGCATGTCTGATGGTGCCAAGCGGTGGCCTGGGTGGATCCGGCTGCAGCACTGTGGTGCGGGAGACAGTGGCTTGGCCTGGCACCATGGGCTCTAAGTATGGCCTCTCCAGGAAGCTGACAACAGGCGTGGCCTCAGCACCTCCCTGCCCGGTGGGAGGGGAAAGCTGAGCCTGAAGGGACAGGAAGAGCCTTGTGTTGGGGGCTGCCCAGAGGCGCGTGTGCTGATGGGGGCTCCTGAACACGCGGCCACACCTGCTGAGGAGCGGGGGCAGCTGCAGGCAGCCCGAGAACAGACGGAGACTAAGCTTGAACGAGGCCGCCTTGGGAGGGCGGGGCGGGGCGGGATTTCTCCTGAACTTCCTGCATTTCCTATGACCATTTTTTAAATTGTTATTTTGAAAGCCAGTTGAGGGTTTCAGAATGACAGTGAGCGTAAGCTGCAGCAGCCCCTGGCTGCCCCTGGCAGGACCCCCTCCTGCCGCTTCCCACTGCCAACGGGGCAGAGTCGCGTGGCTCGGCAGCACGGCCTTCCTCCCATGCACACGGCCGCAGGAGGCCGAGGAGTCCCGTGCCCGGGATGGAAGCCCCAGCCTCACTCTGCACAGGCGCAGAAGCAACGGTGCTTTCCTGCGCCAGCCCCAGCACCCGCGGCCTCCTGCAGACGGTCACTGCAGGCTCAAGGCGGCCACTGCAGGTCTGGAAACTGCTCCAGAAAGGCTGTTTGTTGCCCTGGGGCTGGGACCAGACAGGCTGTGAGACAAATATGGTGGAAAATCCGGCCCTCACCCTCTGCCCCTCAGGAGCCTGGCTTGGGGCCACTGGCTGGGGCCAGGGCTCTTGCTGCTGGGGGGGAAGCTGGCGGGGGGGGGGGGGCTGCAGAGCCCACCTCTGCCTGGAGCGGCGCCAGCACCCGCAGCCCAAGGCCGTCTTCAGCCGGTCCCAAGCCTCAGGCTTTCTGTCGCTTGTGCACCACCCCAGAAAGCTGCCTGCCCAGGCGACCCAACCCTCTCCAGGCTCCCTCTGCCCCTCCTGCTCACGATGCAGCTCAGCTCTTACGGGGGAATCTCTGGAAGAACACGCCTTCCCTTGGGGTGCTCAACCCCCACAGCCCACTCACCAGGGGACAGGGCACCTGGGCTTCCCGTGCCCTCTGGGCCCTGTCACATGTGCGGCGGACACAGACCGGGTGTCTACTCCAGACAGGACCTCACCCTCCTGCCAGACAGGCTCACCCAGGACCACCCGCTTTCCCAAGCATGTGGCCTGGGCTCCATCTGGGACCAGCCCCTTGGCCCTGTGACCCAAGCCTGCTCTCCCCGTCACACGCATCCCATCACCCACAGCCAGGGAGCAGGGACAGAAGAGCCACCTCGAGACAGGGCCTGGCCTCGCACACCCACGGCTCTGCTGTCCACCAGAACAAAGCAGCAGATCCACTTGCCTCCAGCCTGTTACCCCACCTGGGAAACAAACTGCCTGGATGGTGGAGCCATCAGCCACAGTCCAAGCCCCTGGCCTGGCCCTGTGGGAGGAGCTGCCCTGAGGAGCAAGGGGAGGCAGGGTTACACTCAGGTCTCCCGAGTCTTTGGGCTCTGTGTCCTGGAACATTCTCAGCTCAACTGCAGTTCAAGAAAAGCTTGCAAGTCTTCCTATATGCCAGCCCCATGCAAGGTACTGGCAGTGCAGGGTGAGTGGCCATGGTGCCTCCCTGGAGACCCTGGTGGAAACGCCTCGATCCCTCACAGCAGGCCCGAGTGCGTCCCCAAAAGACACAGCCACCAGGAGCCTCGGAATGTGGCCTTATTCGGAATAAAGGTCTCTGAAGATGTAATTAAGTTGAGGATCTGGAGGTCCTGAATTGGGATGGGCCCTAAAGCCAATGATAGACACCCTGATAAAAGACAGAAAAGAGAAGATGACGCAGGCATGGGGGCGAGGGAGTGTGAAGGTGGAGCAGAGGCAGTGATGTGAAGATGCCAGCCTGGGAATGGAGTGACATGGCGGCAAGCTGAGGACACCACGAGTGGCCAGCAGCCACCAGACGCCGGGAGAAGGCACAGCGGGTCCTCCCACGGAGCCGCCCAGAGGGCCCACCCTGCCAGGTCTCAGGCTTCCCATCTCCAGGACTACAAGAGAAACTTCTGTTGTTTGCAGACACTGAGCTACGGAACTTGGTTGTGGCGGGAAACTCGCTTTCTCCACGCCTCCTGTGTCTCTGCATCCCTGATAACACCCTGCAGACTCTGAGCACCTGCGGCCACGCCTGCAGGCAGCAGCCTCACCTGCGCTCACGCTGCGCCCTCACCGGAGCACCTGCCAACCCAGCAGCCCACTTCCCCTAATCTCCTTCACCATTTTCTGACCCAGGCCAGCAGGTGGGGAGCCTGTCCTGCCCCTTATCACTAGGACCCGCCCTCTGAGGCCTGGACTGTCAGGCACGTTGAAGGTGGTTTGGGGTGGTGTGGGGTTTTCCGTTGAAATGGATTTGATTAAGTCAATCACATCAAAGTGCTCTTAGGTGAAGACAACAGAGAAGAGGGCGGGTCCGGCAGGCTCCCTCGGGCCCCTGATGCAGGAGGCTCCAACGAGCGGTGGCGTAAAGCCCTGGGTTTGGTGCAGTCTCTGTCTGGAGGGACCTCAGCACCCGAGATCACGCAGAGCAGTGTTTACAAAAAAGACTGGAAACCGGCGGCCTTTTATGACCAGGCCTGGGGGGCTGAGGGCAGGCAGGTCCGACTCAAACGCTTCCTCCAGGAAACTGGTCCCTGCTTTCCCAGCCGCTTCCTCCAATCACCAACTTAAGCCCAAAGAGAAAATGGAGTTTGAGGTCTCACCACAAAGAGGAACAAGCCAACCCCGGGCTCCGGAGCCCTGGGCTTTTCCTATGAAACGCCACTGATGGGGAGGCCACAACGCCACCCGGAGCCCTGGGCTTTTCCTATGAAACGCCACTGACGGGGAGGCCACAGCGCCACCCGGAGCCCTGGGCTTTTCCTATGAAACGCCACTGACGGGGAGGCCACAGCGCCACCCGGAACAGGCTGGTGCCTGCAGCCATGTGACTGCCAATTCAACCAAATGCTGTTTATGCATTTGGCAGATTTAAGTGATTCACCCAAGCTCTTTCTCTTTCCAAGTAATTTTTGTTCCCCAGAAGCAAATGCCTGACCACAAGTACCTAAGGCCTCTAAACGGTATAATGAAACCACCTCCTAATCCTTCCTGGGGGAGCTTCTGGTGTCCCAAGGAGAAGTAGAGCCTGGGGACGTGGGGACAGCAGGGCGGGACAGGGCAAGGCAGGCTCCCTCCCAGGGTTCAGTGCTGGGTACCACAAAAACGGGAGGGTCAGTGCCCAGGACGGGGCTGGAGAAGGTGTCTGCAGCGGCTGAAGAAGGTGCAGCCCAGTATGGGGCCTCTGGGGAGGGCACTGGAGGCAGAGGGGTCCCCCAGGCAGAACCGGGCTCCCGTGCACTCCAGAGGCAGTTCCATCTCTCACTCTCCTCCTGCCCCTCCTGAGACCCCCCTGAAGCTGTTCTCTTGACGTCCCTGAGAAGCTGTGTCCCATAGGCCACTTGTCCCAGGTCCCTCTCCCTGGATGAGCTCAGGATTCTAACGCGGTGAGTGGGAATCCGTTTTGGGGTTTCAGTTTTCCCCCGATGCCTAGTGGCTGCTTCCTAGGCCATGGCTGGTGAAGTTAAGACGCCTCACGAGGCCACAAACCTCTCAAGAAGAGGTGGACCCTGGCAAGCTCACCAAGGGGCCTGGGTGGCGGCTGTAGTGGCCATGCTGCGATGGCACCACCTGGCACTGAGGCTCTTGTTCCATCCACTGCAGATGGCAGAGGGGGGTCTTTGTCCCAAGAGGCTGGGAACCCCCCATGCCCTATGGCTGTCAGGTGTTGGTGGCCAGGCAGGGGCACTCAGCCCACCGGCTTCCCAGGGGACGGAGCTACCTCCCAGGCCCACACGCGCTCCCGCCTAAAGCCCTTGTTTAGTCAGAACATTGCCGTGGGGCTAAGGCACACAGTTGCTGCGACTGCAGGATGGCCCCTTCGGCAACAGCTGCCTCCCCTCAGCTGCTTCATGCTGGCTGGAGCCTTACTGGGCTTGGAAGAGCAGATGGGCTGGGGCGCCGTCTGAGTCCTCGCCACTGTGGAACTACTATGGACATACTGTTTTCTGGTGCTTGCATGCAAGCGATCGTTCCGATGAGGTCTGGGATTCTTGGCTATCTTCAAACAGAGCTTGGAGATGCTGCTCCTGAGTGGCTGAGAACCTGTGGCCTCGTGGACTCTCCCACTTGGGGATAACCAAGGCTCTTAACACCTTGCCTGGCTACTCCCAGCTCTCCTCGCCCTGGGATCGAGGACCTGTGTGCAGGATGTGCATAATCCGTGATCCATCTTGAGGGCCACCCTCCATGCTGCCCGAGCTTGACAGCCGCTTCCAAGGGAGCTCTGCCGCTGTTTCTCCCTTGTGTCCTCCTGACACTTCCCGATGCATCCCCGAGTTCTGGGAGGCACCTCCACGTCCCTTCCTCTTCTGCCACATTCCCATGCCTTGCCACGGTCCCCTCTGAAACAGCGGGGGTTCCTCCAGCAGGTTTGCCCACTTCGCTTTTTCTGCCTTGCCCTGCTGCTAGGTGAGGTCTCTATGAATTCTTGGGGGGACTCTGGGTGCTCCTTCACTCAGAGAGCTTTCTCTCACCTGTTTCCACACAGCTCTGAGCCCAAAGGGTTTCACCCTCCACACCCTGCATCCTGTGCTCTGTATGGCCCCTTCTGAGCTTCCGGCCCCTTCATGCCAGGGCTCTCCCCCTCCTGCTTGGGGAGTGGTGGGATGCCGGGGCAGGTGTGGCTGCCATCCGTTCCTGTCAGTCAGGGACCACCTCTTCTTGCATCTCTGGCTGCCTCGAGCCTGTGGCTCTCATGAGCTGCTGGGGGGGCCTTGGGGGTTGGAGGTCAGGTAAAGACAGGAAGTCTGTGTTGTTCAAAGCCTTGCACATGGGCTAATTTGTTACAGCAGCCATTGGACACTTGTGCAGTATGCCCACCGGGGCAGGTGGGAAGCTTGTGTGGCACGCCCACCAGGGCAAGTGATGTGGCTGTGAAGGGACCTAGGGCAGGGATACACATTGTACAGGGGGCACCAGACACACGGTTGGGGAAGAAAGCAAGGTGAAGCTGTGACTGGTGTGAGCGGTGTGAGCAGTGTGAACTGTGAGTGGTATGAACTGTCTGAGTGGTGTGAGCTGTGTGACTGGTATGAACTGTGTGAGTGGTGTGAGCTGTGTGACTGGTATGAACCGTGTGAGTGGTGTGAGTGGTGTGAGCTGTATGAGTGGTGTGCCACCCTTGATGGCAGAAGCAGATTAAACAGATATGTTAAAAGAAATCAGGCCAGGCGCTGTGGCTCACACCTGTAATCTCAATACTTTGAGAGGCGGAGGCGGGCAGATCACGAGGTCAGGAGTTCAAGACCATCCTGGACAACATGGTAAAACCCCGTCTCTACTAAAATACAAAAAATTAGCTGGGTGTGGTGGCGTGTGCCTGTAATCCCAGCTTCTCGGGAGGCTGAGGCAGGGGAATCTCTTGAACCTGGGAGGCGGAGGTTGCAGTGAGCCGAGATTGCACCATTGCACTCCAGCCTGGCAACAGAGCAAGACTCAGCCTTAAAAAAAAAAAAAAAAAAAAGGAAAGAAATCAATCAATCAATGGAAATATGAACTAAAATCTTTTTTACAAGGGATATTTCTAGAAGGAAGGAGAAGGCAGGAGGAAGGGACAGTGTCGGGGCCTCCAGGTGACGTGGGCAGCAGAAGCAGACAGGATGCTCAGGACACAGAGCCATCTGGGCCCTCAGCAAGTAAACAGCAAGGACAGGGCCCACAGAGTGACCGGCGGTCACGGACCCACCTCACTGCACAGACTCATCCAGATCCTGATTGAGAGAAACCATCAGAAGACATTCACAGACACTGGGAGAACACAAGCCTGGCGCAGTGTGATGGGATCGTAAAGACCGTTGTTTCAGGTGTGGAAAAATACCGTGGCGGTGGCTACGAAGAGAGTCCTCATCTTTAAAGATAACACACTAAACTATCAGTGGATAAAATGACACACTCTCTGGAATTCATGTCGGATACCGAGGGCACAGCGGGAGGTGGCGAAGGTTGTGGCTGTAACAGGATTGGTGTCGCGTCGGTCCCTGATGAGGCCGGACCCGGGTGCTTGTGGGGGGTCACAGTGTTCCTCCTCTATACCATGTGAGTTGCATCTTCTAAAAACTAGAAAAAGAGAAGAGTTGAGGCAATGCTTCCGTGGCCCCAAAGCCCACACATGGGCCTCAGTCAGGAGCACAGAAAGGACCCCTGGCCCCTTCCCCAGGTGGCAGAGCCTGCGCACGGCCTGGTCAGCGAAGGGACGTGGTCAATGCTGGGACCTGGGCTCTGGGCCCACGCGGAGGCCCGACTGCCCCGGAAATGGCCAACAATGTCCCCGCGGTCCTGGATGCCACAACCTGTCATGAGGTTCGCAGAAGGGGGTGACCCGATGGGGTGGCCAGGGGCTCCCGGTCCAGATGAGGAAGCTGAGGCTGGGTGGCAGGTGGCAGCCCCACCGTGCACGGGCCCCACACACACTGGGCAGCTGTGTCTGCCACGTGTGGGCCCAGCGCAGTGGCGAGGAAGCTTCCTTCTCACTCGCGGGCTCGCTGCAGGACAGCCAGGAAGGCAGCCCAGGAGGGGGTGCCTATGACATATTTGAGACTGACCTGAGGCAGCATGACAAGTTTAACTTTCCACACCAGAACGGCTCAGTCACCCTCAACATGGTTTCCAGTACTATCCCCCACCCACCCCAGTGGCTCCAGCCGGCAGCCAGAGATAGAAACTTAGAGGCGTGTCTCCCACCTAACAGAGGCTTCCTTTCCCGGCCATTCAGACATGTGCCTGCCAGCTTACATGTCCATCACGGTGTGACCCTCGACCTGGTGCCTGGGGTTCACCCACCAAGCAGACCTCCTGTGGACCCGACAAACGTGTTGGCCCCAGGGTCCCTGCACTCCCTGCTTGTGCCCCCGACCTCCAAGTGCTTGTGGGCACCAGGCCTGCCACGCGCCCGCCAAGGTCTGTAAGTACTAGAAGATCTTCAGCTTCCACACTGTGGTTGTATCACGGAAACCCTGTCTGCCCCAGTTCCACCCCTAACGACGAGGCCGGCCCTCAGGGACCCACACGGGTGGATGGATCCCTTGGTCTCTGGCCACAGCCTCCCGACTGTTGAGACCGGAGCTGCCAGCTGGGTGGGCGGTTTCATTTTAAATGCCCACTCCTGCCCCTGGGCTCCCACTCCCTGACTGTGCTCCCTGGACTGTGCTCCCTGGACTGTGCTCCCTGGGCTCACAGGCTGGGCCCCTCTGCCCTCCACTGGCGTTTGCTCCTCCCAAGCCAGGTGACCTGACCAGAGGCCAGTAGGGCCACCTCTCTGGCCTCAGCTTCCTTGCAGCTCTAAGGCAAAGGCAAGGACCATGCACACGCCTGTCGAGGGAAGAAAATGAGAAAATGGATATGAAAGTTCTCCTCCTCCTCCTGAATCAGTCATGAGGGAAACAGCTATTTTAAGGCATAAAGGTGCAGCCTGGGTGACCCAGAGAGACGGGCCCGGCAAATTCCCACCGCCTTTTGGCCCATTTAGGAGCACGTGGTAACCACTCCTTCCTAAGCAGACTCTGCGCCGAGGTCCCCACGCAGGGTTTCTTTGCTCCTGCAGTGGTGGCGGAGGTGAACCCAAAGCAGAGGGCGAGGCACAGAGGAACCTGAGTGTGCCGGCGGGGCTGGCCCCGGTGCAGCTCCATCCCTCTGCCCCCAAGTGCAGCTTCACCCCTCTTCCCCCAAGTGTGTGCCGGCGGGGCTGGCCCGGTGTGGCTTCACCCCTCTGCCCCTAGAGCCTGGAGGAGAACCAGCCCTGGAAGAATCAGCTTCCCCACAGCAGGGAGAGCAGGATCCCCCTTTCCCGACCATTTAGGAACCTCCAGCTGCCTTGTACACAGGGCTCCTCCGGGTTCTCTAATCAGTGCTGCCATCCCCCTCCCAACGCTGGCCTGGTGGGAGGTGATCTGTTTAATCCTCAGCATCTCTGCCTCCCTCCAAAGCCACTGTGGTCAGACCCAGCACAGCCTGGAGCCCCCGAGACTCTCCAGCCCTGACCCTCCCAGAGAAAAGGCAGCTGCTAAGCTGGGCCCCTCAGTGTGGCAGGCAAGTGGACGAGGCCTGGGGAACTGCCAGCAGTGCTGGCGGGGGAACTTCCTCCCACCATCTGGCCAGGGCACGGGGCAGCCTCCTTGGGACCGAGGCAGCTTCTACTGAGGACTGTGGTGCAGCAGCTGCTCTCGGAGGCCCCCACGGGAAGCTACACAGCAGGTCCAAGAGATCCACATGATTCAGGAGATGCCCCTTGCTTTAAAATGTAGGTTTTATTATCACACAGGTGGGTGAGATCAGGAGATGCCTGCCATTGATGAGACCGTTCGTTATAGTTACCAACAGGAGGAGGGGCATGCCACACCGTGGGGCCACACAGCAAAGACCAGGGTCTCGGAGGCAGACGACGTGAAGGGGAAACACGGGCAGAGCCTTAGTGGAGGCTTCCTCGGGAAAAGCAGGGAAAGGCGGGGAAAGCCAGGTGAGCAGGTTTGAGACTGGCCTGTGGGAATACAGGCCTGCCCTGGTTGTCTGGGGTCAGGTCCTGAGGTGATTCATGCAGGGGATGTGGGCTCAAGCCTGGGAAAGCATAGAGCAGACGGCTGGGGGTGAGCTGGGGGTTGCATTTGAAAGGCAACCAAAGGCAAGTGTTTCTGATCTCTAGGAAGTGGCTGGCCCAGGAGGGGCAGTCTCTCCAGGGTCAGCAAGGCCCTGACATTAAAGCGTTGGAAATACACAGTTCATACATGTGCAATGCATGCACACACACACACATACCACATACACACATGCACACACAGAGGCATGCACACACACGCAACACACAGACATGCAGGCACACACACGTTCATGTACACAGGTATGCACACACAGAGGAGCGGGCACGCTGGGTGGACACTTGGGCGGAGACCAGGCTGCAGTGCCGGGGTGACTGTCCAGCCCTGTCGGGTCCTCAGTGCTCCTGAAACCCTCGCCCTGGGCCAGGCTGGACATGCAGGGCCAAGCACTCCCCATCAGAGGTCCAAGGGAGGAAGATCACACTGCACTTAACCATTTAAACCCCAAAGCCAGACAGGGTCTGCAGTGGCCAGTACTGCACTCCACAATCCTGAGAGCCACAGGCTGGAACCCTCAGGATGCTGGTGGGTATTTTATAGATGGTGTGAGGGCTCAGGACAAGAGCACTGTGTGCACTGAGCCTCCCCACAGCCTGTCCTGGGGCCCTCGGTCCAGCCGGCAGATTCCTTTGGTCCCCACAGGAGAGCAGGTCAGCTCAACCCAGTAAACATTCTCTGGACCCGGCACCAGCAAACGGTCCTCCCCAAGCTGGGGGAGCCCATCTCACACACACAATCACAGAATCACAGCAAAGTCAGCAAAAACCCAAACAAAGCCTGTATCAAACCATCTTAGTCCCAACTAATGGAGTCCAGAAACGCCATTGCTCCAAAGTCCCCAGGGGCACCGCACACTCCCTGCCAGATGGGGGTCGCTCCATGCCACGCACTTGGCCGCCGCAGAGGGCTCCTGCTGCCCTGAGCGGGGTGGCCAGGCAGTGGGCTGGTGAGGAAACCAGAGCCTGTGCTGCTGGAAAGTGGGGGCCATCTGGGAGAAACCCAGGCCCAGCCGCCCGCAGTGACTGCAGCAGCCCCTGCCCCGGGAGCCCGGCAGCAGGCCAGCAGACGCTGCTGGACATCGTCAACTTTTAGCGGCCACTGATGGCTCCCTTTCAGCCAGGCTTCCCGGACACTAGGGGGCTGTCATGTGAGGGGTCACTCACGGCACATAGGCCCGGGTTCCCCAGGTCCCAAGCCCAGGATCCAGGCCTGGACATCTCAGGAGCAGGGTCTGGACAGTGAGGACAGGGACGCATCACTCGCCATGGGAACACACGTCACAGATAAGCAACCCCCAGCACACCCAGCTTCCAATCGACGTCAGCGTCCGCTGGCTGTGAACATGAGGAAGAAACGGAGCTGCCTGTCAGGCTGAGTTCACCCAGGCTGCCTTCCGGTGGAGCTGCCATCCTGGTGGCCTGGAGAGCACGAGGCCCCCCCCAAAGAAGACCCCCAGGGAAGCCCCCCCAGGGCAGAGCCTGGGCTACAGGCAGTGCTGACTCAAGCCGCCTGGGTGGTGGCCTGAAACCCATGACCCCAAGCTGGCAACTGAGTTTCATCCCAGAACCCGGACACCTGCAAGCTCTTCTCAGCCAGTGCTGCTCGCCACCTGCAGCGAGTCCCCCCGATGGATGAGGAACCCTCAGAACCAGCTCCTCCCGGCGTGGACTCAGAGGCCACAGGCTCAGCCACGGTGTCACAGTCACACATGGCAGGGTGGTCCTACAGCAGCCGCTGGCGGGTTGCCATAGCGACCACAGGCACTGTCTTCTCGCTGAGACGGCACAGGGGGCCCAGGTAAGGTGGAATCCAGAGGCCACGTACACAGGCCCTGCACGGGGGCATGGAGCTGGGGAGCCCGGCCAGGCAGACCTTCTTCACCCACAAACATGCTCATCCTCTTCTTGCCTCTCTGTTGGGTCCATCTGAGATGTGGGGTCACTGCAAGGACAGGCGGTTCCTCGGGGTGGGTGGGGGCTGTGGTGAAGGCCTTTTGACCTGTTTTCTTAGTTATTTCCCCACAGCCTGGGAAATGCGGACGCCGTGCGCCTGTGCTTCTCTCTCTCTCCCTCGGACAGGGGGATGGCCTGGGGTGAGGGGTGCGCAGGGCAGGGCGAGGAGCCCAGCCAGCCAGGGGGGTTAGAGAGGAGAGGGCAGAGACCCACTTAGGGTCAAGGGGCGGGGCTGCACCCAACTGTGCCCACTGCCCAACAGCCAGCCGTGCCACCGAGAAATCCATCTGGGCAAGGGGCTCTCGAACCCCCAAAGGGGCACCACACCCCTAGAGACACGCCTCTGCCTCCTGATAGCTGTGCCCATCAGACACCGTCAAGCTGGCGTCCTGGTGCTCCCTGCAGCATTCTGGCCGAGTGGAAATCCGGCCTCTGCCCCTACAGAAGTCAACGGGAACACACGATCTCCCAGCACTTAGCACTCACACCCCAAACACTCCTAGTTAAGTGAGGGCCTGGCTGTTATTCCCAGGAGCACCAGCCACAGCTTGGCAAAGCCAAACCCGACCCTCCACCCACACCTGCTGCCCAGGCTGGGTGCAAGAGCCACACGCCCAGCCCACCCAACTCCTCCAGCCAGAAGCACAGCCGTGGCTCCAAAGAGGCATCCAAAGAGGACGCCGACTGCCCCTTTGACAGCTGCGGGAAGGCAGGGCTCAGGGCCAGGCAGTGGCTCAACGACAAGGTCGACAATTTAACACTGGGAAAAGTTAGAAAATAAAGTCTGTTAGTCACGGCAGCAAAAAGTTCCACGTAACAACATGACATAGAATAACCATAGGAACGACGTATCATCAACGGAACAAAATGTGAAGAATCAAGATGAAAAAGCAGACGCCTATTTGGGTAAAAGACACTAGACCCCTAGATGGGTAAGATCTCAACTTTGCTCTCAATTAATCTGAAAACGTAACTCCTATCCAAATCCCAGCGGGGTTACTTTCGACCTTGACAAGACGTATTCAGAAGTCCGTGTGGAAAAATAAACACGAAGGAAGAGCCGGCATTTTTGGCAGAGTGTAGAAGAGGCTCCAGAACACTGCGGACTCACTGGTCAGCGAACCCTTCATTCAGGGGACAGAGCGGGAAGCCCAGAGAGAGGCCTGCACCCTCGACGGGCTGTCCACAAGCAGCTCCAGACCTCAAGCCCGCCAACTTAAAAGTGCTGAATTCCAGCCACGAGCAGCGGCTCACAGCTGTAATCCCAGGACTTTGGGAGGCTGAGGTGGGCAGATCTCTTGAGGTCACGAGTTTGAGACCAGCCTGGAGAACATAGCGAAACCCTGTCTCTACTAAAAATACAAAAAAAATTAGCTGAGCATGGTGGCACACGCCTGTAGTCCCAGCTACTCAGGAGGCTGAGGAATGAGAATCACTTGAACCTGGGAGGTGGATGTCGCAGTGAGCCGAGATCACGCCACTGCACTTTAGCCTGGGTGACACAGTGAGACCCTGACTGAAAAAATGCTGAATTCCAGATGGACTCCATTCTCCCCAGAACAGAACGTTTCTTGCCCTGATCGTGAATGAGGCAGTGCTGGGTGCAGACGGCCTTCAAGCATGTATGGGGGCCAGGGGCTGGTGTCCTCTGAGAGGGGCCATGAGCTGGGAGCTGCTGGGAGGAGGGCGGCTGAAGGCACCCAGGACACGGGACGAGTGGGGGGAGTGCAGCAGGAGGACGGAAGGGCACGGGTGGTGAAGGGGCTCCGACGGCACCAGTAAACTCTGCGTTGTTGACTGTTTGGAGCAGAAACCACTGGAAAACAGCACCTGAGGTTGGGGGGGCTCTCTCCAAACTCCCCTCATCTGCCTAAAGACAGACACTCCAAGAGGAACTGCCAGCACAGCCCCCCTGCAGTTCCAGCGGCCCAGGAAGAGGGACCCTCCCCCGGGAGAGGGGCCAGGATCCACCCCCGCCTCAGGCTCAGTCACAAACCATCACAGCCCCCGCTGCTTCTCCGAGGGCCCTGTAGTCTCCCCAAAAGCTGTGTGCCCCCCATGCGGCCCCCCGCGCCCCCTTCTCCCAGCCTGCACATCAGCCCTTGGGGCCCACCACTGTTTTGGGTGTTTTCTTTTTCCCCCACGATGCCCTGCACACGTAACACTAATAATAAATTCGTATGCTTTTCCTCCTGCCCCTGTGCCTACTGTCAGCACGTTTCACAGACCTGGCTCTCAGCCTCAGAAGGCAGCCAGAGGGGCGGCTCCTCCATGGCACGTTTGGTTTGGGAAACCTGGGCCCAAAGAACAGGAAAACGCTGTACCCCCACCCAGGGGAACCACAGACCGGAAAGGTCAATGGCTTTTAAGAGATGCGTGTCCAGAGATGGGGCCCACCTTACAGGCCAGAGGGGCCGGGGCTCGGCATGGGCTTGGGGTTCATGCCCAGCCCAACCTGCACTGGTCTGCACCCCCCAGCCAAGCCTGGTCCCAGAGAGACCCTGGGGCAGCGACCTCCCCTCATCCCTGGGGCAGCTGCATCCAAGCCACCCACCCACCAGCTCACAGGAGGATGCAGGAATGGGGCTGCCCCCATCTGTGGCTCCTGGGATCATGGCCCTCAGCCTGAGATATCCACAGCCCAAGGCTGGAATGCGATGTCCTGGATTCTGAACAAGCACAATTAGGCAGCGCTGGGGAGGTGGCGAGCCTCTCAGACACCGCAGCCTCTGGAACCCCGGCTGGACGCTGAGGAGGCAGCAGGCTTCTAATCACACTGAGCAGCCTGGGGGCGAGGCGGGGGTGGAGAGTGGGCTGGACGGAAGTCTATGCCGGGTAAGGGGGCAGGCAGGGGCGGAGGGCAGGCTGGACGAATGTCCATGGCAGGGAGAAACAGATTTTCTCCAAGTCTAGATTCCTCCCTGCTAAGTGGTTAGTCCTGGAATTAACTACCGCCACCACTTTCAGCCGGACAGAACCGGGGGCACCATGTACTTCATGCCTCAAAGCTGTCTTCAAAACAGTGAAAATGGTAAATTTGTTATGTGTAATTCACTGTAATTTTTTAAAAACTGAAAACAAAAACAAAAGCCAAGGGCCAGGTCTAGATAATCCATTTCCGAGAGCGGCGGCCCCGAGGGTGGAGCCATGGCCCTGGTGGTAGAGCAGCTGCACCAGGGCCATTTGGCAGGACCCGACTCTACCCGGTCAGACTCTAAATGCTGCGCCGCCCTGAACGGGTGGGCTCCGGTGCTCTGCCAGGGGATCCCACCCCTCAACCCGGAGCCATTTTCACAGGTGGCTCAAACACTGGCAGGGCTTGGGCACAGCTGAGCCTGGGCCCACCACCACCTGCAGGGAAACAGGGGTGGCTGGGGCCCCTGCTGCTGCAGCCCCTCTGAACTGAGGCCACATGTGAGCAGACACAGCTACAGCCCAACCACACGCAGAACCACCCTTCTCAGCCCTCATCCTTCCTGCCATGGGGTCATTGCCTTGGCCAGTGAAAGAGCTGGAAGGACCCCTCCAGGTCAGTGACAGGCCTCACCTCACCCTCCCCTCAGTGCCAGGCACCCATCAACAAGCGCCGCACAGAACCCCTGCAGGCCTGATGAGGAGGCCTAACTGTGAGCCGGAAGGAACCCTCCAGGTGCACGACTACCCCGCATCTGAACACGGCACCCAGCAGCTCGCTCCTGTTCCCCGCATTCCACAGCCGCCCATTTCTGGGCCAGCTGGCGTTTCCGAGCCTCTTAAGGACTGGTCCAAGGAGTAGAACCCTGGCAGTCTACAGATGGTGGGCAGGGCTGAGGCTGCCCACCTGTGCTCATGAGAAGGAGGGGACCATCCCCAGGCAGGAGTGCAGGGCCAGCAGAGGCGGGGGCAACAGGGGCAATGGGGAGATGCTGGGGGCCCCAGGAAACAGCACCTGCACCCGCCAGCCTCGCTCCCCAGGGCAGGTCTCTGCCCCTCAGATGCCCTCGGCCTGGCCCTCTCCAGACATGCTGGCCGGGCCCAGGCTTCCCAACCTCCCTCCTTGAACCTGATTTCTGGATGCCTGGTGACTCCCAGGGTCCCCCTAAGCCACCTCTCCTGAACCTGGTCACAGCTGCCGTCCTCCGCTGCCAGAGGGGAGCAGTCCCCCAAAACTCCATCCTGCCTGCCCCTCGTGCACCCGCTGTGGGCCTGGGAAACAGAACTTAGGCTCAGCTGGGAGGACAGGAGGGTCTGAGTCAGTCCCAACAGCCCTGAGCGTCTCTGACGAACTCCGCCAGCTTCAGCACCTCACCTCGATGGTCAACCAGCCTCACCAGCAACAAAACGGTGCAGGTCCACGGGCGCCTCCCAACATGCAGGGACTCAAAAGCACTCTCTTCTTGGTGCACGGGAGCTTTCTCAATGCACTGCGCAAAGGGGCTCATTTGCTCTGACTTTTCATCATCCCAGGCCTCAAGTAACCCAGTGGAGCCATCGTTTGCTATACAATGAAATGGAGGTAATTAATCGCATTCAAATACCCTACGTATTATGCTCCGGTAGCATGGCAATCGCTTTAAAAAGGGCTTATGGGGCTTAAATAGACACAGTGTCCAGGCAGCTGTACAGCCAGGAGCAGGAGGGAGGCAGCACCCATCTGCTAAGCCTCCCGGGACAGCTGAAAAGAACTGTCCATTCAGAAGTGATTCATCCACAACAGAGCTGCGCGCAGAAGCCGGAGGGCTAATTCCAACCTTTTCCGAGTGCTCGTTAAGCCTCTTTGAGTTATAATTACCCCCAATCTCTAGATATTACAAGGCGGCAATCAGGAAGTTAGATCTGGTCAAGAGAAAACAAAAGGAGAGTAAAGGAACGGGCTCCGTCCAGGCCGGCAAACAGGCCTATCTGGAGGACAGCAGCAGGGCACTCTGGACGGGGCTGGAGACAGGGATAAGGATGAGGACAAGGACCAGCTGAGGATGCACGCTCAGCACCCACCCTCCGTCCTGTCCCCTGTAGGTCCTGAGGAGCAGCCGCAGGCACAGCCTGGCCTCTAGGCTCCAGTTCAGCCAAAGCTGCGATTTTGTCCTCCTGGTGGCTCCTGGACGCTGCGGAGTTGGTGACACCATGGGGCCCAGTCTGATGGCGGCACAGCCAGCTGCCTCCGTGGCAGGAGTGCCCACGTCCTCCCTAAAAGACCTGGAGCCTCTGCCCAGGTAAGGCTGCTTCTCCCAAGGAGGATGGGAGTAGGTGGGCTCAGGGGACAGCATGTCCGACTCCACGGTTCTGCCCCTGCCCCCTCAGCCCAGTCCCCACCCCAGGCCCTGCCTTACCTTGCCAAAGCTGCCCTTCCCAATGGCCCGAAGGATCTGGAAGTGGTCGAAGTTCACTGCAGGATAAAACAGAGGGACACCTGGTGAGGTGGCAGCAAGGCCCCACCCCAGAGCAGCTCCCCCACCTCAACATCCCCCACCCCGACACTGCCCAGGGCCCCTCATCCTAGAAGAGGGTCGCCGTGGGGCGGGCCAAACTCTCGCTCCTGTGCGAGGCAGGAGGGGGCTGAGCCCCGGTCAGTGAAGACATGGGCCTTGGGTCTTGCACGTCCTACTCCCAGGATTGCTATGGGATTAGGCATGTGCTCAGCCACAGCATGGATGGGGCAAGAATGAACCACACACACCTGAGTCCCAGACTCGACTGGGCTGTCTTCCCAGGCACCAGCCACCCCCACTGAAAGCTGCTCCATCCAGTGAAGACCCCCAGACAGGCAGGCCTGGGGTTTTGGGGGAAGCCATGCACACATGAGCAGCTGTTCCTGGTTCCCCTCCACCCTGCTCCGCGTCTCCAGAGGACAGGGGTGTCAGCCCTGCTGGCACTCACTGGGCAAGCCTGGGGGAGTCTGCAAACGGCCCCAAGATGAACAACGAGAGGCGGCTCAGGGCTGTGGCTATGTCCACCATGACCTGTGTAGCCTGGGAGAGCCTGCGCCCAGCATGAGAGCCGTTCCGCAAGCCTGTGCGAAGCTGCAGAAGGCACCATTTCCCACACCTGCAAGTCCCTCCGGGAGAAGGACGGCTCCCCTAATTGTCACTCGTGAGACCTGTCCGTGTGCCCTATTCACACCAAGGAAAGGGATTCTGATGGGCTTTCCAGACCGTCTGCACTTGCCTTTCAAACCCAGGACATTCTCCGTACACATAAGACGGGGGTCCCACAATGTCACCCCCTGGCCTCCAGGACGAGCCCCTCCAGATGACTCCCAGGCCAGCAGCTGCCTCCACTTGTGTCCCCAGGCCTGTGTCCCCAATTCTGCACCCCTAAGTCCGTGTCCCCAGGTCTGCACCCCTCAGTGTGCTGTATCCATGAAGGGCCAGCACTGTGCCCTGAAGCCAGGTTTAGGACACCCGCTGGTTCATGACATTTCACCTATTTACCCACTTTTACCCCAGCCTCATGTTCACTTATTCTCTGGGGAATTCGACAGCTGGAACAACCCCCTACACACATGGTTATTCTAAAGGCAGGGAAGACACAGCCAAGGCCAGAGGCAGACCCGGGGAGACAGCAGGGTAGGTACTGACCCCTCCTGGGAGGCACGGCCTAGAGTCTCATCTCCACTGCTCCCTGGCGGTACCCTGTGCCGTCTGGTGGGGCAAGTGCTTTAGGCACTCAGTGTGTGGAGGAGGAGACAGAACAGTTTCTAGACGAAAGGTTTCTTTGCATTTTCCTCTGAACTGGAAAATGCCCACTCCCTTCCCAGGGCACCCCAGGATAGCCCCAGGTTTCAGCATAGACGCAGCAGGCAAAGTGTCCATCCTCATGGGCCCTGGGGACAGAGTCACACACCCAGAATTCTTTCAGCCTGAGCTACGGGTGCCGTGACAAGGACCCACGGAGGCTTCAGGGCTCCGAGCACAGGGCAGAGCTGGCCTGAAGGCGCAGGGTGGCATCCTGGGGAGAGGACGCCTGTGCTGGGCCCTCCAGGACAAGTAGGCATCAGCTGGGGGAAGGGAGGGGGTGCCTAGGTGAGGGGCCAGCCTGGGCACAGGCAGGAAAAGGACCCCAAGGGTATGGACAGACCCACAAGCTGGTCCTGGGTGAAGTGGGAGGGCAGTCAGCAGAGCACCTGGGGGTGAGGAAGGGGCTGTGACCTGTGGCCTTGGTCTCCTCTGCACAAGACGGTAGTGGGGCTTGACTCGCAGAGGTGGGGAGAGCGGTTTGATTTAAGCGCCTTAGAAAGGCACTCCCCACTGCAAGTGACCAGAGGGGCACTGACTGGCACAGGAGGTTGGGACCAAGTTGACGGAGGGGGTGGGGCTTCAAGGGGTGAGAGAAGAGGCTGCCAGGCATCAGAGCTGGGCACTGGGCAGAAAGGCCGCAGAGGACGGGCCGTGCTGCACAGACAAGACCCGTGGCCGACACCCACAAGCTGACACAGCCTCCACGAGCCCCCGTTCCAGGCGGCAGCTGCCCCACCCTGCATCCTAGCCTCCTTCCTCAAGAAAACCTATGCACGCCCAGAGATTATGTCATCGAGGCAGAGGCTGCTCCAGCACCAGCAAAGCCACTCCAAGGCAGCCCGGGCCGCGGCCGCACAGGCAGGGAGCAGCTGCCGCCATGTGGCGTCACCCAACGTCACCAGATGTTAAAGGAAAGTCAGCTGTGAACCAGCACGTGGGACAGATGGGCTGAACTAGTGGAGGGAGGAGAGTGAGAGGGCAGCTGGGCCGTGGCAGGGGAGATGGGGACACCAATGCCATCCAGCAGCAACCCCAACAGGACAGACCTCGGAGTCTGCGGGGCCTGCCCTGCAGTGGGGAGGGGACAGGGTGTCAGGGCGAGGCCCAGGGCTGAGCTGGCCGCCTACAGCTTGGGGAGATGAACTCCGCTGGGCGGCTCTGGGTCCAAGGACCCTCTGTCCACCTAGGCTCCACCCAGGCCCAGGTTGCCGCTGCCCAGAGACCCCTGTGCTCCTTGCAGCGGCCGGTAGAGGCAAAAGAGCCACAGCGGGCACAGGAGCCCGTGGTCGGCACAGCCTTGGCCATTCCCAACAGAGCTGAGGACGAGGGTGGTGGTCCACGCCCACGTGCATGCCTAGGACGGCCACATGGCACCTGCTGTGCCAGGCCCCTGACCCTGGCACTTGGCACATGGGTACCTGGAGTCCAGTCCTGCACTGCCCTGGGAAACGAAGCCAGCATCTTCCTGTCCATGGGCACGTGCTCTGGCGGCCTCCCCCAGGACCCCAAGCAGCCCGCACAGCACAGAGCCCTAAGCCTCTGGCCCCCGAGCTGTGAACCAGCAAGGGAGTCCAGCCACCATCACCTCCACTTTAGAGAATAAGCACAAGTTCCCAAGGTTAGTCCCTCCCGGAGAGGAAAAGGATGGGAAACAAAATCTATTAAATAACAAGTCAGAAGCATAAGGGAGTCACGGCAATTGGGTCACCTGCGCCCTGCACACCTGCAAAGCCTCCCGACTGTGCGACGGAGGCGGCGGCTCCGGCAGAGGCTCCCAGCTGGGAGGCAGCAGCAAGGCGCATGCGTGCCGGGGCGGGGCTGTGGCGTCAGGGCGTGCAGGGGGCGGGGCGTGCAGGGGGCGGGGCTATGGGGGTCAGGGCGTGTCAGGGGCGGGGCCGTGGGGTTGCGGGAGTGCTGGGAGTGGGGCTGAGGGTGGGGCTGTGGGGTTAGGGGCATGCGGCCCCCACTCTGCAGTGCCTGTGATTTGAACACAACTGTCCCTGCTTCCTAAGACTGACAAGGAGGGCAGCCACAGGGACACCAAGGGACACCAAGTCCAAGACAGCCATGCAGATGCTGCTCAGGGAAGGTGCAGGCAGGGCAGGAATCCTGGATGTGGCTCCAGGATGCCGTGCAAGCAGCAGAGTGGACACCTGTGGGCCTGGGCAGGGCTCACCGCACCAGCGCCCCTGAGAAGCCCCGAGCCAAGTGGTCCCTGCCGGCCATGTCCACAGGGATCCCTGCTCAAGGACCTGTTGGCCCAGACCCCGCAAGGTGAGTCAGGGGCACTGGCAGGGGGCTGACCGGCATCGTGGCTGTCCTCTGGATGACCGTGGCTCCACCCTGATGCCCAGCTCCTGCTGCCCCCAGGTGCCCACCTGGCCTTGCCACTGTGCACAGCGGCCCTCATGCCCTCCCGACCCCAGCCCCAAAGGCTCCAAACCAGTGGAACTGGAGACCCAGTGGCTGTTTCAGGCTCCTGTCCCCAGCTCCTGCCATCAGCAACCCATGAGGGTCTCCGCACTGCCCCAGGCTGGGCCAGGACCTCCCATGACCACCGGCCCTGCCCCACGCAAGCCCAGGCTCAGCCCCATTCCTGGCTCCCAAAGGAGAGGTGAGCTCTCATTCCAGCACTCAGCGGAGGAGATAAGGAAAAGGAAGTCCACCAGCCGGAATCTGTCAAAACAGCTTCCTGTGGGCTTTGAGGGGAGCAATATGTAATCAGCCTGGTGTCCCAAGAGTGGTCCTGCAACCACCACAGTCACCAGGAGCCGGTGTCTACGGAGTCCATCAAACTCCTCTCATGAGAGTTCCCAGAGCTCCCTGCACGCTGGCTCCGCACCGGGGGAGGGAAGGGGCTGAGGCCGCAGAGCCCAGGGTGGCACTGGCAGAGGGGACAGCACCCTGAGGACAGGTGTGTGTGAGGCGCCCGGGACAGGTCACTGCAGAGAGGAGCCCCACCCCGAGGGCAGGTGTGTGTGAGGCGCACAGGACAGGTCACTGCAGAGAGAGGGCAGGTGTGTGTGAGGCGCACGGGACAGGTCACTGCAGAGAGGAGAGGGCAGGTGTGTGTGAGGCGCACGGGACAGGTCACTGCAGAGAGGAGAGGGCAGGTGTGTGTGAGGCGCACGGGACAGGTCACTGCAGAGAGGAGAGGGCAGGTGTGTGTGAGGCGCACGGGACAGGTCACTGCAGAGAGGAGAGGGCAGGTGTGTGTGAGGCGCACGGGACAGGTCACTGCAGAGAGGAGAGGGCAGGTGTGTGTGAGGCGCACGGGACAGGTCACTGCAGAGAGGGGCTCCGCCCCGAGGCAGGTGGGTGTGAGGTGCCCGGGACAGGTCACTGCAGAGAGGGGCCCCGCCCCGAGTGCAGGTGTGTGTGAGGTGCCCGGGACAGGTCATTGCAGAGAGGAGACCCGGGCAAGTGTTCCTGAACCTTCCACGTCTCCGCCTGGCTTTCCATCGGCAGCACGGAAGTCGGAGACCGTTCTAGGCAAAGGTCAACGTCTGGTCCCCAGAGAGGAGGAAGGTTCCAAGCTGGGCAAGAGGCCAACGCTGCACTCAGAGCCCCCAAAACCAATCCCTGCCTCATGGTGGGCTCCATGCAGGCCACCTCCACGCCCACCTCCTTGGGGCCTCAGTTTCCTCCTCTGCCAGTGGGAGGGTACAGTGGCGGTCTGCATAGCAGAGGCCTGGGTGGGGCCTATGGAGCATTAGGGGAGCCAGGGATGTCCCAGCAGGACCCCACCATCCCTGGGGTCACCCCCAAGGAGCCCTGAGCCCCAGGCCCCACACATCTGCCTCCTATCTGCCACAGGACCGGCCTGGGGGTCTAGGAGCCACCATGTGGTCACCCAACAGCAGGGGTGACCCCAGCTACTGGGTCCCCAGGCCATGAATCTGCTCCCAGGCCCTACCCAGTTTCGCCTAGTCCCAAGTCCGCTCTCATGGGGGCCCGTGGAGGGGGCAGAGGCCAGGCCCCTGCAATGGGAGGAGAGGGAGCAGAGGGACGGGTCTGCGTGGTGGTGCCATGGGCAGCCCTGGTCACCGAGGAAGCCGGACAGGCTCCCAGAAGGAGTGGGTGTGCAAAGGGTTGGGGTCATGTCACTTGATCTGGGCCTCAGAGGGGAGTGGGCATGGTCCCTTCCTTATACACAGAGCCTACTGTGAACGGCCGAGGAGCCCTGTGGCCCTGGGAAGGGGGGGCATAGGAGCCCCCACACCATCTCTTTACCCCACCTCGCCCCACACTCAGCCCCTCAGGACTTGGGTGAGCACCCCAAGAGGGTGGTGGGTGCCCACCTCAGATCGACTCTGGCTTCTGGGGGTTGAGCCCTGAATGCAAACCCTCCACTACCCACCACAGGCAGGTCAACACCCTATGCCTCCTGGGGCCTCCGACCCTCCACTACCCACCACAGGCAGGTCAACACCCTACACCTCCTGGGGCCTCCGACCCTCCACTACCCACCACAGGCAGGTCAATGCCCTACGCCTCCTGGGGCCTCAGACCCTCCACTACCCACCACAGGCAGGTCAATGCCCTACGCCTCCTGGGGCCTCAGACCCTCCACTACTCACCACAGGCAGGTCGATGCCCTACGCCTCCTGGGGCCTCAGACCCTCCACTACCCACCACAGGCAGGTCAATGCCCTACGCCTCCTGGGGCCTCAGACCCTCCACTACTCACCACAGGCAGGTCAATGCCCTATGCCTCCTGGGGCCTCCGACCCACGCCTCCCCCTCACATCCCCATCTCATCCTGCTGGGCCCCTCAGGGCTGGACTTTGGCACTGTCTGATCAGAAGTCTCTGGCCAAGAACCCGCTAGGGACATGGCGGCCTGCTAACCAGCCAAGGTCAGAGGTCACCACATGAACCGCTGGCCAGGCCCATTCCAGACCCAGGAAGGAGGGAGACAACCTCCTGGAGTGAACTCTTCAGTGTGGGGGAAACACTCAACAAGCCCACAGTGTGGCACCAGGTGCCAGGGAGGGGGCTAAAGCAGGAAAGGGGGAGGGGGCTGCCATCCTACAAGGCCGTCGGGAGACATTTCTGAAGGGGACATTTGGCAAAGAAGTGTGGGCATGGGTCGTGATTACGGGGACCAAGACTGGTCTGTCACGCTCCTCGGCGTGATTTACGCCGTGCAGTGATGCTGTCAGCGCATCCTTCACCCGTGCTGTCCACCTCTCAAATTAAGACGCAGGTAAAAGGAGAAGCAGACGCAGCTCCCCACAATCCCATCTCACAGCTAGGGGGCTCCTTCCCAGGAACCAGGACACATCTGCCTGAAGGAAGCACCTCTGTACTTGTGTGCACCCAACGGCGGGCGTGGGATGGACGGAGCGGCTCGGAGCTCCGGGCCCACCAGCACCTGCCCTCATTGTGCAGCTTGGCCAAAGGGCCACAGACACAGTCTTCCCAGTACAGCAAATGCATTCGAATCCAGGGTCTTTAAAATATTTATTCTTCAAGGAAGGCTTTTATTTTTTTGGTGTTGGCAACTGAGAGCAGGTCCTATGAGAGTCGCCATCTGAATCCCGCTAAGTGACCCGAGCGTGGGGCCGCCTCCTCCCAGGTCACTCTGGATTCTGCATCCACACAGGTGGGTTGAGAAACCAACACCAGCCCCCACACCTCCCACGGTGTCCGGCAGCCTCTCCAGGTCCTCCCCAAGGGCTGCTAGCTGGGGTCTCAGTCCCTGAACCAGGCCCCACAATCAGAGATAGGTTCTCTTGAGACTTGTCAGCGCTAAGCCCAGCACCCAGACAGCAGGGACGTTCGTCCTCCCTAACGCAGCATTTCCCTGTTCTCAGAGAGTTTTGCCACCATCTCCAGGCTTACCAGGAGCAACAAAATAACCAAAGAAAAGGCAAGGAGCTTTTCCGGAAAGCAGCACTCCAACGCAATTGTTTCTGGTTTCTGGGTTGCCAGCACAGGTGGCCCAACCACATGTCTGCCTGGAAGGTCCTGCCGGGCCTGGGAACTGGAACCGGGCAAAAGGAAGCTGGAGGGAGCAGAGGGAGCTGGAGGGAGCCGAGGGAGCTGGAGAGAGTCAAGGGAGCCTGGGGAGCCGAGGTAGCTGGAGGGAGTCGAGGGAGCTGGAGGGAGCTGGAGGGAGTCGAGGGAGCTGGAGGGAGTCGAGGGAACTGGAGGGAGCTGGAGGGAGTCGAGGGAGCTGGAGGGAGTCGAGGGAGCTGAGGGAGCTGAGGGAGCCGGAGGGAGCTGGAGGGAGTCGAGGGAGCTGGAGGGAGTCGAGGGAGCTGGAGGGAGCTGGAGGGAGCCGAGGGAGCTGGAGGGAGCCGAGGGAGCTGGAGGGAGCTGAGGGAGCTGGAGGGAGTCGAGAGAGCTAGAGGGAGTCCAGGGAGCCTGCGGAGCTGAGGGAGCTGAGGGAGCCGCCCCTCCACAGCACATCTAAGGCCAAACACCGGCTCGAGGCGAGAGATGGCCAAGACGTCACCTCTGGCATGGCTACCACCAAGTCCAAGGCAAAAGCGTTAGGTAACATTTCAACACTTTTCCCCAAGAATAAAAAATGATCTGCCCTCCCGTGTGCCTGGCTAGAACCTTCCTCCCGCCCTGCAGGGACCCGCCTCTGCGTCTAGCACTCGGCTGAGTGGCTGGCCCACATGGGCATAGAAAGAGCACTTCCAATAACAAACCATGTTAGGAAAGCCCAAAGCCTCAGTGGAGTTTCAGGTTAAAACCTAGTCTTTTCAGGCAGGGCGCGGTGGCTCATGCCTGTAATCCCAGCACTTAGGGAGGCCGAGGCAGGTGGATCACGAGGTCAGGAGATCGAGACCATCCTTGCCAACATGGTGAAACCCCGTCTCTACTAAAAATACAAAAAATTAGCCAGGCATAGTGGCGGGCGCCTGTAATCCCAGCTACTCAGGAGGCTGAGGCAGGAGAACGGCATGAACCCGGGAGGCAGAGGTTGCAGTGAGCCAAGATCGCGCCTCTGCACTCCAGCCTGGGCAAAAAGGGCGAAACTCCATCAGGGGAGAAAAAAACAACAAAAAAAAATAGCCTTTTCATAAGCCAGGGCTTGTATCAAAACTGGTAAGAAAATACTCCCAATGAGGACAGCAAAAGAAGAGAGGAGAGTAAAATAAGCCTGCCGCAGGGCGCCGGGAATCAGCACTATGTCACCCCGGCACAATGCGTGCACCCTCCACGAAGGCTGCCCCCAGACCTGGGAGCCCAGGAGAGTAAAATAAGCCTGCCGCAGGGTGCCGGGAGTCAGCACTATGTCACCCCGGCACAATGCGTGCACCCTCCACGAAGGCTGCCCCCAGACCTGGGAGCCCAGGAGAGTAAAATAAGCCTGCCGCAGGGCGCCGGGAATCAGCACTATGTCACCCCGGCACAATGCGTGCACCCTCCACGAAGGCTGCCCCCAGACCTGGGAGCCCAGGAGAGTAAAATAAGCCTGCCGCAGGGCGCCGGGAATCAGCACTATGTCACCCCGGCACAATGCGTGCACCCCACGCGAAGGCTGTCTCAAGAGCTGGAGAATCAGCTCTGCTCCTGACACCCCAGGTCCCCTCTTGATGTCTTTGGAGGCCCGGGAAGTGGGTGCTGGACAGTTTCAGAGCTGCCACGTGGTGGATGAGCTGCCCACAGCTGCAGGCGTGTCCCAGGCCTGGGACGCTTCCCTTCACAGCCCACCCCACCCACTCATCCGGAAGAGGCCCCCACGTCCAAGTGTCCTCAGGCAGAACCAGCCCGTTCACCAATGGGAGGATTGCACAGCAGAAGTGGGCACTACTGTGAGAGCTGTCACAAAGATCAAATGTCACACGTGGTTGAAACACACGCAGAAGTTGATTAAATGCCGTCTCGTCTCCTATGACCTGGGAAGTGCTTATGATGAGGAAAATCATCCCCCAGGACTCCGAGACGCAGGCCCCGCAGAGCTTGTGCAGCCTCTGGGGATGTCTGGCCCACACGGGGCTCCTGACTTAGGAAATACCGGGCCAGGTGGAAGAGTTGGAACCGGCCCGATAGCTCCTCCTGGCAATGGGTGCCCCCCACTCCCACTCCTCAGGTGCCCTGGCCCGCTAGGTCAACAGGAACCACAGGAGTCACCAGACATCACCTCACAGACCCCTCACCCTCTTGCCATGGCCTGCGGGAACAAAGACCCACCACGCTGACGGGCAGGGTTGACGCAGATGGGGACAAGACAGGTGGGGGCTAGAGACAGGCATGAGAGCCGCTGGGCAGGGGTGAGGAGGCTCCCGAGTTACAGCGGAGAACATAGAGCAGAAGCGTCCAGCCACAGCAGCACCCAGGAGAGGAGCAGGGGGCCCTGCAGGAAGCAGGTCCCTCAACCCTTGCTGAGCCCCACGCGGTTTCCTGCACCACTGAGGATGTGTTGAAACCCCAGGGCAGGAAGGTCAGAGATCAGGAGAGGGGATGAGGGTGTGGGTGCCGGCCTCTGACCCTGGACTCCTCAGTCCAGAGGGGGCCTGGAGCCTCGAGGTCATGCCTGGGTGCCAGCACCATGGCCCAGCATTACGTGCGCTGCCCACGCATCTCCGAGGGCCCAGCTGGCCACCTTCTCCTTCTCCACCGTCCCCTCACCCAGGGGCAGACCCCCATGACCAGCAGCCTGCAGCCTCTGCACACCCTGGAGCCCTGGTGTCCAGCTTGGACTCGCCCGGGTGGCTTGGCGGCTTCCCGGCATCCCTGGGCAGCTCCGGGACAGGGCTCTGTCCTCAGCTGGCACCACCACCCTTCCAGCCTCGGGGAGCCAACTGGGGTCTTACTCTGGGAACATACCCTGTGCCCCAGGCTCCATCTTGGCAGCGATGCCCTCACCCTGTCTTTTCTGTGAAACAGACACAGCCAGGATGTGGCAGCAGCCCACAGCTGAGTCCTGTGGGGCCCCTGGGCTCCGAAACAATTGTGGCTTCTCCTGCCCAGGTACACACCCAGAGCCCGGGGTCCTGGTGCCTACACCTCCAGCAGGACCCTGTTGGCGGCAGCATTCTTGCCATCTCCCTCCCCCACCTTAATTGCAGTGAAAGCTTCCACCCATAAAACAGGCTCAGTGGCAGCTTCCCAGGCCAGCACTGTGGATCCTGGTCCTGTCTGGTCTGAAATTGTCTGGAATCATGTTCCGGTGTTTAATATCGACATCCTCAGACAACACGGGGATCTGCCATAAATGAGTGATTAGGGCAACCGCCTGATCAATACAGTATCTCCGGGTGGCAGAGGCTCAGGCCTGAGACCGCAGTGCCTGAGACCGCAGGAGTCGCCCACGGCAGCAGGGACCTGGGCTCCTCCAGCTCCCCAAACCGCTGGAGAGGTGGGCAGCAGCACCTCCCCCCAGGCTGCCTAGAGGGGTCCTACTGTCCAAGGCCCGGCCCCACCCACCCCTGCCTCTCACTGCGCAGGGCCCAGCACCCCAGGACCACCCACAGGGGCAGACCTGGAGGACTCCAAGGCCGCCTGGCCCTGCAGCAGCTGAGAAGCCTGCTCCTGGGGCTGCCCGCCCAGAGGCACAGATGCTTGGGGACCCCGGAGCTGCAATGGAGACAGCCCTGACTCGGGGTGGGGCTTGGGGTTCCTCCTGAGTCCTGAACCCTGAGGCAGGTGTGCCTAGCCAGTGGGGGGGACGCTGGCCACAGCAGCAGCAGCACTGGATGAGGGGGAGCGAGCCCAGTGGGATCCCAGGGCTGGGGATCAAAGCAGAACAGCCCAGGAAGGAGCCCTGGCCAGGAGCAGATGGATGGGCAGGGCCCTGTGTCCTGGGGTGTGGCTGCACCAAGGGCCACACTCAGGGCTCGCTGTGGGACCAGCTGGGGGCTGCCCATGAGGCTGGGTCCTCAGGGGGGTGAGGCCTGTGGATACAGGACATGCCCTGAAAGACCCCAGAGGTCAGTGTGTTCAGAGGCCAGCACGAGATGGGTAGGTGTGTGGGTGGGTCAAGGCTGGAAAAAGCCCTGTCCACGTGTCTGTCCTTCCATCCTCCCACCTGCAGCCCCTGGGGTCCTGCACAGCCCTCCCACACCCGTGCCACTGTCTCCCACAGAGGGAGACGGAGGGGCTCCTAGGAAGAGGTGGCTCCTGGCAGCCACAGGCCCCTAGGCCAGCGGGCTGTGGTCATTCAGGGTGCCTGAGAGCTCCCAGGGAGAGGGGCAGAGCTGGAGGAGGAGTGACTCAGAGCAGGGAGGGAGCATCACACCCCCCAGCCAAAGAGATGGGCGGGGCGGAGCTGCGAAGGAGTGGGTGGCAGGATGCTGCCTGTTCTGGCACAGAAAGCCACATCACCCCTGTCCACCCCATCTGGTGCCCACCCCCTGCTGCCGGCCCCCTGCCCTGCCCTCTCTCTGCCTCTGTCCCCAGGGGCGCCCACTGTGAGCCAATGATGGCAATCCCAGGCCTGACACCCCCACAATCCTCCCCCCAACCCCCACCCTCCACCAGGCCCCTCTGCAGACACTAGGAGGGGGCCCCAGAACCAAACACCCCCAGGGGACCCATCAGCTGCCCTGGGCTGGGGGCTCCTCTACACCTGCAGGTGGGACTCAGGGCTCTCGAGCCTCCACTGTGCAGCCTGCCTGAGGCCCAAAGGAGGCCGCGGCCCAGCAGGCCCCTGAAAGCCACAGGCCCTGACATGGGCTGCAAAGACCAGCAAGGCTCTCCTCAGTGCACGGACTCCACCTGCCCCGGGAAATCGGTCAGGACGAAGGGCTCCATGTCCCAAGTGCCCTCACTGTCCCTGTCCTTGTCACCCCATCACACACATGTGCTGATGAATGCCGGCTGAGTGGCCCCCCAGGACCTCCCCGGGAGCAACAGCAAGTGTCCCAGCCCCAGGACATCGGCCCTGACCTGACCTAGAGAGGGGGGCAGCTGCCTCTCCTGGATCTGCAGTGGACAGGCAAGAGGGCCCAGCTGCCAAGGCTGGGCAGGTGTCTGCCGGGCACAGCGGGAGCTTTGCTCCAAGGTGGCATGAGCTCCAGTCTGATTTTCACACACATTAGCACTTGGTAGAGTGGAAAGCACCTTTCCCCAAACCATCAACAGCACTCGAAGAGTTCCTCACAGCCTCCTTTTCCTAAAATGGAAAGCGTGGCCCTGGCCGCCCCCCATCACCCCCCACGGGGCCCTTCCAGGGCTCTTTGCAAAGGACAGGTGGAGCCCGTGTCATCCTCAGGACGGGTCCAGTGCGCTCTCCTGGGTGCCTAGGCCAGCGCGTTCTCCTGGAAGGACAGGTCCAATGCGCTCTCCCGGGTGGCTGGGCCAGCGCGCAGGCCTTCCTCTGGAATTCCTCCCAGCCCACCGAACAGGAACAGGGCGGCGGGCTCACAGCCGGTCCTCTGGGCACCTAACGCCCTGGGTACCGACTGCTGTCCACGCTGACGCTGTGAGGGCCAGCAGGCCCTGGAAAGGAGCTGCTTCTGGACTCACACGTATTCCCACTGCCCCTCCTGAGCGGGCCCAGGCCACACGGTCGCACACCTCAGGGCCGGATGAGGATCCCCAAACACCACAGTGCCGAGGAGGGGCTGCGAGGGCCTCCAGGGCATGGCCTCTTCCACAACATGAAGGTCTCCGCCCGTGGGCAGACGGGGGTTGAGGATGACCAGTTCATCAGGAAGGAATTTTATCCTAGAAATGCTAATGGCAAATGGTAGGAAAATATCATCTCCAACTAAAAGCATTCACTCGACAACACATGAACAGGGCTATAGCTTGGGAGGCTGCTGCACCGGGTACTGGGGGCACAGCTGGGGGCATGGACAGGGCTGTGGCTTGGGAGGCTGCTGCACCGGGTACTGGGGCACAGCTGGGGGCATGAACAGGGCCATAGCCAACCATTCTCACCCTCATGTGCACCTTCCCCATCCCAGCCTCCAAGCCCTGGGGCAGGTGGGAAAATGGGCCCTGCAGGACCCTCCTTCCATCCAGGGTAAGATGTAACTTCCTGACATGGTTTGGCTCTGTGTTCCCACCCAAATCTCATGTAAGATGTAACTCCCTGATATGGTTTGGCTCTATGTCCCCACCCAAATCTCATGCTGAATTGTCATCCCCAGTGTTGGAGGAGGGTCCTGGTGGGAGGTGACTGGGTCAACGGGGCGGAGATCCCCCTTGCTGTTCTCGTGATAGTGAGTTCTCACGAGATCAGTGTTGGAGGAGGGTCCTGGTGGGAGGTGACTGGATCATGGGGTGGAGTTCCCCCTTGCTGTTCTCGTGATAGTGAGTTCTCATGAGATCTGGGCGTCTGAAAGTGTGTGTCACTTCCCCTCCACTCTCTTCTACCTGCTCCAGCCATGAGAACGTGCTGGCCTCCCCTTGGCCTTCCACCATGACTGTAAGTTTCCTGAGGCCTCCCAGCCAGGCTTCCTGTACAGCCTGCAGAAGTGAGTCCATTAAACCTCTTTTCTTTATAAATTATTACCCAGTCTCAGGTAGTTCTAGCAATGCGAAAACGGACTAATAACCACCATCTCAGGAAACCATGGCCGGCATTCCGGAGCGGCCCCTGCAGTTTCCCTGTGACACTCGCTACACACTTTCTGGGATGTGCCCTCACAGGGCCGGTTGCCTGAATGAAGGAACTGTGTGTTTTCAACTGGCCTGAATAAGCCCATCGGGCTTCGCAGGGCAGGGGTTGTTGCCATGGTTTCCTGTTATGGGTGAGTGTTCTACATGGGCTCCAGACCAAGGGCAGAGCGCACGCATCACGGAGGCCCCATGCACACATGCCACAAATGCACGCTGTGTAAAGTCTGGTTCAGGAAAAAAAAAAATCCAAGCTAAACCCTGATGATGTTGAGAGAGGGTCACCTGGCTCAGGGACCCTGGAATCAAAGCTGTCCCCAGAAATAACTGTTCAGGTTGAGGAGACACTGACACGTCCTCCCAGCCACGTTGTCAGGGACAGCAATGGCCTCAGCCTCCGCCTGGCCCCTGGCCCTGCTCAGCCACTGGGGAATGTACCAAAGCCCACCCCCAGAGTCCGGCCCGGGGTCCTCGCAGGTGTCCGGCTTGGAGACAAGGACACGGCACCACTGAGAGCCAACTGCACGGAAGAGGCAGGAGGCCAAGCCGGAGCCAGCGCGAAATCCACCCCTGCGGCCCCTCTGCCTCCACCAGCTCCTGTGTGCCAGGGAATGGGCTCCACCCCAAGCCCCAGCGCCCTCCCATACCCTCCCACCGGACACACAGGCCCCGGTCTTGGGATGCTGGGCACCGTTGTCGGGTCCTGGGTGTTGCAGGGGGCTGCTTCCCAGACCCTCACCTTCGGACTGTGTCATTCAAGGGGACTGCTCTGCTTCCTCGGCCCACCTGCAAGCAGGGGCCAGCAGATACCCATGAGGCACACCCCACTATTCTGCACCCAGGGCCCCGTGATCGAGTCTGTGCCCCATGCAGTGCTCATGGATGCCACCAGTGGCCGGGTGGGCATTGCTTCACCACGTGCCCATCACCACCTGGAGGGGCAGGGAGAGGGGCGAGACAGGGCCCAGTTAAAGCCCACGCCCAACACCACAGTGGCACCTGGGGGCCCCTGGACGTGCCAAGGCCCAGCAGGAGCACAGGGGACAGGCTGCGAGGTCAGCGCTGCCAGACCCTCCCTCCCAGAACCCCGTCAGGACGCTCATGCGGGCCCCCAGCAGGCCCCTAGCCCACAGAGCTCTACCTCCGCTCAGTCCAGCCCCTGGGGCTGGGGGAAGCTGTCCGACTGGCATCCCGACCTCCCACAGGCCTCAGGGACTACGAGCTTAGGCCTTGGAGACGATCACTGCTTCCCATGGGGAGGACTCGGGGACTACGAGCTTAGGCCTTGGAGACGATCACTGCTTCCCATGCGGAGGACTCGGGGACTACGAGCTTAGGCCTTGGAGATGATCACTGCTTCCCATGGGGAGGCTGTGGAGTTGCCAGGTGGCTGGAGAATCTCCCCGGGGAAGGAATGAGGCGCCTGGAACTGACAAACGACCTCAGTAAAGTTTCAGGATACAGAACCAACATACAACAATCCACAGCATTTTTATACACCAATAACATTCAAGCTGAGAACCAAATCAAGAATACAATCCCATTTACAACAGCCAAAAAATAAAATACAATACCCAGGAATACACCTAACCAAGGAGATGAAAGAGCTCTACAAGGGGAACTACAAAATACTGCGGATAGAAATCAGGGGCCGGGCACGGTGGCTCACACCTATAATCCCAGCACTTTGGGAGGCCAAGGCAGGTGGATCACCTGAGGTCAGGAGTTTGAGACCAGCCTGGACAACACGGTAAAACCCTGTCTCTATTAAAATACAGAAAATTAGTCAGGCATGGTGGTGCACACCTGTAATCCCAGCTAGTCAGGAGGCTGAGGCACAAGAATTGCTTGAGCCCGGCAGGCAGAGGTTGCAGTGAGCCAAGATTGCACCACTGCACTCCAGCCTGGGCAACGGAGAGACAGTCTGTCTCAAAAAAATAAAATAAAAAAGAAGTCAGAGATGACACAAACCAGTGGAAATGCATCCCATGCTAACAGATTGGCAGAATCAATATTGTTAAAATGGCCATACTGCCCAAAGTAATCTACTGATTCAATGCTCCTCCTATCAAACTACAAAGTCATTTTTCACAGAAACAGGAAAAACTATGCTAAAATTCACATGCAACCAAAAATGAGCTCAAATAGCCAAAGCGATCCTAAGAAAAAAGAACAAAGCTGGGGGCATCACATTACTGGACTTCAAACTCTACTACAGGGCCAAAGTAACCAAAACAGCATGGCACTGGTACAAAAACAGACACATAGACCAATGGAGCAGAATAGAAAACCCCAAATTAAGGCTGCACACCTACAACCATCTGATCTTCGACAAAGCTGACAAAATCAAGCAATGGGGAAAGGACTCCCCATTCAATAAATGGTGCTGGGAGAGCCGGCGAGCCACATGAGGAAGAATGAAGCTGGACTTCTGCTTTTCACCATATACAAAAATTAACTCAAGACAAAGACTGAAATGTAAGACCTCAAACTATAAAAGTTCTAGGAGAAAAGCAGAAAACACCCTTCTTGACACCAGCCTTGGAAAGAATTTATGACTAAGTCCTCAAAAGCAATTTCCATAAAAACGAAATGTGACAAGTGGAACCTAATTAAGCTAAAGAGCTTCTGCACGGCAAGAGAAACCATCAACAGAAGAAACAGAAAACCTACAAACAGGGAGAAAATATTCACAAACTACGCATCTGACAAAGTTCTAATAACCAGAATCTACAAGGAACTTAAACAACTGAACAAGCAACAAACAAATAAACCTATTAAAAAACGGGTAAGATACAGCTGGGCACAGTGGCTCACGCCTGTAATCCCAGCACTTTGGGAGGCTGAGGTGTGTGGATCACGAGGTCAGGAGATCACACCACTGTACTCCGGCCTGGTGACAAGAGTGAGACTCCATCTCAAAAAAAAAAAAAAAAAAAACAGGTAAAATACATGAACAGACACTTTTCAACAGCAGATCCAAATGGCCAACAAGCATATGAAAAACATGCCCCACATCACTAATCATCAGAGAAATGCAAGTCAAAGCCACAATGAGACACCATCTCACACCAGTCAGGACGACTGTTATTAAAAAGTCATAAAACAACAGATGCTGGCAAGACTGCAGAGAAAAGAGAACAAACGCTTATACACTATTAGTGGGAATCTAAATTAGTTCAGCCACTGTGGAAAGCAGTTTGAAGATTTCTCAAAAAATATAGAACTACCATTTGATCCAGCAATCCCATTATGGGTACGTATCCAAAAGAAAACAAATCGTTCTACCAAAAAGACACGCGCATTCGTGTGTTCATTGTGGTGCTAATCACAACAGCAATGACGTGAATCAACCCAGGTGCCCATCCACGGTGGACTGGATAAAGAAAACGCAGTACCTATACACCATGGCATATCACACAATCGTAAAAAAGAGCAAGATTATGGCCTCTGTGGCAACATGGATGCAGCTGGAGGCCATAATCCTAAGCGACTTAATGCAGGAACAGAAAACTCAATACCACATGTCCTCATGTGTAGGTGGGAGCTAACCACTGGGCACACGTGGACATAAAGACAGGAACAATGGACACCGGGACTGCGAGGCAGGGGAGAAGAGGAGGAGTCAAGGGTTGAAAAACCAGCCACTGGGTACTATGCTCAGTGCTTGGGTGACAGGATCAATTGAACCCCAAACCTCAGCATCACGCAATATACCCAGGCAACGAACCTGCACCCTCAAATCTAAAATAAAAATTGAGATTATGTAATCCCAGCATTTTGGGAGGCAGAGGCAGGTGGATCTCCTGAGGTCAGGAGTTCGAGACCCACCTAGCCAACATGGTGAAACCCCATCTCTACAAAAAATACAAAAAAAAAAAAGATAGCTGGGCATGGTGGTGGACGCCTGTAATCCCAGCTACTCGGGAGGCTGAGGCATAAGAACTGCTTGAACCTGGGAGGCAGAGGCTGCCGTGAGCTGAGATTGTGCCACTGCACTCCAGCCTGGATGACAGAACGAGACTCCATCTCAAAAAAAAAAAAAAAAAAAGTTGGGATTATAAAAAAAGAAAAAGCATGGCGCAGTGACACATGGTCCAAGCTGGAAGGACCCTGACAGAAACATAGCGCCAGGTGAAGGCAGCCAGAGACAAGAGTTCATGCATCATGTGACTCCGTCCCTGTGAAATACCCAGTGCCACGACCCAGGGACAGAAGGCAGTGTGGTGGCTGCCAGGAGCTGGGGCAGGCGGTGGCGACGGATGTAATCAGTAGGCATGGAGTCTCCCTTAGGGCTGGTGAGGCGCCTGCAGTTAGATAGAGGTGGTGTGAAGAGTATGTTCTCAACATTGTCAATGCACTAAACACCACGGAACTCTTCACTCTAAAGTGGTTAATTTTGTGTGCTATGAATTTCACTTCAATTAACAAGATAATTATTTAAGTGGCCCACAATCAGTTGGCTGTAGGCTGCAGCCCCCTGGAGGGACACCTGGTCATCAGGTGGCCCCATGTGGATGCCATCACATGGTGGGGAAGGTGGTCAGGGCAGAACTGAGCCGCAGGGACCCCTCGAGCTGGGAGTAGGCGTTAGGTGGGCGGGACGCACAGGGAGCTGGGGACCTTGAGGAAGAAAGGGACAGAGCTTTGTGCTGCACCCCAGCACTGCTGGCACATCCTGCTGGACAGAGGGGATGGTGAAAGAACGGCCTCAGGGAGAGGAGGGACCCGGGCCAGGACCCCTCCAGGACCCTCTCCCACCAGGGAGCTGAGGGGCCAGATGCCATCCTGAGGGGTTTGAGCTGATGGGGGGCATGGATGCAGGGAGGGAGGAGGACTCCCCAAACCAGCACCTAGTGGGGCTCGCATGGGGCACACCCCCACAGGGCCTGTCACCCCAAAGCCAGCGAGGTGGGACCTAGCAGACAGCACAGTCTTCTTTTTCAAGACGAGTTTCCTCGGTGGGAGGTGGGGGCGGGACAGTCGCTCATGGCAGTTTTCCTTGATGGAAGACGTAAAAAATCATGTGAATAAATAGGGCGCTTCATTCTGACTTTCACTTTAGGAAAGACGTTAAACTATGTTAAATTCACAAAAGTTCAAGCCTCATCCATCATACCCGTATTTTATTTATACTCCGCCTGATGTCAGAGGATTCAGGACAGCCACACATCTTCCTGACCTGCTGCAACATGAGAACAGTAGAAGGTGCGAGCAGCAGACATGGCCGCAAGGGCGGTGAGGTGGGCTCTGGGGGTGCCTCAAGGGCGGTGAGGTGGGCTCTGGGGGTGCCGCAAGGGCAGTGAGGTGGGCTCTGGGGGAGCTGCCAGGGCGGCGAGGTGGCTCTGGGGGAGCCGCAAGGGCAGTGAGGTGGGCTCTGGGGGAGCTGCCAGGGCAGCGAGGTGGCTCTGGGGGTGCCGCAAGGGCGGCGAGGTGGGCTCTGCAGCCACCCGGGGGACACTCTGCTGGGCACTGGCTCTTCTCCTTCGATGACAGCCCCTGCTCCTCCCTGCCACACTCAGCCCAGGCCTGGCCCATCACAGCGAGGGTGTCCAGGAAGAGCCAGTCCTGGGCTTCTGGAACTAGGGCAGAAGCGACCACCAGAGCTGCAAGGGCAACACACAGCCTGGAGGAGCCTGTGGGGTCCTCACTGCACTCTGGGGCCCTGCCTGGGTGTGAGGAGAGGACACGGTGCAGAGAGACGGAGGGCAGGCCCATCAGCCCCGCACAGCCCTGGGAGGCCTCTCGCTTTCATGGCTCGGGACAATGTCTTTCCTTCCTGCTGAAGGCTCTGGGTCAGGATTCAGCCGCAGGCAGCCAGGGCACACACAAGGCAGTAATAAATGGCAAGCAGCACATTAAAGATGGGCAAGAGGCCCAGGCAGATGCTTCACAGACGAGAAGCTCCCGAAGGCCAATGAGCACAGGAGAGAGGCTGTCCTTAGTCGCCACGGAAACACAAGGAAAACCCAACGCGGGCCCCCTCCATCCCCCCGGACAGCCAGGGAGAGGGACAGCAGCGAGGCCTGGCAAGGACACCGGGCACCTTGACCCACATGCTAGGGGTTAGGGGGTGCCGTGCACGGCCGCTTGGGAAACTCAGGCAGCATCTTAGTTAAACATACACTTGCTGTGCCACCCGGCAATTCCATTCCTAGCTATTTACACAAAAGGAATGAAACAGACGTCTACCCAAGAATGTGCTTTGCTGCCTTACAACAGTCAAATACTGGAAATAACCCAAACGTCCATCAAGAGGATAATGAATAAAGAAATTATGTTATATCCATACGATGGAATACCACTAGGGGACTTCTTTTAAAGGAACAAACTCCCGATCCATAGCCACGTGGATGAATCTCAAAGGTGTTACATTGAGGGAAAGAAGCCAGGTTTACAAGAGCGCGTCGTGCGATTCTGTTTGTGTGAGTTCAAGAACAGGCTGGACGGATCCACAGTGAGAAGCACAGGTTTGTCTCTGGGGGTAGGAAGGGGATGCTTGGAAAAGAGCCCAGAGAACTTTCCAGAAGGAGGACAACGTTCTCTGTCTCCATGGGGGGTCTTGGTTACACAGGTGTGCCCATCTGTCAAAACATCAATCTGCATACTCACATCTGTGCCCTTGACTGTAATTATACCTCAATACAAATAAATAGATCATCTAGATCAGGGACATTCTGTAGTGGAAGCGTTTTAGGCATCTTATCTGAATTTCAGGAAATGGGTGTTTACCTTTGGCAGCAGGAAACTGAGGCTCACTGAGGTTACATGGCCTGCCCACGCCAAGGAGCCCTCAATTTGTCTCCAGGACAACCCCGAGCCCTGGGGGAGGAACGAGCCAGGGCTGGAGGGGAGGAAGGAACGCGGGCGTGGGTGGGGGAGGCGCTGGGCAAGGGAGGCTAGCTCCATGGGGTGGAAGGAGTGGATCACAAATGCTCTCGGGGAGGAGGGCACTGGAGGGGGCTCCACCGGTGGGGCGGGGGGACTCCAAGGAGAGCATCACACAAGCAGGACCTGGGGGCAGCTCGAGGTCAGAACAACAGGACTTCTCAGCCAGCCTTGAGGCATGGAGTGACAATGGACACTGGGGGTGGGGAGGGCTGCGCGGACGAGGCCGCAGAGGAACTGCAGCTCCAACCCCAACAACCACCGTGAGTGTTGGGAGCTCGGCCGTCACTGAGCGGGCAGCCCCCGCCCACCCCGCTGCAGTGGGGAGACCCAAAGCTGGGTCAGAAGCCGGAGCAGCCCCTTCCAGCCTGTCCTCAGGCTTCCCCGGCCCTGCTCCCCGCATGGTTTCTCTGACCTGTGACACGTGGGCCCTGGGCTCAGTCCAGGCAGTGAGCCAGCTGCAGTAGCAGCCCCTTTAGAAGCAGCAAGCCCAGTGTGGGGTGCAGGTCTCCTTTTGGGGTCCCTTGAAACCTGGCCAAAATGCGAGAAGTCTGCACAGCCCAGCATTCACTTGTATTCTGGAGGCCTGGAATACACCTCAGATCACACCTATGTGTGCGTGTGCCTGTGGGTGTAGCTCTGCACATGTGAATGTGCATGTGTGTCTGTATGCATGTGCATGTATGTTTCTGGGGCTACAGTTCTGTGCATGTGTGTCAGTGCGTGTGCATGCATGTGTATGTGGGTTCAGCTCTATGCCTGTCTGTGTGCATGCATGTCCCACATCGTGTGTGTGTCAGTGTGTGTGCATGCATGTTCAGCTCTATGCCTGTGTGCATGCAAGTCCCACATCGTGTGTGTGTCAGTGCATGTGCATGCATGTGTATGCATGTTCAGCTCTATGCCTGTCTGTGTGCATGCATGTCCCACATCATGTGTGTGTGTGTCGGTGTGTGTGCATGCATGTGCATGCAGGTTCAGCTCTATGTCTATGTGCATGCATGTCCCACATCGTGTGTGTGTGTGTCGGTGCGTGTGCATGCATGTGCATGCAGGTTCAGCTCTATGCCTGTGTGCATGCATGTCCCACATCGTGTGTGTGTGTGTCAGTGCGTGTGCATGCATGTGTATGCAGGTTCAGCTCTATGCCTGTCTGTGTGCATGCATGTCCCACATCGTGTGTGTGTGTGTCAGTGCGTGTGCATGCATATGCATGCAGGTTCAGCTCTATGCCTGTCTGTGTGCATGCATGTCCCACATCGTGTGTGTGTGTGTGTGTCGGTGTGTGTGCATGCATGTGTATGCATGTTCGGCTCTATGCCTGTCTGTGTGCCCACATGTCCCACGTCGTGTGTGTGTGTGTCGGTGTGTGTGCATGCCTGTGTATGCAGGTGCAGCTGTGCCTGCGTGCATGCGTCACATTGTGTGTGTGTGTGTCGGTGTGTGTGCATGCATGTGTATGCAGGTTCAGCTCTATGCCTGTGTGCATGCATGTCCCACATCGTGTGTGTGTGTGTGTGTCGGTGTGTGTGCATGCATGTGTATGCAGGTTCAGCTCTATGCCTGTGTGCATGCATGTCTCTCACATTGTGTATGTGTGTCGGTGTGTGTGCATGCATGTGTATGCGGGTTCAGCTCTATGCCTGTCTGTGTGCATGCATGTCCCACATCGTGTGTGTGTCAGTGTGTGTGCATGCATGTGTATGCAGGTGCAGCTCTATGCCTGTGTGCATGCATGTCCCACATCGTGTGTGTGTGTCGGTGTGTGTGCATGCCTGTGTATGCAGGTGCAGCTGTGCCTGTGTGCATGCGTCACATTGTGTGTGTGTGTGTGTGTGTGCCTGCGTGTGTACATGCATGTGTATGCAGGTTCAGCTCTATGCCTGTGTGCATGCATGTCCCACATTGTGTGTGTGTGTGTCGGTGTGTGTGCATGCATGTGTATGCAGGTTCAGCTCTATGCCTGTCTGTGCGCATGCATGTCTCACATCGTGTGTGTGTGTGTCAGTGTGTGTGCATGCCTGTGTATGCAGGTTCAGCTCTATGCCTGTCTGTGTGCATCCATGTCCCACATCGTGTGTGTGTGTGTCGGTGTGTGTGCATGCATGTGTATGCAGGTGCAGCTCTATGCCTGTGTGCATGCATGTCCCACATCGTGTGTATGTGTGTCGGTGTGTGTGCATGCATGTGCATGCAGGTTCAGCTCTATGCCTGTGTGCATGCATGTCTCACATCGTGTGTGTGTGTGTGTCGGTGTGTGTGCATGCCTGTGTATGCAGGTTCAGCTCTATGCCTGTGTGCACGCATGTCCCACATCGTGTGTGTGTGTCGGTGTGTGCATGCATGTGTATGCAGGTGCAGCTGTGCCTGCGTGCGTCACATCGTGTGTGTGTGTGCCTGCGTGTGTACATGCACGTGTCTGTTGGTTCACGTTGCATCGTGTGTGCATGTGTCACATCGTGTGTGTGTCTGTGTGTGCATGCATGTGCCTGTGGGTGCAGCTCTGTGCATGTGTCTGTGTCTCCGTGCATGTGTGTGCACACGGTGGTATGCACAGGGTGCTGCACAGGGTCTCTTCAAGTGAGCTGATTACGTGCCTGGCCTCATCTGACCGACACATGGTGCCTGGAGCCTGGAAAATCTGCTGCTGAGCTGCAGGACTGAGATGCAGCCTGGATTCCACTGGCCGCACCGGATCTTCCCCTGAGCTCAGGGCTGCCTCCCAGCCCTGCTGGCTGCTGCAGGAGGACCTGGGGAAAGTGTGTGGCAGCAAGCTGCAGCCTCACAGCCATTTATCACCATCACTGCTCTGCTAAGAGCCAGCGCCTCTGGGCTGGCTGCTGATGGATTGATTTTCCCCAAGGGCAGGAAGGCTGCTCGGGGCTAACAGCTAGTGGATGGTCTTATTTTCCAAACCTGAGCTTATGAGACAGACCCCAGGCTGTCGCCCAACCACATCCACCTGGGAGCATTCCAGACCCTTGCCTCGCCTTGCAAAAGGTGGAGGTGGGCCCTGGGGTCCCCTTCAGCCCTGGCCTCCCCCGAATGCCTGTGGGAGCGCTGACTCCAGCGGCACAGTGGGGGCAGTTCTCCCAAGCCTGAGAGGTTGGTGTTGGGAGGAGGCGTTCAGTGAGAGTCCCTAGCCTGCCACGGCCATAATAGCTGACACCCACCCAATGGTGGCCTCCCAGCCACGTGGGCCCCGGATGCCTGAGCCAGGCCCCCTGTCCTCCACGCCTGACGACCTGAGCCCTCCCCTGACTGCTTTCATGGTCTCTTGAGAACCCTGCAGAGTTTACAAGCTGATGCCTGGTACTGCTGTAGGCCTTGGGACAGCGTCCCCTCAACCTGTGGCAGGGGACTGAGGGCAGCAGGGGACCAAGGGCAGCACCCACGTGAGGAGGAGGCCGAGAGAGCCCACCCCACCCCACACAGCCTGTGGGTGGCTGAACAATGGCTCCAGGGATGTCCAGGCCCCAGTCCCCGGACCTGTGATTCACCTTATGTGGCAAAAAGGATTTGGCAGATGTGACTGAGTGAACAATCTTGAGAGGGTGGGACTCCTGAATTATCCAGGTGGGCCCTAACTGCTCACAGCCATCCTTGCAGGGAGACACTGCTACCAGGGAAGGTGATACCACAAGTGAAGCACGGGCCCACGCCGCTGGCCTTGCAGATGCAGGGGTCATGAGCCATGGCTGCAGGGGAGTGACCTCTGGAAGCTGGAATTGGCGAGAGCAAACCCTCCACGGCACTTCTGGAGGGCAGGTGGCCCTGCCAGCCTCTGGAACTGAGAGTGAATGTGCACTGTGGGAACCGCAGGGTATGGCCGTGAGTTACGGCAACCCCAGGACCCAGCATGGCCTCTTCCCTTGGAGTCCCACGCCTGCTCCCCGGCCTGCCGGATATGAACCCATGGCCTTATTTGCTAGTGCTGCCTTGCAGAATGGCCTGGGGGTACCAACCAGACACCCCTCCCTCCCTCTGCGTCTGTAACCAGCAGAGAACCCACAGGCAGCCCAAAGAGAACCACAGCGAGCCCTGCACATCACCCTGGACTCAGAGCTCCATCCTGGCCACGGTGAGGCTGCGGAGTGGCCCAGGGCTTCTTCCCATCCTGGAAGCATCCATCAACACACCTGGTGAGGACCCACCTGTGGCCCAGGGCAGAAGCAGGACCAGAAGGATGCAGCCCCCCTCCAGAGCAACAGCCAATAAGGGTAGGGCAATGGGGTGGGGCCTCACCTCCCACCAATCAGAGGGGGTGATCTGTCCTAAGGGAGGAGCCAGGGGTGAGACCAAGGGGGTTCTGAACCACAGTCAGATGGGGTGCAAGGAGGGTGGCACCCCCAAAGTGACTCAAAGACGCAAATGACTAGGGCTCCATTATCAGATAGAAATACAGGGGGTGAGGAGTGTCCTAACCGGGGCCTTCCATTCAGCAGCCGGCACCCCTGACCCATGGCTGGGGACTGTGGCATCCAGAAGAGTGTCCCTGGGCTCAGGCACTTCCAGCCAGCTTCGGCCTCCACGTGGCAGTGGCCCATACACCCCATCTGTAAAGCAGGCAGCCCTACAGCAACGGTTCCCAGGCCCCTGGCACTCAGGAAAAAACCAGCACACCTGGCAAGAGACCCAGGCAGAGAGCTGCAAGAATAGCATGGAGGGTCAGAACAGAGGCCACGTTCCCAGAGCCCCCAGCTCCTTGTCCCAACAGTGTGGGCCCGTGCTGTGCCCACGCCCTGCCTCACTGGGCACCTGAGGCTGGCCCCACACCTGGCCTCACACAGAAAGATGTTGTCCCGTCCATTGTGGCCAAATCTGACCCCACACACAGCACTCAGGGTGGGAAGAAGGTGGCCGTGGCGTCAGCATGACACGGTCATGTCCGGCTGGGAGAGCTGGTAAGACCTGCAACCACGGATCCAGCCCCCACCACTGAAAAACCACGGTGGTGTTTCCCTAAGGTGGCCAAAGCACACATCGGAGTGACCTGGGATCACCCGTTCCTGACCCCAGACTCGCGCCCTCCCCGACACCCCACACCTACAGAACAAAATTTCCAGGTGTGGGTGGGGATCTGGAGTCTGAGTTTTCCAGAGACTCCTGCGGCCTCCTGGGCACACTGTGCTCAGAGCCACGGCCCTGCCCCTTCCCAGGCAGCACTGGGGCTGCCTCAGTGACAACACCACTGCTCAGTGCCCGGACGCCCGGACCTCCTCATGTTTGTGTGTGTGCTGGCGGGGCAAGGCCCCTACCCTGAATGCATGTCTAGCTTCTCTCCAGCTCAGCTGAAATGGGGAAAGGACAGACCAGGTGTGCCTGCAAGCCCCGGCAGGGTAGGTGTGTCGTGGGCTGTGCTGTGCCCCCGAAGTCCTAAGCTGAGGCCCTGACCCCTCGTGCCTCCGAGCGTGGCTGTGTGTGGAGATGAGATCTTCAAAGAGTTGGTTAAGGTGAAGCAAGGTCACGTGGGTGGGCCCAATCCCACTGGACCGTGTCCTCACAGAAAAGATCAGGACGGAGACACCCACAGAGGAATGGCCACGTGAGGACGCTGCCCACGAGCCAAGGAGCCAGGCCTCAGAGGCAGCCAACCCTGCCGGCGCGTGGTCTCGGACTTCCAGCCTCCGGATCTGTGAGAGTGCAAGCGGCTGTTGTTTACGCCACCCACGAACAACCCGAGCAAATGAATACAATGTCTGAAACCCACAACCCAAATCTAACGTGCCCTCAACCCAGCTCCCTAGCTCACACTGCCACAGCCCCAGTTACCAACAGCTCATCCGGATGCTCGGCCTGAAGCCTTGGCATGGGCTCGACTCCTCTCTGTCTCACACCCCAGCCCGTCTGTCGGGAAATCCTGCAGGCTCTTCCTTCAAGCGTTCCCAGACTCCGACCGCATCTTGCCCCTCCTCTGCTTCTGGCCACCGTCCACTCCCGCCTGGATTCCTGCAACAGCCTGGTCTCCCCGCCTCCACCCTCGCCCTAGAATCTATTCTCAACAAAGCTGCAGGCGTCGTCCTTTTGAAACAAACATGTCAAGCCCCGCTCTGCTCAAAGGCTCCACACTCCCATTTCTCTCAAGTAATAGCCCATGTCCTTCCGGCTGCCAGCAAGCCGTCCAGGACCCAGCCCCAGACCCCTCTGGCCTCGGCTCCTCCACCCTCCCTGTGCCTGACTCTGCTGCGCTCTCTGAAGCAGCCCAGTGAGCCCACCATGCGGCCTGTGCACCAACAGCTCCCTCTGCCCGGAGCCCTCTTCCCCAGAGCCGCACGCTTTGCACCCTGGGCTCACCATATCCCTATTTAGTGTGTCGTTTTCACCAAGATTTCACCCCAATGAAGACTGCAATTGCCCACATCATTTTTTTCCTTGCTGCCCCCCTCAACAGTATTTGTTTGTTAACATCCTATACATTTACTTAGCTTCACACAAATCAGTTCCAATCCACTCAGCCTTTCCACTGCTTTGAATAGGCTGACGGGGCATCTGATAGAGCTTTCTGTGCTCACTAAGCGACCCCACCAAGAGGGCAGCCCCCAGTCAAGAAAGGAAGCTGCTCAGCCCTAAAGGTCCTGTGAACGGGCTCTAAGTCCCTGCAGCTCTAGGGTGGGGCAACTGCAGGTGTCTGTGGGGCTCAGGGAGATATCACTGCAGTACCTCCTCCAGATCTGTTCTCAACAAAGCCCTGTTGAGTGAATGAATGAGTGAATGAATCAGTAGATGAGTGAATGAAAACACAGTGAGTGAATGGTGAGTGAGTGAACGAATGCACGGTTAATGATAATGAGTTAGTGAATGGGGAGTTAGCAAATGAGTAAATGAGATGAATGAGCGAATGAACACATGGTGAGTGAATGAATACATGGTTACTGAATGAGTGAAGGAGTTACTGAATGAGTGGAGTTACTGAATGAGTGAAGGAGTTAACAAATGAGTGGAGTTAGCAAATGAGTAAATGAGATGAATGAGTAAATGAACGAGTAGATGAGAATGAACACACGGTGAGTGAATGAATGCACAGTGAATGAATGCAGTGAGTGAATGAACACATGGTAAGTGAATGAATGCATGGTGAGTGAATGAGGTGAGCAAATGAGAGATGAGTGAATGAGTGAATGAACGCACAGTGAGTGAATGAATGAGAGTGGATCTAAGTGAAAGATCATAAGAGCCCACTATGCGTGTGCTGACCCCAGCCCCATACTGACTGGGCCTGGGCTGCCAACTGCGCTTCTGACTTCTCAGCTGATTCCTGGTGTGACCCTGGGCTCTGCTCTCTTTTTCCATAAGATCCGCAAGTTGTGGGAGGTGCACATCGACTTAAACATTTGCGAGGTGAAGCAAGCTGAGGTGCAGGGGTTGGGGCTGGAAATGCAACCTACAAGGAGAATGCATCAGTCTGCAGATGCCTGCGGGGTCATTGCTCAGGACGGGACCAGACAGCAAGCACCATCCACGCTGGGTGTGGCCACACTGGGACTCAGCGGAGAGGCTGGCTCCTCCTGTCCTAGGGCCTGGGGAGCAGCCAACAGCTGCGCCCGGATTCAGGACTCACACGAGGGTAATGTGGCGTCTGAATCAAATGCCCATCCCACACCAAATGTGGGTCAACAGAAGCAACACACCATTGCTAGGGAAAGGCGGCTGTTTTAAATCCTATCTCATGGTAAGTGCACGGTTTTATTTTGGACACTTCTTCACAGAGAAATTTTCGTATGTGTTTGATGGGAGGTCAATATATGAAGATTGACAACTGTTCACAGTTGTTTTGCAGGAAATGTGCAGTGACAAAACCTCGTACCAGGCTGTGGAGGCTGCACCGCCCGCTGACATTCACCTGAGGCTTGGGAATCTAACAGGGCCTGGCCGCAGAGCCTCCCCTGCCCTCAGCCCACCAGGAGCCACGGACGCCGGATCCTCAGGCTGCACTGGTCCCTCAGGCGTGGGCCTGTCTGCAGAATAAACCCGGCTGAGCGCAAACCTCAAAATCCACGGGAACCAGGCCTCGGAGGGCCCCGAGATGTCCCCGAGTCCAAAGCCTCCTCGGCAGTCGGCCACCTCCACCCCCAAGTCACCTGTCGCTCCGCCGCACAGGCAGCCAGCAGGCGCCTCCTCACCCAGGGACGTGGCAAGGCTGAGTCACTCCCAGGACTCCTTCAGTGAGAGCCTTAAATCCACCCTGTTCTTCCACTCCCTGGAGGGTGCCCCAGCTCCAGAGAGGGGACAACATGGAAGGTGACAGCCGGGACAGGGACCGAGAACCCTGTGCCAGCCCCAGCTTCTGAGGGCCCAGCACCATGGCACAGCAGGCCCAGTGTGTGGTTCACGGTGTCCCCCAGGGCCGAGGAACCAAGTTCCTCCTGGAAGCACCCAGGGGGCCCAGGCAGCAGGTACTGTCCCTGGTGCTGCCATCTGGCCCATCAGCCCGTCTGGCCTCAGCCCTGACAGCAGCCATGGGAGGTCCGGCATCCCCGTACCCGTGCCCACCATGTCTCTGGGCAGTGCTGCCCCACCAGGCCCCATGGCTACTCACAGACAGCCCCACAGGGCCGCTGGTGGGGGTGGGTGCTGGGACCCCCGGGGAAGATGGTGAGTCAGCAACAGTAGCAAGGCTGGCAGGTGCAAGAGGCCGAGGGAAGGTCCAGGGGTCTGGGATGAATCTGCCCCACCTGCCCTTGGAGGCAGCCATCCTGGCCTTGGAAACATCTAGATGTCGTGCCATGGACGTAGGATGAGAATCAGGTCCCTTTCCTGGAATCCAAGCAATAAGAGAGCCCAGGACATCCTAGGATTTTGCTCCAGAATCACCTCCGAGTCTCAGTGCCCGCTCTTCCTTCTGGCCACTCCGCCGACGTGTCACTGCAATGCAGGGTCACAGCACAGCCAGGCCACGGGGCCAGTGGCCAGGGGCCAGCGCAGTGCAGAGCCACCCACCGTCACTGACGCATCATGCCGCAGGGATGAGGACCTGGGCCCATGGGCTTCCCACACCACCTTCTCTCAGGCTCCAGGGTCTGCCTTCCTGGGAAATCCCTTCAAACGTCCCCTTCCATTAGAGAAACTACAGCCTTCAGCGGAAACCTCCTCAGCAGCTCCATGTTCTTCCTGCCCCTCTTTTCTCCCCACCTCCTGGCATCTCTGAGAAGCAGACACCCAGGCCTGTGTCGGGCAGGAGACTGTACAGGAAAACCCCCTCTGCCTAGGAAACCTCAGCCCCCCACCCCGCAAGTGGTGGCTGCCTTCCACCCTGGCATGCGGAACGGTCACAGTGAAGGCCCGCGAGGATGGAAGACCCCCAAGCCGCCACACCACCAGGCTGCCACCCGGTGACGCCAGACCCACATGCGAGGCTTCCCTCATCATGAGATGAGCCTGGAGGTAATTCTGGGGCCCAGCTTTTGGACCAGCTTTTCGGTCAGCAATTTTCGAGTCCACACAAATCAGAAGGTGGACCCACAGCGAAACACAGAAAACAGCATGACCGCAGCAGAAAAACCATTTTCAAGGGAAGATGCAGAAAAGTGAGCTTTCAGCAGAGTGATGAGATGCCACCACGCCAAGTCTGGGATCGGCTGGCATCAGGCGCGTGATCCTACAGACACCAGCCATCCCACAGACCTCCTGGCACTGGGCACTGGAACAGGGTCAGGGTCAGCACCTGTGCCAGCTACACGGTGTCTAAATGTGGTCCTGTGCACCTGTGAATGCCAAGAAGGACATCACCACAGGCACTCAGAGCATCTGCATCCACCCGATACACTCAGAGCACAAAAGGGGCGAGGCACGGCGGCTCACGCCTGTCATCCCAGCACTTTGGGAAGCCAAGGCGGGAGGACTGCTTGTGGCCAGGAGTGTGAGACCAGCCTGGATAACACAGCAAGACCCCCATCTCTGAAAAAAAAAAAGTTTTTAATTAGCTGGACATGATGGCACACACCTATAGTCCCAGCTACTCAGGAGACTGGGGCGGGAGGATTGCTTGAGCCCAGGAGCTCAAAGCTTCAGTGAGCTATGATTGTGCCACTGCAGTCCAGCCTGGTGACAGAGCAAGACCCTGCCTCAAAAAAAAAAAAACCCAATGTATCTTCTCCCAAGGTTTCCTCCGTTACCCCAGCGTGGCCCACGGTCCCCAAGAGTCCAGGTCAGATGCAGGCTATGGCTCCCCAGGGCTCGAGGCCGTGGCTGCGCCCCATCTGGGCTCACTGAACGGCCTCTGTTCCTGTCCCTCCCCAGCCCAGCCTCCCCTCCTCCATTCCTCCTTCCAGCTCAAAGGATTGGATTATCACCCTGGGAAAGGGATGTGCTTATTTTTGACCAACTGAATTGAAGTAAGGAAAGGCATTATTTCTAGACAGAGTGTAAGACTCTGTTCTCTTTTATGTCTCCAAAAATAAGAGTCAGAAGAGCCGAGCAGGGCCAGCAGTCTGCCTTCCCATGGATGCACAAGTTTGTGGATTCTGGGCTGCGTGTCTTGGCCAGGACCATCAAAACCACCGAAGACGGGCCGAAGGGAGTCAGGGCCCTCCACGAGAGCCGCTGGAGAGAGAGCCAGGGAGGACACCAGCACCTGGACTTCCCAAGTTGCAGCACAGAGACGGCCACAAAACTGGGCTCCAGCCCACCATTCCTGTGCGGGGAGGTGGCCAGGCTGAGGAGGCTGGGACCACACCAGGGCCCTGAACATCCAGAAACATGGCATGCTGCCCTTCCTATCCACTGACCAGTTTCCTTCTCAGGAACCCAGAGAGCCAGCCTGGCCCCCGGCTGCAGTTCTGTGCCCACCGCCTTGCTGGATGGCAGCTGGAGCTCACTGAGAGCTCAGTGGCCAATCACCTGCCTGCCCGTGGCCCTGCAGGGAATCGGCAAGGAGTCCAGAGCCTTGCTTTGCAACTGCCTTTGGGACAGCGGCAGCCTTTGGGACAGCTGCAGGCAACATCCCAGGCCTGCAGGGGACTTTATTCGACCTTGACCCAAGCTGGTCGGGGCAAAGCATTGTGGGGAGCAGGGTGTCTCTTCTGAGTCCCTTGCACAGACAAGTGCACACACACATGCACACATGCTCCTTTCCAAACCTCTGCCTTCAGGCTGCAGGAACCTGGCTTCTCACCCGGGGCCCGACACACCCTCCCGACCTCTCCTTCATTGGCTGTCTCGGTGCAGGGCCAGCCTGCACTCTGGCTCACCTGGGAGAGGGTCTTTCTTCATCTCCCAAATCACGATAAAATCACATGAACATCCTGTTGATGGCAGAAGGCAGCAGTGGCAAAGCAAGGCTTCGGAGTTCCTCCCCAGTTCCCTCCAGGGAGAGGTGGGGGTGGTCTTGAGGGGGCAGCTTAGGAATAGACTCCTTACCATGAAGACCCCCTGGGAACCCATTGCTCACACCCCTCTCTGCAGACTCTGCCCTCTGACTTGGCTCTCAGAGCAGCTCCACCATCACTCTGTGGGGTCAGGAAAGAGACCTGGAGACACTAGATCCCCACCTCATGTCCAGTGACAGAAGAAACTACAAACCCAGCAAAGACCCACACATGCCATGCCCCGCACATGCCATGCCTCCGTGAGTTCTAAAAACAAAAATTCACCAGTGAATTTCTCTGTAATCCTGCAGCAAGAGAGGCCTCTCCAAGGAAGACAAAGACTGCAGAAGCTACAGGGAAAGGGCTCTTGACCAGGAAGATACACAGAACGCTACAAAAATGCAAAGCTTCTGCATAGATAACAATAAACACAGTTTTTAAAAAATCAAAATACCGGCCGGGCGCGGTGGCTCACGCCTGTAATCCCAGCACTTTGAGAGGCTGAGGCGGGTGGATCACGAAGTCAGGAGATCAAGACCATCCTGGCTAACACGGTGAAACCCCATCTCTACTAAAAATAGAAAAAATTAGCCGGGCGTGGTGGCAGGCGCCTGTACTCCCAGCTGCTCAGGAGGCTGGGCGGGAGAATGGCATGAACCCGGGAGGCGGAGCTTGCAGTGAGCCGAGATCGCGCCACTGCACTCCAGCCTGGGCGACAGAGCGAGACTGTCTCAAAAAAAAAAAAAAAAAAAAATTCAAAATACTACAAACTGAGAAAAAGCATTTGCAATACATATGACAAACAAGGGGCTACTTTTCTTACAAGGAACTTATACAGATTATTGAGAAAACCAACCCAACAGGAGACGGGGCAGAGGCCACGAGGGCCACTCATGGTACAAGAGTGTGTCAGACCCGAGACTGCCCTGCCTCAGTCCCCATTTAACAATCCAAGCCAAAATAGCAAGGAGATGCCCTTTGTCTTGAATACAGCCAGTGCCAGTTGCCCATATACCATGCAGGGGGCGGGGGACGGGGCATATAAGTGGCCCAGCCCTTCTAGAAGCAATTAGCAACAGTGATCAATAGTCCAGCTGCACCCAGTTTAACACAGTAATGATTGCAACTGTGAAGTTCCACAGTCAGCAAGCCCACAAAAATTCATCAAGACCGATGTGCAGTGACTTTCACGACTGAAGTGTAAGAACAAAAAGCCCTGGGCTACCCGTGTCCATAACAGGCGAGGTGACATGACCATGTTACGGCCATAACACGGACTCTCGTGCAGACGTTACAAACTAGGTGGAGCGGCGTGCTGATAAGAACATATCCCAAAGAGACAACATAAAGCCTTTGCAGGAGTCCAGAACACTCTGCACACAACACTCCTCTTCATGTAAATGACAGACTCTACGTGACAAGTACATGCATGTGTGTAAAGACATACACATGTGACCAGGTGCAGTGGCTCACACCTGTCATCCCAGCACTTTGGGGGGCTGTGGCAGGGGGATGGCCAGAGCACAGGAGGTCAAGGCTGCAATGAGCCATGATCATGCCCACCCGCACTCCATGTTCACGCCCCTGCACTCTGTAATCATGCCACTCCACTCCCTGATCATGCCACTCCTCCATGATCAAGCCACTGCACTCCGTGATCACGACACTCCACTCCGTGATCACGACACTCCACTCCCTGATCACACCACTGCACTCCGTGATCACACCACTGCACTCCGTGATCACGCCCCTGTACTCGGTGATCACACCCCTGCATTCCATGATCACTCTGAGGCCTCCACTCTGTGATCACGCCACTGCACCCCATCATCACGCCCCTGCACTCTGTGATCACGCCACCTGTGCTCCATGACCATGCCCCTACACTCCGTGATCACGCTGAGGCCTCCACACCGTGACCACGCCCCTGCACCCCGTGACCACGCCCCTGCACCCCGTGACCACGCCCCTGCACTCTGTGACCACGCCCCTGCACTCCATGATCAGGACACTCCACTCCCTGATCACACCACTGCACTCCATGATCATGCCCCTGCACTCGGTGATCACACCCCTGCATTCCGTGATCACTCTGAGGCCTCCACTCTGTGATCACGCCCCTGCACTCTGTGATCACGCCCCTGCACTCCGTGACCACGCCACCTGCGCTCCATGACCATGTCCCTGCACTCTGTGATCACGCTGAGGCCTCCACACCGTGACCACGCCCCTGCACCCCGTGACCACGCCCCTGCACCCCGTGACCACGCCCCTGCACTCCATGATCATGCCACTGCACTCCCTGACTATGCTGAGGCCTCCACTCCGTGACCATGCCCCTGCACTCCGTGATCACGACACTCCACCCCGTGATCACGCACCTCCACCCCCTGATCACACCACTGCACTCCGTGATCACGCCACTGCACCCCATGATCACGCCCCTGCACTCCGTGATCATGCCACCTGTGCTCCATGACCATGTCCCTGCACTCCGTGATCACGCTGAGGCCTCCACACCGTGACCACGCCCCTGCACCCCGTGACCACGCCCCTGCACCCTGTGATCACGCCACTCCACTCTGTGACCACGCCCCTGCACTCCGTGATCACGACACTCCACTCCATGATCACCACACTCCACTCCGTGATCACGCACCTCCACTCCGTGATCATGAACCTCCACTCCCTGATCACACCCCTGCACTCGGTGATCACACCCTTGCATTCCATGATCACTGAGGCCTCCACTCTGTGATCACGCCACTGCACCCCGTGATCACACCACCTGCGCTCCATGACCATGTCCCTGCACTCCGTGATCACACTGAGGCCTCCATGCCGTGACCACGCCCCTGCACTCCGTGACCACGCCCCTGCATCCTGTGACCATGCCCCTGCACTCCATGATCACGCCACTGCACTCCCTGACTACGCTGAGGCCTCCATTCCATGATCACGCCCCTGCACTCCGTGATCACGCCCCTGCACTCCGTGATCACGTCCCTGCACTCCGTGATCACACCCCTGCACTCTGTGATCATGCAACTACATTCTGTGATCATGGCACTGCACTCCATGATCATGCCACTGCACTCCATCCTGGACAACAGAGCAAGACCTATCTTTAAACACACACACGTGATCCTCGTGGACACACACACACACACACACACACACACACACACAGGTGCATAGACAGAGTGACCTTCAGGCCCCATCTTTTGCTTCTCTAGACTATGTCCGTGTTTGAACCTTCTACTTGAACTATTTTTGTTGGCAATAGGGGTTATCTGGGTGTGAGATTATGGGTTCTTTTCTGTTTCCTTCTTTGGGCCTCTCTGTTTATTAAAAAACAAAAGCCTGTTAAATACAACATAAAACAGACAGTGCCCCAGCTATTCCTAACGTACCTTACCGGGCCCGCTCCTGCTGGGTAAAAGAAAGCCATTTTGCCAGCTCACGTCTTAGTGGGCCTGGACCAGTGTATTCCAAGCTTAATATGATTGTCTTTTTTTAAAGGAAAAAAACATTCTCACATAGCCCAAAGAGTATGTTCATGAAGCCCAGCTCAAGAAATACTGTCTTTGAAAATCTTCTATCAGAAATCTTCTATCAGAAAAGGGCTCCGGTTGGAAAGCACTGTTGCGGACAGGGAGTATCCCCCTGGGCCGGTCGGGTGGTTTGTGCAGGTCCCCGGGAGACGAAAAGACAGATTCCCTCCCGGCACCTGCAGGCCCCTCTGCTTTGGTTCCAGGACCCACAGAAACCTGCTCCACCTTGGGAGAAGCCCGGGTGGGAGATCAGACATGGTGCTGAGGCCGCGGGGCAACTTCTCTGACGATGGCTATTTCAGCCCAACCAGGATGGTGGGGTCTGGGGGGAAGAGAGCTCCTCAGACGGGAGCCTGTTCACAGGGGCCACTCTCCCCATGCTGTCCGCTGCCACTCTCAGAGCAGCGTCCCTGCTGAGCGCCGACATTCAGAGGGAGGCGCCTCCCTGATCCCGGCCTGGAGGCAGAGCCGCCAGCTGGCCAGGCAGCAGCCCAGCCGCTCCGGGGGTGGGGGCGACAGGTGCTGGGCGGGGAGGCGCTACATTGTGTAACACTCAGCAGCCACGCTACACTTGGGAAGAGCGGATGTGCTGAAAATGCCCAGTGCAGGACCAAGGTGCGCCAACCAGCCCGCACCACGCCCGAGAGGCTTCGCAGCCGCCCACCCCGGCTCTCACAGCGCCCATCCCTGCCACACGCCCTGCCAGCTGCGCCAGCTTCCCCAGGCCGTCCAGAGTCGCTGCTGGAACTGGAATAAAGTCCTCTCTGAGACAGCTCCTGGGTGGTTTCCTGCAGTTTTCTGGTGGCTGATGAAGAGGGCAGTGCCAGGCGTCAGCTACCCACCTGTGCCTGCGCCCACCTGTACCTGCACCCACCTGTGCCTGCGCCCACCTGTACCTGCGCCCACCTGTGCCTGCGCCCACCTGTGCCTGCGCCCACCTGTGCCTGTGCCCACCTGTACCTGCGCCTGTCCTTCTGCAGTTCACTTATTTAACCCACAGCCATGGCTTCACCAGGGGAAGTGACATACTAAACACTACACTGAAACCCCAACTTGAAACAAGAAATAACAACAAAATAATAATAACAACGACGACGAAGTCAGCTTGCCATTAAGGAAGCCGACACAAAGCATCCGATCACCCAGCTGTCTGAGTAGGCTGGGGCCACCAGTTAAACATCTTAGCCACCAGCAGCCACTCCTCTGGGGAACCGGCCAGAAGTGACTGCTGCACCCTATTAGCTGCTGGAGCGAAGGGAAGAAGTAAGTGGTTTCTCTGGAGAAAACACAGCACAGGCTACAGCAACTCTGCTGGTCAGGAGGCGGTGGGGGGTGTTGTCATTTCCTGTCACAGCCCCTCTGAGGCTGGGGTCGGGGAGGCTGGCCCTGCTGCGTTCTCAGGCCGAGGCTGCACCAATCACATTCCCAGGGGTCCTGACCACAAAAGGTCCACCAAGGCGGACCCCACTCCATGCAGCCAACCCGGGGGCAGCAGAGAAGAATCCAGTGACCAGACAGAGCAGGGAGAGGCGTGTGCACCTCAGGGCCACGATGGCCAAGACCCAGCCGGGAGGCCGGCCGAGGCCCCAGGCCCCAGGGACTGCGCCAGTCCTCTATGCTATCTCAGCTCTGTGAGCGCTACTGAAGACACCCCAGCAAAACGTTTTCAGCACAGAGCAACACGCTGATCAGTGGCTTTGGGGATGACTGTAACACGGGTAAGTTACAAGAAAAAATGGCACAACCCGCCCTGTGAAATCTGAGCGGAGCAAACAGGCTGTGAAGGCGTTGGCAGAACGCAGACGAGGCTGCGAAGGTCCAGCGGCAGCCACGCCCCCCTCACCGTGCGACCAGCGGAGGCAGAGTCCTGGATGCACTCACTGGGAGGAGGGTGTCATGGGGACCAGGCTCCCAGACAGATGGGCAGTGGGGAGGGCTCCAGCCTCTAGAAAGGCAGATTCCCTCCAGGCCGCCCATCTTCCTCGGCACAGAAGGCCAGTGAAGGGGGTGGTTTGTGACCTGCAAGTTGCAGCAGGTCTGGGCCCGGTTTTGGGGAACACCTGAGGGTCCAGCATCTGCAGAGCTGAAGAGAGGAGGAGGGAGAGGCCGCGGGCTGTCATGGAGATGACCCCAGCACTAAGAGGAGGGAACACGTGGTGCCATACACGTCCGACTCCGCTGCGCCTGAGACTGAGAAACACAGCTGCTGCCTCCTCCTCCGCCCCCATGGCTGGCTGTGGCTCCACTTCTCCCCACGCTCTGCTGGGAAGAGCCACCCCAGACTGCCCAGGAGGCCTCCCTGAGTCCAGCCCCGCCCCATCCAAAGTCCAGGGGAACCAAAGGAGAAGACGGGTGCAGCCCCCACCTGATGGTCAGAGGCAAGTACACAGATGGCACAGAATCAAAACCTGTCTGGCCACGGAATGTGCCCTTCTCTGTCACAGACTCTCCAAATTCCAGGACTTGCTGCTGAGGCTTTTAAGCGCATCCCACAGCCTCTGACCAACCATGAGCAGAGCTGGCCAACTGAAAGGGCACGTGGACCACAGGAGGATGGTGGTGAAGAGCAGACGCCGACCACAAGCCCCGCATCCACCCGTGCCTGAGGTCTGCAGGGTCCGCAGCGGCTTGCCGGGCCCCATGGGAAGCCCCGCAGGAAACGGGCAGAGTAGGAGGTGGCATCAAGGTGGAGAACAGGGGCAGGTGAGGTTGGGGGGGGCAGGTGAGGTTGGGGGGGCAGGTGAGGTTGGGGGGGCAGGTGAGGTTGGGGGGAACAGGTGAGGTTGGGGGGGGCAGGTGAGGTTGGGGGGGCAGGTGAGGTTGCAGGGGCAGGTGAGGTTGGGGGGGCAGGTGAGGTTGGGAGGGCAGGTGAGGTTGGGAGGGCAGGTGAGGTTGGGAGGGCAGCAGATTCAACCCATGAGGCTCCACAGGGACTCTGAGCACCCATGACACCCACAGAGCCCCCAGTAGCATCGACTGCATGGGCCTTTCCCCTCAGACGAACAGAGCTGCAGCCCTGGGAACCACCTGCCCAAAGACCAGGCATGAACCCAGAACACATTCCCACATCTGCCCAAAGACCAGGCATGAACCCAGAACACATTCCCACATCTGCCCAAAGACCAGGCATGAACCCAGAACACATTCTCACACGTGCCCAAAGACCAGGCATGAACCCAGAACACATTCCCACGTCTGCCCAAAGACCAGGCATGAACCCAGAACACATTCCCACGTCTGCCCAAAGACCAGGCATGAACCCAGAACACATTCCCACATCTGCCCAAAGACCAGGCATGAACCCAGAACACATTCCCACGTCTGTCCAAAGACCAGGCATGAACCCAGAACACATTCCCACGTCTGCCCAAAGACCAGGCATGAACCCGGAACACATTCCCACGTCTGCCCAAAGACCAGGCATGAACCCGGAACACATTCCCACGTCTGTCCAAAGACCAGGCATGAACCCGGAACACATTCCCACGTCTGCCCAAAGACCAGGCATGAACCCGGAACACATTCCCACGTCTGCCCAAAGACCAGGCATGAACCCGGAACACATTCCCACGTCTGCCCAAAGACCAGGCATGAACCCAGAACACATTCCCACACCTGCCCAAAGACCAGGCATGAACCCAGAACACATTCCCACACCTGCCTGTGGAGCTCCACAAAGAGCTCAACGTCCCCACCCTCAGGAGTCTATATTCTCACCCTGGGAGACTGATGATAAACAATTAACAGATGGAAACACAGAGAAAATTAGCAACACTGTAGACTCAAGGAAAACCATATCAATAATGACGCTAACATTCCAATTAAAGAGCAGATATTTTCAGACTGTATTTTTAAAAGCAAGACACCACTATATATTTGTAAAAGATGTACTTCCTATTTAAAGACACAGGTTAAAAAGGAAAAGGGTGGAAAATGATACATCATGAAAACACTGATCATACAGTTAGGTGACTACATCAAAGCACATTTCAAACAAGGGATATTTGACCAATGTGCAGAGGAACATTTCCTAAAAGGTTTAATCATCAGAAAGATACCAACCCTAAATGTGAATGCACCCAACAACAACCCAAAATATGTGGAGCAAAAATAGACAAAATGAAAGGAAGGAACAGACTAACCAACAGACATAGCGATAGATTGCATCATTCCCCTCTATTATAGACAAGGAACAAAACGCAAAACACTAATGTGAGGAATAAAAGGGCGGAATCACTACAGACATTAAAAGGAAAATATTGGCCAGTCGCGGTGGCTCACGCGTGTAAGCCCAGCACTTTGGGAGGCCGAGGCGGGCAGATCATGAGGTCAGGAGATGGAGATGACCATCCTGGCTAACACAGTGAAATCCCATCTCTACTAAAAAAGCACAAAAAATCAGCCAGGCTTGGTGGCGGGCGCCTGTCATCCCAGCTACTCGGGAGGCTGAGGCAGGAGAATGGCGTGAACCCGGGAAGTGGAGCTCGCAGTGAGCCGAGACTGAGCCACTGCACTCCAGCCTGGGTGACGGAGCGAGACTCTGTCTCAAAAAAAAAAAAAGGAAAATAATACAACTTCATGCAACAAACTCAACAGCTTAGATGAAATGGACAAAACTCATTCCTTGAAAGACACAAATTATCAAAACTAACACAAAAGAGATGGAAGATCTGAATAATCCTTTATCTCCTAAAGAAATTGAGCTCATTATTAAAATCTTCACACAAAGAAAACTCCAGGGTCAAACAGCACCACTGGTGAATGTTAGAAAACATTTAATGGAAAAACACCACCAACCTTACACAAACTTTTCCAGAAAATTGAGAAGAGAACACCGCTCAACTCATTTTGTGAGGCCAGCACATGCCTGATGTCAAAACCAGACAAGGACACTGCAGGAAAGAAAACACAGGCCAATATCCCTAATGAACACAGATGTAAAAATTATTAATGAAATATTGGAAAACTGAATTCAGGAACACATAAAAACAAATCTAGAAATGAAAGGTTGGTATAATATTCAAAAGTCAATGTAACTTATTACACAAACAAAATAAAGGAGGAAAAATCATCACGTCCACAAATACAGAAGAAAAAGCATTTGACAAAATTCAACAACTGTTAATAATTAAAAATATAAAAAACTCAGCAAACTAAGAGGAGAAGGAGATTTCCTCTACCTGATAAAAAGCACACATGACAAGGCTCAGCCAACATTACAGTAAATAATAAAATGTTGACTGCTTCCCCCTAAGACCAGAAAACAGCAAGGATGTCTGCTCTCACTTCTACTCATTGTGCTGGAGATCCCAGAGAGTGCAATGAGGCAGAAAGTTTTAAAAGAAAGCAGCGAAATTGTCTTTATTCGCAAATGATTTGAGAAACCCTCAAGAATCTAAAAATATGATAATGGAAGTTCTGAGTGAGTTTAAGCAAGGCTGGAGAATACAAAGACAATATAAGCAATAGATTTCATTTTTTAAAAAACATAAAATATGTGGGGATAAATTTAACAAAATATCTGCAACATTTGCACACTGAAAGCTAGGAAACGGTGCTGAGAAAAATTAAAGACGACCAAAATAAAATGTCCCAACTGCCACAGATTCATAGATTTAAAAAATCAATTTTTGGCCAGGCACGGTGGCTCACACCTGTAATCCCAGCACTTTGGGAGGCCAAGGGAGGCGGATCACTAGGTCAGGAGTTCAAGACCAGCCTGGCCAACATGGTGAAACCCCGTCTCTACTAAAAATACAAAAATTAGCTGAGCGTGGTGGTGTGAGTCTGTAATCCCACCTACTTGGGAGGCTGAGGCAAGAGAATCACTTGAACCCGGGAGTGGAGGCTACAGTGAGCCGAGATCGTGCCACTGTACTCTCCAGCCTGGGCGACAGAGCGAGACTCAGTCAAAACAGGCTAGAGTGCAGTGGCGTGATCTCGGCTCACTGCAACCTCCACCTCCCGGGTTCAAGTGATTCTTCTGCCTCAGCCTCCCAAGTAGCTGGGATGACAGACGTGCACCACCATGTCCGGCTAATTTTTGTGATTTTTAGTAGAGACGGGGTTTCACCATGTTGGCCAGGCTGGTCTCAAACTCCTGACCTCAGGTGATCCACCTGCCTCAGCCTCCCAAAGTACTGGGATTACAGGCATGAGCCACTGCGCCTGGCCAAAAATCCTCAATTTTTAAGAGATCCATTCTCCCTGAATTGATCTATAGTTTCAGTGCAATCCCAATGAGTCTCTCCTCCAGAAGAGTACAAATAATACTAATGAGTAGCAGAAATTTACAAGCTGGGATAAAAGAGCAAATAATCTGAGTAGCCAAAATAATTTTGAGAAAGAACAAAACTGGGGTTTTGCTTCCAAGACTTATAAAGCTACAGTAATAAATAGTGTTGAACTGGGGTAAAGACGGCCATACAGGTCAACAGAAAAGAATAATGTTCAGGAATAAACCCACAATTATAAGCTCTTCCCCCAGCCCAAAAAAAAAGGTGTCAAGGTAATACAATGAGGAAAGGGTAGTCATTTCAGCAAATAGTGCTGGACCATAAAAACATCCAGATTATAAAAAGGAGAAGAGTGAGGGAGGGAAGAAGAGGGGAAAAAAATCCTCAACCCTCACCGCATGTGAAACACAAAAATTAACAGCTATAAAACTTCTAGAAGAAAACACAGGAAAAAATCCTTGTGATCAAGCGCTGGTCGAAGATTTCTTAGAAAGAACACAAAAAGAACAAACCATAAAGGAAGAAATTGATGATATACTGAACTTCATCAACATTTAAAACTTCTTTCTCCAAAACCACCATTAAGAACTAAAGAGGAATGAGACAAAGATGCAGAATTGGCTCCTGTGAGCCAGTGTAGCCAACTCCAGCCCAGAGCTGGACTTCCTGTAAAGGGTCAAGGGCGAGCTTTCTGAGGTGACAGACATATTCTACATCTTTATTGCAGTAGTGGTTAGGTGACTGTATGCCTTTGTCAAAACTCATTAAATCTCAACCTTAAAATGTGTGAATTTTATGTAAATTAGACTTCAATAAAACTGATATTAAAAATTAAACATATTCCTATGCACCAGCAATAAAAATTTTTAAATACAACTAAAATAATGCCAGTTACAGTAGCATAAAACAAAAATTACTTGGGGATAAATTTAACAGATGTACAAGACTTGTATACTGAAAATGGCAACCCATGCTGAGAGAAATTAAAGAAGACCTCAATAAATGGAGAGATGTACCATGTTCATGGATTGAAAAACTAATTATTATTAAGATGTCCAGCCTCCCTAAAACTGAGTTATATTTCTAACACAGTCTGAATCAACATCTTGGCAGGCTTCTGTACATATAAATTGACAAGTTTATATTCAAAATTCATATGGAAATACAGAGGATCCACAATTGCTGAAACAATTTTGGGAAATGAACTAAGTTGGTGGACATAAAAATCTCATTTAAAGATTTACTATAAAGCTACAATAATCAAGACAGTGTGTTACTGGCAACAAGAAAGATAAAAAAAAATAGACCCAAACATACTGGTTTTTGACAAAAGCACGAAGGTAATCCAATGGGGAAAGCTAAGTCTCTTCAATGAATGATGCTGGAGTAAATGGATATCCACATGGAAAAATGAACCTCTACCCCCATTTCACACTGTGCACAAAAATTAATTTTAAATGTATCTTAGACCTAAACTTGACTTTAGGATAGACAACGATTTCTTAGAGGAGACACAGACTACTCATCAAAAGAGACCGCTGAGAAAATGAATGGTTGAGCCATAAACTGGAAGAAAACACAGTGCATCTGTCCACCAAAGGACTTGAATACAGAATCGTTAAACTCCTACAACTTAATAAAACACACACATAAATGGGCTAAAGAATTGCACAGACACTTCACAAAGTAAGCCACACAAATGACTGTCTCAGTCAGTTCAGGCTACTATAACAGATTGCCATAGACCTGATTCCTCAAACAACAGAGATTTATTTCTTACAGCTGTAAAGGCTGGGAAGTGTAAGATCAAAGCACCGGAAGACTCAGTGTCTGGTGAGGGCCCACTTCTCGGCTCCTAAACAGCTGTCTTCTCTCCATGTTCTCACAGGGTAGAAAGGTGGTGACAGAGCCCTCTGGGGTCCCTTGTTATAAAGGCATTAATCCCCTTCAAAAGGGTTCCACCCTTATCACCTAAGTACCTCCCAAAGGCCCTAGGTCCTAATACTGTCACTCTGGAGGGTGGATCTCAACATATGTATGTGGGTGGGGACACAAACATTCGGTCCACTCCAATGTTCAATAAGCACATGAAAGAGTCGTGAATATCATCAGTCATCAGGAAAATGCAAATGTTCCTAATATCAAAACTTATCACATCACGTTTGGAAATGCCCATTATTTGCCAACCTCAGATGCATAATTTTCTTGAAAACCGTATGGTCATCCAACAGCAATCCGATTTGGCCACACCTGCCAAAGAGATTCTGCTGTGTCTCCAAGATACCAGCCGGCCACCCTATGGCCAGCAGATGCCTCCACCATAGACCCCAAGAAGAACCCCGGGACCCAGCCAGAAAGGAGAGCAGGGCTGGGCCATGCCTCCCCGCTGGACACCGCAGTACACTCCCTAAGGGAGACACAGCTTTGTGCAACACTCATGGTCAAAACGCCCAACCTCCATGTGCCCAGCTCCCTTCCACATTGACTCATTCACTTTCTCTTTCTACCCAGTTAAGTTAAATCTAAGCATTTATTGAGCACTTACATGTGCAAGACCATATGGAGTCCAGAGCGAACATAACCCGGCCCCTGCCCACATGGCTTTCTCAGCAACAGACAGAAACGTGTTCTTGCAGCAGGTAGCACCTAGAGAGGATGCGATTACTGTGCACATGTGTGTATGCATGCACGCTCATAGGAGAGTGACATCTCCAAACTCAAAGCCAGATCCTCTTGGCCAGATCATCTGACTGTTCTGACGTTTATGAGGATGGATTCCAAGAGACCCCTAAGAAGCTAAGGTCCCCAGGACTACCCAGGAAGATGCCAAGACCAAGCCAGTGTCCAGCATGCTGTGTCCTGAGGCATCCCCCTGACCACAGCCCTGGGGCGCTGGACATTGCTGCCCTGAGGGCCCAAGGCTCTACTGCTGTTCACAGGGCCACCACATCCAGGGCCATCATACCCAAGGCCACCACATCCAGGGCCATCATGCCCAGGGCTACCATGCTCGAGGGCACCCAACCAGGGCCACCACACCCAGACCCACCAAGCCCAGGGCCACCATGTCCAGGGATACCCATCCAGACCCACCACACCCAGGGCCACATCCAGGGCAACCCAAGGGAAACACGGCAGGAGAGGCACAGCCAGTCTTCCACCGGCTTCCGCTGCCTTGGCTCTCCCCTGCCTCCCTTCCGGCTCTCTCCTGCATTCGATAACAGCCCTCATGGCTGTGGGACCTCACTGTTTGTATGTTGAAAACACAAAATCAACACAGCCACTGCACATAGAAGAGAAGAAACCACCGGAGGGCAAATGTAATTAATGGAAATTTTCTGAACCTTCCAATTAGCTCGGCGGTGGCTGAGCTGGCTTGCGCTCTCTGGAGCATTGCCGTTTCTTAATTAAAGGAATGTGAGTTCATTTTGGCACAGGTTTCCTGCGATCCACTGCACTGGGCCCCTGGACAGGCCACACAGGTCCACAGGAAGGACAGGCTCCACTGGCTGTGGGTGACCCTGTCCCCTTGGATGTTCTCGATCTGAGATGTATGTCATCCTTGTGAGGATGAGGCTCTGCTTTCTGAGGACCCAGGAGCCCTGTGGACACCTCCTCGTGGCCTTGGAAGAAAGAAGTCCATGGTCAAGCTGTGCCAAAGAAAGCCTAGAGGCACGGTCACCTGCAGAGCCCAGGCCACCTAGTGGGAAGAAGGGCTGTGCCCACGAGATGCCAGCCCGCCCAATGGAGTTGGGCCTGGAGCCTTCCAGAGTGCCCCTCTGCAAGTCTGAGTTTAGAATCACACCAGGTACCATCCTTCACGCATCCAGACTCCTGTATGAACGCTGAGGCTGAGCTATGCCAGGCTTCAAGCAGAGCCATGGGGCTCATGAAACAGGCCTCGAGAGAGAACCTTCAGGTCCCAGAGACCCCATCCCCCCCACCCTAGCTCTGACCTGCCTGCCGTCCTGCACTGAAGACCCTCAGGCTGCAGAGCTGAAGGACACAGACCACATGGCCTCCATGTCCACCTGTGTGCACAAGATGGCCATTCCTAACCTCCTGCCCTGGCAAGCCTGATGCTGACAGCGAGAGGTGGTGTGTCTCCCCTCTCAGACACCAGTGGGGAGCGGGGAAGAAGAGCATTGCAGTGAGGTCCACATACGGCCCAGCCTTCACTTCCCACCGTTGCACTGACCTCTCTAGACCTGGAGGCTTCCCCTGCAGGGGCCCAAGGCTCCTACAGGGACTGAGCACCTCCCAGGACTGGCCTCAGACCCCAGTCAGCACTGGGCCTCAACACTTCAGCTACTCTCTAAAGTCAAGAAGAGCAAGGACATTGGAGGCAGACTGCCACCCTGGACATCCAGTGCCAACATAAGCACCTCCACGAGGAGTAGACAGCCAGTGCAGCACACTCTGAGCCCAGGAGCCCAAGCCCAGCCCTCACAAGCACCCCCAGGACCATGCGTCAGCCAGACAGGGTCCCCTCACTGCCACCAAGGGCCTGGGTATCGGCCTCGGCCTCTCCATCCGGGCACTCAATGCTCACACACTCACCACATGCATATTGATACCCACACTCTCTCACCCAGTCACACACTCATCCACACTCAGTCTGACGGATTCATCCACACACTCATACACACGTAAACAATTCATGCATGCACACACATTCACACATGCTCAGGCACACATAAACACATGCATACATGCACACGCATGCACACACTCACATGCTCATGCACACACATTCATATATTCATGCTTGCACACATGCTTCCATATTCATGCACTCCCATGCTTGTGCTCATACCCATACAGGCTAATCCACAGATTCCCGGTGCCAGCCCAGGTGCTCTGAGGGGCACCCAACGCAAGACCCCCACCCAAAGCAGGCCCTGGAATTATCGAAAAAAAGACACCAGACCCTGGGAAGCCACTCTCAGAGGCCTGGCTGACACCATCCCCTGGAGCTCTTCTATAAGAAAGGTGTGAGGGAGGGCATCAGATTGCCAACCTCTCACCCTCTGGAGATGGCACCCAAGCCCCGCGACGACCCGCTGCCGGTCCCTCCCTGGTCCCTCCCCCCTCCCTTCCCCATGCAGACGTCCTCCTCCTGACTCGGTGGGTGCTCACCTGCTCCAGTGCTGCAAGTCACTCAGGACACAAGACTGAGCCAAGGAGATGAAACCTGCCCCACGCAACGTGCAGGGCAAGAGGCTGACCCAGAGGTGAGCAGCGAACGGCAAACATCAGCAAGCGGGGAGCACGGCACGTGCGGGGCGGTCAGTGCAGCGCGTGCATGCGTGCGGGGAGGGCAGCGCTGGGGAAGAGCCAAGAGAGGCCTGGGGCCAGGGGGCTGGGGCAGGACTTAGAGTGGGCCTGGCTGAGAGGAGGATGGAGTGGCCATCGCTACTCTCACGGTCCCTCCACCCAGGCCTGGCGCCTGGCGGGCTCCCCTCCTGGCTCTGAGATGGCCCAGGGCCAAGCGACTGTCCTGGCCAGCAAGCTGTGAGCCACTCTCAGGCCAGGGAAGGCAATTCTTCGCCAGCAAAAGACATCTCAGAACACTCCTTCTCCCACTCCAGCCCCTGGTGGCTGCACCTTCACACAGGCCAGTGTGACAGTGAGCCAAGCCCTCCCTTGGACTCATGGGGACACAGGGCAGGCGGCAGAATGAAGGCCCTGTCATCCTTAGCCACTGGCTTGGGGTGGGCGTTACTGCAGAGCGTCTGCCACCCAGACTGGGCCAGGGGAGCAAGGCAGCCGGCCAGGCACACGGAGGGTGCCGTGGGCAGAGCTCTTTTAAGAAGCAGCAGTCAGGCCGGCTACAGCAGAGGGAACGCAGGGCAGGCAGGGCCAGAGTGGGGGTGGGGAGATCACACAGCCAGGCACGTGGTGAGCCTCGGCCTGAAGAACAGAGCCAGGAGCCCAGCAGGTGGGAGGTCCAGCAGACTGGGCCACACCAGCCACTGCCTGGGGAATGGGGGTGGGGACAGCCCCGAGGAAGCCCTACCAGAGCTGGGGCAGAGCCTGCTCCGGGGACGCAGAAGGAGCCAGGGCACAGGGGGCCCTTCAGAGGGTAGAGCCAAGAGAACACCTGACGGTCACAGGCACGAGGGAAGGGGCCCCCGAGGGAGCTCAGAGGTGGGCACAGGCAGGGGCCTTCAGGCGGGGCCAGCATGGGGGCATCAGGACTCGCATTTGAACCTGCGGAACTGAGACACTCGAGTGGCAATGTCGAGTCGGAGGGTGGACGGAAAAGCCTGGAATGTGGGAAACAGGTCCCAGCTGGAGACAGGAATTGGGAGTCGCTGCCATATAGGTGGTATTTGAACCATGAGATCACCAGCGTGTGGGTGGAGCGGGAGGTGAAAGAGCCCCAGCACGGCAGAGTCAGAGTCAGAGACGAGGAGGATCCGCCAAGGAGGCCATGGAGCAGGCACGGGGAAGGGGGTTGGGGATCAGGAGTGTCAGACCCTGCCATAGGTCGAGGCCAAGGAAGGCTGGGAACAGAGCACAGCCACAGGGAGGGGCCCGCCCCAAGGCATCTTTGGGGCAGGTGGGGCAGATTCCAGCTCCAGCGGGTTTTGGGAGAACTGGAGGGGAGGCCTGCAGACGGCAGGGAGTGAGTGAGTTTGAGTTTTGCTGAAAATGGAGGGCTGAGAAATAGGGCTGTGGGCTGACACTTTCGTAGCACAGGAAATAAAGCATGTTGCTTATTCACTCAACAGCCACACACCAAACGCCATCTGATGCCTGGCGCCCTTCTCCACTCTCGGGACACGAACATGCATGGCTCACTCTTAGCCCCTCGGGAGCTCCAGCTAGTTGTGTACACAGCTATCAGCCATTGACCTCGCACCATCTACAGCCAACAGCTCAGCCTCTGATCCAGGCATGGGTCAGTGCACCAGCCCCCGACCCAGGGCCAGCACCATGGACAGCTCTTCCCCCCAGAGCCCCGGGTTCTGTATTCCAGAGCCCTGCAGTGACTTCCGTCCCCTTCCCCGGAAGTCCTGACCACGGAGACAGGCCACAGGTCCTGCAGCTGCCACGTGTGGTGGCTTTGTTTCATCGTGATCTGTCCT